>NC_000020.11:37829870-38132900 GCF_000001405.40 Homo sapiens
ACCCAGGCTGGAGTGCAGTAGTGCGATCATGGCTCATTGCAGCCTTGACCTCCTGGGCTCACATGATCCTCCCACTTTAGCCCCCCAAGTAGTTGGGATCACAGGAGCGTACCACCATGCCCAGCTAATTTTGGTATTTTTAGTAGGAGACAGAGTTTCACTGTGTTGCCTAGGCTGGTCTCAAACTCCTAGGCTCAAGCAATCTAACCAGCCTTGACCTCCCAAAGTGCTGGGATTACAAGCGTGAGCCAACTGTAATTTTTTTTTTAAATTTTAACAGCTTTATTGAGACTGACATGTGAAAAATTTGTATATTTAAGGTATACCACTTTTTGTTTTGATATATGAATGGTATATATTATAAAACGATGACCACAATCAAGCAAATTAACATATCCATCATCTCACATAGCATTTTCTGTCATGAATCTTAACACATTGTAGGATTCTTATACCTATTTTGTCAGTAAATGAACGAGTCCTGTGCCAAAGATTCCTAAAAGCCTCCTCCTGTGACCCAGCTCCGCTTGCTAGGGCCTCCTTTTCCTTTCTGGTGAACGGAGCCTTCCCCTGCCCTGCCATTTTAAAACTTCAACAGAGGTTCCAGCAGGACCCCTCTAGAATCTGGAGGCACCTCTCTTGGTACAGAAGGTTGAGAAAGTCAAATTTAGGGATTGTTACTGTGCACCTTGTCACTTTTTTCCTTCTATTCTCCCACTTCCACCTTGGGAGACTTGTTAATATACATAGGACTCATGCTCCTCAACGTACCATGGGGTTATGTCCCAAAAAACCCATCATGAGTTGAAAATATGGTAAGTCAGAAATGCATTTAACATACCTAACCTACCAAACATCATAGCTCAGCCTCACCTACCTTAAACATGCACAGAACCCTTACATTAGCCTACAGCTGGGCAAAATCATTTAACACAAAACCTATTTTATTTTTTTAAAAAAGTGTTGACTGTATCACATAATATATTGAATATTGTACTGAAAGTGAAAGAATGGTTGCATGGGTACTTGATGTACGGTTTCTACTGAGTGCATATTGCATTTGCACCATCGTAAAGACAAAAAATAAGTCAAGCCATCATAAATCAGGAACCATCTGTATTCCATTTATCCCTGACTCCAAGAATGTGGCCCAGTTCTAGGCTTCAAAAACTAAGTGTGCCCATAGAACCCCAAATTCTGGTTTCTGTCCACCAACTTTACCACTGAAAACATGAAGCTGCTAGCGCATAGCCATTCACCTGCCAGTGTAATACATCCAGCCCTGCATCTCTCCCAGAGTCTTGGAGGAAAATGTTTTTCTTCTGTCTCAGTTCTGACCTCTTAACTTCCAGTGTGTAGCCACTCCTACTCAGGCCCTCCTCTTTCCTACCCCAGCTGAATTAGGGGTCCTTCACATATGCGCTGAGTATTTTCCATGCATGCCAGTTAATTGTGTACTCTATTGTAATTGTTTATTTCTTTTTTCTTTTTCTTTTCTTTTTTTTTTTTTTTTGAGATAGAGTCCTGCTCTGACACCCAGACTGGAGTGCAGTGGTGCGATCTCGGCTCACTGTAAGCTCCACCTCCTGGGTTCACGCCATTCTCCTGCCTCAGCCTCCTGAATAGCTGGGACTACAGGTGCCCGCCACCACGCCCAGCTAATTTTTTGTATTTTTTAGTAGTGACGGGGTTTTACCATGTTAGCCCGGGTGGTCTCGATCTCCTAACCTTGTGATCTGCCCGCCTCGGCCTCCCAAAGTGCTGGGATTACAGTCATGAATGACCGCACCCAGCTGTAGTTGTTTATTTCTTAGCGTTAATCATAAAATGATGAGCTTCTCTAGAGTGGGCTAGCTTTCATCACTGTCGTCTTAGTACTTGCTACATTGCCTGGCACATAGTTGGTACTCAGAATTTTGAGAAAAGGGAGGGCTGGTGACGTACCACTTCATGCCCTATAATTATCATAAGATTATGAAACTCTAGAAGGAGAAGCTAATCTTCATTTCTTTACAGATCACACATTGTATTTTCAGTTCTTGCAGGAAGACCAAAAGGCAAATGATTATCATGGCCAAGTACATTTCTTTTTATTAAAAGGTAGGACCATCTCTACTTAGATGTGCTGTGTCCTTCAACTTACTAGTAAATAGTCACTACCCACCTTAGCACTGTCTGCAGGTCTCCCAGAATCTTGTATTATTTGGCTTTATAGCCAGCGACACACAAGCACTTTATTTTAATTTATTGTGGGATTAGAGAGTCTGAGCGAAGTTGGCCTTGCTCCATTTTAGGGTTAGAACAAATCTTGAGTTAGAGAAAATAGCCCTACCAGCTGAGAGAGCCAAGCAATCTAGGTTTCTGTTTTTCTCAGCAGGAGCCAGTCAGGATGACCAGGGCTGACTGAAACATGTTCAGTGGCAGACATGTGATCAGGTTGCAGTATGGAAGGAGTTACCTGGTGATCTAGGACAGGTGCGTAGGTGAGCGAATCCCTTGTGATTCTCTTTTTCAGTACAACAGATCTCAAACTGCTGTCTGTTGAGTGCCTACTATACACATACCTCATTTGAAAGAATGGGTTTAATAGATGGGAGGGACAGCCCCAGCTTACAAATAAGAAGACTGAGGCTCAGAGGCTAAGCTCCATGCTTGTGGCTTAACCAGCTAGTGAGTGCCAGAGACAAGATTTGAATCCATGTCCCTGTGATCCTAAATCCCCACATAAGGTTAATTAATTCACTTGTTGGCATGTCTGGAGCAGATCCCAGGAGTTAGTGTTCTCCATGTACCTGTGTGTCTTTTTCAGCAATGGAACCATAATAGGCCTACTCATAAGCAGGCCCATCTATGGATAAATAGCTCTCCTCATAGAGAATGGGTAATGTTAACCAAACACCTGCTGGAATGTGGACCATACTTTTTTTTTTTTTTTGAGAGTAGGGATGAGAAATGCCAGTCCATCCCATTCTTCACAAAAATGGTGCACACTATAAATGGCTGGTTGGAGTGACTGCCACAGTCTGTGCTGTTCTGGAAAGACCTCTGATTTGGGTGTACTAGATCAAGCGTTCTTAACTAAAGAGCCATCACTAAGAGATGTGAATGCTCTGAAACTCCATGGAAAATGTTACATTTGTGTATGTGTTTCGGGAGGGTAGCATGCCTCCGTGTGTATCAGTCTCAAATGTCTGTCATGATTTGGAGGGAAAAGCAGATTTAGATTCCAGTGGCCCACAAAGGTACTTTGGACCTGAGGCAAATCACATTCCTTCTCAGGGCTATTGTTTCCATACTCAGAACCCCAGAATCAGATCAGAGATTTCTAGCCCTCCTTCCAGCTCTGAAAATTATAAAACTCGAACTGCCCCCTGGAAAATCAAACTTTTAGCCCTCTCACATAGAAACAGGCATCTAACCCTTTGCTAATCATCCTTGAGAAGCCCTGAAGAGAGCTGAGCTGGGGGAAGGGTGGGCCAGAGCCTCCCTCCAGGCGGTTTCAGTAGTTAGTGTCTGTCTGAGGCAGCTAGTTGTCTGACTGTTGAGCAGGGAGCCCAGCAGGCAGGGACTCTCACTGGCACAATTTCAATCCTGGCTCTGTAACGCTCCACCTAGATGCCAGGCTACCTACCTCTCTGCCTAGTGATTTGAAAATGTAGATTTGCCTGGCCTTCCCCTTGGTGGAGCCTTGTTGCTTCTGTGTGTGTGTGTGCGTGTGTACATGCATGTGTGTTTTCTGCACTTCCTGGGCCCTCCCTTAGAGGCTGTTCTCTGCAGTGGGAACTACCACATCCACCCCATCTGCATTGACAGCTCCATAACCATCCTTCACCTCCATTTTATCCTGTCGAAATGACGGAGCAGCTGAGCAGTGTTGGCCAGCAGATAAACCTGTTATCTTGCCTGCTCCCTGTGCCAGCAGCTCTCCCCGTCTCCTTGGTGCATGAAAAATTGACACCACCTTGGGCTGAAATCTGTTCTTAGGGAAGCTACATTTATTAGTAGCTAATGAAACTCGGTGTGTGTATATATGTGTAAATTTGGGATGGCTGAAGTGTTTCCCTATCTGGCCGGCACCAGTAGCCTATGGCGTGCCTCAGCATCCAGATAGAGAGGTAGAAGGGCATAGGCATCAATTGGCAACCTATCCTTCACTTAAAATCCCAAATAGGTAAATATCATTTATTCTTAGTATACCATTGCAGTTGATCATGGTATACCTTGCTCCAGACTGTGGTGAGCCGTGGAAATGCATGCCAGTGTCATGTGCTGCCAAAGAAGATGGTTATTCTATTTATTACATTTTTCTCTTTGAAAATTACAGCTTCTGATACCCTCTCTGTGCCACCAGCACCCAGCCCTCCCTCCCCCATCTTGTTGAGGTATATAAAGAACATTCTCTTGCAACTCTTTCTCATCCATCTTAATCAGCAAGATTAAAAGGGAAAATTATTGAGAAGTTCTGGTTCAGTATTTTTGTGGAACTGCCTGAAACTCAAAGTCTCTTCTTTATTTAGACTGTGGTGGAAATTGCTTCCGCAAAGACTAATTCTGTAAAATAGAGAAAGAGGGTTGTTATTCATGTCTTACTCCATATGGCCTTTTACTTCATTTTACTCTTGTTAAAACTGTTAATTTTTTAATCCACATTTACATAGTGTCTGTCTTTTGGGCACAGTGAGCCCAAATATGAGGCGTATTTTCAGGCTTTGCATGGTCTCATTTACCTTCCTTCTTTAATAGCATTGATGATTGCCTTTTATATGTGGGAAGCATAACATGGTAGGAAAAGCTTACAGTTTGGAATCAGGCGACTTAGATTCAGATCTAAGATCCAGCCACCTACTCAAGCACATGACCTTAAGTCCGTTAATCTCACCGAGCCATGGGTTCCACATTTATAAAATGGAGATGTGGATAGTACCTTTTCCACAGCTTAGTTTTGAGGATTCAGTGAAAAAATTGTGTACAGACTCAAGCCTACTGGCATAGATAAACAGTAACAATGATGACAGTTATTATTATACCCTACTTACGTTCAAATAGGAATTAGAAGGAGCTTTCACCAAAACAATATGGTGGCACTAAATCTTAGCTTTGAATAAGAATTTGTCAAAACACAAATGTTAAATTAGGGAACCTATTTGCAACATATTTGGAAAAGGGTAATATGCTTAATTTATAAAGAGTTCATAGAAGTCAAAATTGAGCAAAGGATAAGGGCAGGCAGTTCAAGAAAAAGCAGTACAAGTGGCCAGTAAACATAGTGTGATGGTTAATTTTATGTTAAGTTGACTGGGCTGTGGGATACCCAAATCGTTGGCAAAACATTATTCCTTTGGGCTTGGGTTGGTACTACTCCATTGGCTTTCCTGGGCCTTCAACCTGCAGATAACAGATCACGGGCCTTCTCAGTCTCCATAATTGCACAAGCCCATCCCTCATAATAAATCTTTTCCTGTACATTTTTATATTTCCTATTCTGTTTCTCTGGAGAACCCTAATACACATAGGAAAAGATGTTTAACCTCATTCGTAACAAGAACAAAAACATGCTAATCAAAAGAAGATCTCATTTTTCACCTACTGGGCTGTCACAATTACTAAGTTGGATAATATGCAATCTGAGTGAGGATATGAGAAGACAGATGCTCATATATATACTAATAGTGGGTATGTCATTAGTACAGCCATTTTGGAAGACAGTTTGTCAGTGTCTTTCAACATTTCATGTGTAAATTTCTTTTGATGCTTTAATTCCACTACTAGGAATATGTTTTAAGAATATTTGTGCAAAAGTAAGTCAAAATATGTGGGCTTGTATACTCATTGCAGCATTGCTTCTAATAGCAAGAATAAAATAACGCAAAACTGGAAACTACCTAAAATACCCATGAATGGGGCGCTAGTTAAAATTGTGATAAATAAGCTCAGTGGAATTCTAGATAGCCATTTTTAAAAAATGAAGTGTGGGTGCCGATATGGAAATATATATTAGGGAATATTTAGATATATGAAATGCAAAATTTTCCCCCTGAAAATGTACACAAGGTACCTTGTAGTTTTTCTTGGGAGAGAAGAATGGGTTCGTGGAAGGAATATGGGAAAAGAAATATATTAGTATAGATGCTCAATAAATATCAAGTACACGTTGTACCTTTTCATGTAGTTTGATTTTTACCTCATACATCCATTGCTTTTATTTTAAACTCCATTGGTAGGGGGTGAAGGGAATCAGTAACAACAAAACAGTAAAAGAAATTGCTTTCTGTGGTTGTGTGTAAATTCATCTTTGAGCTTCCTAATAGCCCAGGCAAAGAAGGAACATTGATAAGGAAATACAAAAAATTTATCAGGAAAGAGAAACATTTTCTTGATCTTGATCTCTGAAAGGACTGTGGCTGCTGAGGAGATTGGTGTAAACTCAGATCCAATGCTGTCTCTCCCCAGCTTAAAATTCACTGGTAGGCCCTTGCCCCTGTTCTCCATGGTCAGCCTTTGCCCACCTCACTGGCCTCCCCTCTCCCACATGGACATGGCAGTCCATTCATACTGACTTTTGCATATATTGTTCCTTCTGCCTGGAATGTTCTCTCCTTTTCTCTGCCTTGTTGTTGGCTATGGCTCTTCTTTGTTTTTTAAGATTTTCAGTTGTTGGTTATGTCCAGTAGGAACCCTTGGAAGTCAGTTGTCCCTCCTCTATGTTGCCCACGTCCTGTTTGCCTCCCTCAGTAATGGAACTTGTTACACAGTGCTATAATTGTTTTGTTTTCTTCACTAAATGAGGAGCTTCTTCAGGTTAGGGAGGGTGTGTTGTTTGTTTATGGCCCTGAACACTCAGCACTTGCTAGGCACAGAGGTAAACTGGTCAGTGGATGAGGGAGTAATCTGAAGTTTGAGTTCTGCCTCTTCCACCAATTAGCTCTGTGGACAAGTCACTTCTCTCTGGCCTCGGTTTTTCCATCATACAATGAGAAATTTGGCTCAAATAATCGATGAGAACTTTGGCTCTGATTTTTTTTTTCTTCCTCTGTGGTTGTCAGATTGTCATATATATAATACCAGGATGTTGTCACCAGCTGTCATACTAAGTAATTCCAAAGTTTTAGAACTGATCTTGTTAGAATTCACTGCATTTATTATGGCCTGTCCCATATCTGTTCACCAGCTGAAGAGATCACAGCTACTTCCAACTTGGTTGGCACAAGGTTACAGAGTTGATTCTGTCCCTCATTCTTTCTGCCCCTAACCTTTTCTCGTTGGCATACACAAAGGTCAGAGCACTTTCCCTGAAGTGCATCTTCACAGACGTTCCTTTCTTATCCTACTTTCTCACCCCGAGCTGAGCTCTGTTAGCTCGCCATCCTTACCCTGGGTTCATGGGGTTTTTTGTCTTCCTGTGAAGGCAGGGCCCGTTCTCTCCACTACTTTCTACCCTCATCCCACCCCAGTGAGTGACTACGGCAGACGGAGGTTACACCACCTCAATCCCAGCTTTACATAAAAGTTGAAAGGAAGATACTGGGGGAGCCTGGGGTCTTGAGAAGGTATATAGTACCTCTGTCCACAGCATATTTTAAGAAAAATGTTATATTTTCAATACCTAAAAAAATGGATTCTACCAATTAGAAATATGTTATTGAAATTGATGGCGCCCTCAGAAAAAGCTGTTTACCTGCTCCCACGTACAAAAACTCTTTAAGAACCATCTTGTAACTGAACAATTTGAAAGCATATTAGCAATGCAAAGGTAGTATTGCTCTGAATTTGGGCTAGGCATTATATATAAAAGTGCAAAAGTATTTGAAGGCATTTGAAACATATCCAGAATTCAAAAGTGGCCTGTTTGCCCCCATGCCCACCTCCACCACTGAAAACTTTTATATCGATAGCCTGCTTTCTTCCCATTCATTCAGCAAGTATTCCCAAAACACCTACCATGTGCCAGACATTGTTTTAGAACCGGGGATATGGCAATGAACAGAGCAGACTTAAAATATCTGCCTTCAGGGAATTTGTATTCTAATTGAAGGGAGATGGTGAACAAAACAAATAAACAAAATACAGTATTTTGGAAGGTAACACATGACGAAGAGAAAAATAAAGCAGATAAGACTTGAGAATAGCCATGTGAGGCATTGCATTTTTCAATAGGGTGGTCAAAGGAAAGCCTCGCTGAGAGGATGACAGTGGAGTAAAACCAGATTTAAAGAGTAAGTCATGCAGATAATCTGCCGCGGAACATTTCAGGCGGAGGAAACAGCAAGTGCAGAAGCCCCGAGGCAGGAACAGCCTGACGTTAGAAGCAGCATTTAGTCTGAGTTGGGGAGTCACTGGAGTGTTTTAAACAGACCTGACGTTAGGTGTTAACCTAAGGAATCATGCTGGCTGCTCTATGGAGATTAGGCCAAAGGGGACAAGGGTGGAAGGAGAGGGACTTACTAGTAGGCTATTGACTATTCCAAGCAAGAAATGGTGGTGATGTGAATGAGGGTAATGTAGTAGCAGTGGTGGTAGTAGTCAGAAGAGGTGGGATACTGGATATGATTTGAAGGTAAAGCTGATGAGGTTTCTCGTGGGATGTGAGAAAGAAGAGAATCAAAGGCATTTTCACTGGTTTTGGCTGGAGAAACTGGAGATTCTGGTTGCCATTAGTTAGATGGAAACAACTATGGGAAACAGGTTTAGGGAGGAAGATCAGGAGCTTGTGTTTGGACGTTAAGTTTAAAAGAACCAGCCAGGCACAGTGGCTCACACCTGTAATCCCAGCACTTTGGAAGGCCAAGGCAGGTGGATTGCTTGAGGCCAGGAGTTCAACACCAACCTGGGTAACATGGCTAAACCCCATCTCTGCAGAAAATACAAAATTAGCCAGACATGGTGTTGTGCACCTGTAATCCCAGCTACTCAGGAGGCTGAGGCAGAAGGATTGATTGAGCCTTAGAGGTTGAGGCTGCAGTGAGCCCTGATCGTGCCGCTGCACTCCAGCCTGGGTGACAGAATCTGTCTCAAAATAAAAATTAAGGAAAAAAAGTTGATAGGATGTTAGGCAGCCAAGTGGAGAGGGCAGGTAGACAGCTGAATATATGAGTCAGCATTCAGAGGACAGGACTGACCTATAGGTTCAAATTTGTGAGTTGTCAGCATGTAATGGTTTTCAAAGCCATAGGACAAGATGCGATTACCAGGGAAGTGAATATATATAGAAAATAGAAATCTAAGGACTGAATAACTCCAACATTAAGAAATTAGGGAAACGAGGGGATGGGGAATGCTTATTAAGTGAAGAAAAACACACTGGCACAAAATTATATCCGTGCTATAATCAGAGAAGTAAGAATGCTTCCTTGTGGCCTCAGTAGTCAGATGACATTCTTGGGAATCCAAGGTAACTGGCATAGGAAGATGCTCATCAGTTTTCAAATAAACTGTTTGTTGTTCACACTGTGAGCATTTTATTTCAAAATAAACTTTGTTCTGCCATTTCTCCACGAGTAGACTTTTGTCACCTGCTTTTCAAGGTCATTATTCTTGATTTTTTGAAAGTTCTTTTTAAAGAAAAGAATCTCTTTCACCTGAAGCCTATAATATACCCTTGAATTACCCTCTTCTTCCAAGAGTAGAAGAATAGTATTTCATAATAGAAGCCGCTGGGTTGTTGAACTCAGAAAGCCCTGTTAACTGTTTTGAAGTGCTTACAGTACAGCCACCTTTAAACTTGAAGCGGGGATGTTAGCTGCACCAGAATGTAAGTGATAGCACTGGGTCCCTATCATATTTCATATTTAATTCCAGGCTGTTTACTTGGGAAAGTTATAAGGTAATTTGAGAATTCGATACAGCATGTCTTATCTCCATTATTTGTTCATGCCATGGCTGGTGTTCATATTCTATTCACAGGTTATTTCTGTAAAGGTGGGATTAGTTTGAGATTCTGTTGTGGACAATAAAAATCAATTAATTCCAGACAGAAAAGGAATTCTAACTTAGTTTTGATTCACTTACTCAAGTTGTCCTTGAGGATCTCATCTCTTTTGAATATGTTTTTTGTGCAATGTGAAGATTGGTTCGGTTTTTTAGTGACACAATTTAGGTTCTTGTCTTATTAATCAATAGCAGCAGTCAGAAAGGCCTACTTATTCTGCCCTCAATAGAACCAGACGAGGCTTGAAGAGAGGTAATAATTACTGCTCTGATCTCAGCATGTTCTCTTTTCTCTTTCCCAACCCAGAGCATGTCTGTTCGATCCTGGCTTCCCTCCTGCGGAACCTGAGAGGGCAGCAGCGGACCCGGCTTCTGAATAAATTCACTGAAAATGACAGTGAGAAGGTGGGTGACTGTTGGACTGTAAAGCTGGGACCGGGACTGATAGAAAGGCTCTTTACCTGATGTGATCTGAGGGATACTGGGTTGAGTGGTCCTACCCTAAAATTCTCTTTTCTGGCACCTGGGCCCTGTTGCTTTGCGTGTCAAAGGCTCTTCTGGTTATTCTGCTTTTCATCTCCAAATGCATTCTCCTGGGAGTAGTAACACCTGAGGATGATACCACTAGTACTTGAGGGGATTTTTAGACCCAAAGAGCGTGGATTAGACTAGGATTTTTGTTGAGGGCTGCTGCACAGCATAGCAAAGTGATTAAGAGCATTGGCTTTGGATACAGACTTGAGATTTGAACCTGTTTTCGCTGCTTTTGAGATGTGTGCCACTCTGAACCTCAGTTTCACCAGCTTCAACATGGGGACATCAATACTCATCTTGAAGGGTCAGTGGGAGGTGAATTAGATAAGGTCTTACTAAGGTGGTGGTAATAAAATGAAGATAATGATAAGGAAATGGTAGAGCCTGCCCTAAATGGGCTATGGAAGCTGGGAACTCAATTACATGAAATTAGATGGATTGGGCTATGGAAGCTGGGAACCCAATTACATGAGATTAGATGGATCGGGCTATGGAAGCTGGGAACACAGTTACATGAGATTAGATGGATCGGGCTATGGAAGCTGGGAACACAATTACATGAGATTAGATGGTTCGGGCTATGGAAGCTGGGAACACAATTACATGACATTAGATGGATTGGGCTATGGAAGCTGGGAACACAGTGACATGAGATTAGATGGATATTTTATATCTTTAGTATGCCAGACGATAGGATTTTTAACAGTAATAAGAGCTACCATTTATTGAGTGACTACTATGGATTGGATAATAGAGAAGATGACTTTCATCGTTGCATATATTGTTACAACACTGTGGTTTATTTATCCTTGTATAGTTATTATTTGCATTGACAGGCAAAGCAGTTGAAGCTTAGAGACATTATGTAACTTACCCAAGAAAGGTTTAAGACTGTCTCTTTGAGCTATCTCTGACCATTTTTTCTACCCTCACCAGGAGTATAGCATGATGAAGAGGTCATCAGGTTAGGACACGGAGATCTTAGTAGTCACGTCACCCTAGTGACATCAGTTAACATCTGTGCTTCGGTTTCCTCATCTTTGAAATGGGGTTTGCTACCTGTCTTCCCTGCACACCTTGTCAGGTTTTTTTTAAGGTTTAAGGAAATAATGGTCATGAAAATACTTTATAAGCTGCAACATTAAGGTCTTAGGGTCATCAGTGTTGGCTAAAGAAGGTTTGACCACAGTCTTCTCAGACTGTCTGATGGCATGTTGCAGGAACATCACCTATTAAGCAATCAGTATCAGCACCTGGGTAAATGAATGCCAGAGTTGCCAAGGGCTGTGGTGGTGCCAACCTGATAAAAAGATAAGTCAGGAGTCTGGGCTGGCTTCACAGTGTTTCTTCAGTCATTTTGGAGTCTTGGGGAAAAAACAAAACTTTTTCAAATCCACTGAGTGTTCCTCAAGCCATGTTTGAAGCATGACTTTGCTCAACTTAAAACTGATTTTTAAGTTATTGCCAAGCAAAAGTCAGGGCCTTTTTTAAAGTTGCTGAAGGAGGTTTTCTTGCTCTCTCTTCTGACTCAAAAGCAACTAAAAAGATTTTACTCAGGCATTTTTAAAAAAAGATCAGCTCTGGGGCAGAATCTGAACATGAAAGGTTTCAGTTTGAAAAAAGAAATTTCTGTAAAGTTCTAAGTGAATATCAAGTGTGTAACTTCAAGCTCCTTCTCTTGGCAAGAAGGGACTTGAATTTTTATCTATTTATTTGTTTTTAACAACGTGCATTCCTGGGAGTTCTAGAAGGGCTGAGAATGCATAGCCTCCTTTCGGGAATGGGCCTGGTTCAAACTGCATTCATCCTAAGTGTTTGCTTTGTTCTGCCCCAGCCCTTTGATCCATTCCTGATGTGTCCCTAAGCAAAGCTTCTCTCATCCGCTGTAAGGAGTGCCAGAGCGGGTCTCCCTTTGTAAGGGAGCGACAGTGAGATGAATAGGAGTGCCACTGTTCTCTTGCTGTGCGTTGTCTTTCCTTCTCACTCAAGCCTGTGAAATCTCTCTTTCAGGTTGACAGACTAATGGAGTTGCATTTTAAATATCTGGGTGCAATGCAGGTGGCGGACAAGAAGATTGAAGGGGAAAAACACGTATGTATCCCTGCCTCACTTTTGCCAGCTATTGACTTGCCCTCCGTTTGGGTCCCTTGTGTTCCTCCCATCACCCCACAGGATAGGTAAGGGCAGCAGTGCCATCTAACATGTTATAGAAGTAGAGCAGATGATGGTCTGCCAAGTGGTTACGACTGCTCTTCTGACACGAATGACACCCTTTCAGGAAGAAGTATGTGTAGCGTCCATCCAGGTCTGACCTGGGAGTCTGGGTGGACAGCACAGGCACCCTTGACAAGAGCTTCTCTTCGAAAATCTGGCCAAAGTACAAGGCTGTGACCTGGTACCATGTTGGCAGAGCATGTCTTAGTACTCACACTTGCTGGCTTCTGAAATCCTGAAGGAGGCATGCTGAGGAAGGGTGATCACAGCGTAGAGGAGCTGGAAGGAAACTGAATGGTCCTGGAATCCAGTTACCCCATTTACAGATGGAAAACTGGAGACCTAGAGAACGGAAGCTCAGATGCATTGCAGCCAAGCCAAACCGCAGGTTCTGAAGGGCTGACCCTTGTTTTCTCATGTTGATTGTTGCTAAGAGAAGTGACACCTGCTGGATGTTTTTTCTGGAGGGGCTGTGCTTACTATGGTGTTATCCCACCCTCTGTGTTTTTCACCTCCTTCCGTTTTGTTCTCCACCATCTCTGGCCACTGTAGCTTTCCATCTGTATTCCTTAATCAGGGTAAGTTTTCCTATCACTGTTTAATGTCCAATTTGTATTCGCTCCCCTACAAGACACTTCTCAAGTCTTCAGTCACATTATAAAATGACGCCTGGCTTACTTTTTTCCAAGTCTACAGGAGACCTCATTTTCCTTGTGATCTTGTTTTGCTGCATCACTCCATCCTTTTCAGTCTTTTCTTAAAGATACACTTGAGGCTTTTGAACTTCACTGGTGGAAGGACTGATTTTAGTATAGCCCTCCCCACCTTCCCGTGTTGGGATCATCCAGCTAAGGCTACCGTGTTGCACTGGGAATTACACCAGCATTTTCCCTCGGGGCATGCCTCAGGCCAGAGTGAGAGACTAGGGCTGTGGGGATGTGGGGAGACAGTGACCTTGTTATCTGTCCTGTTTCTCTTTGCCACTTCTTATCCACCTCTTCCCTTTCATAAAATGTGGCAAGATTACCTTTTCTACTAGACTGCTGCACCTCTATCTAGAAGACCAGTCAGTCACTGACCAACCTATCACTGCGCTTTTAATTCATTCCATCGTCCAAAAATGTCAGAGTTACCAAAGGTTGTTTAACTTAACCTGAGGGAATGAGGGAAAACATGAAGCTTGAGGGGTTGGATCACCTTGGCTAGTATCATTCATGAACACCAGCAGATAGGTAGCTGTGCTTTTCATTCTTGTGATTTCCCTATGATCCCTAAACTGAGTAAGTCCTCAGAAGTTTGCGGATTGATTGAATTGATTAACTGGGGCTTTCTTCTTTTATACAGTGATACTACTGCAAGATAAAAGGCAGAGACTCTAAATTCTGAGGCTGCACTTTAGATATTAGCATGTTCCACCACAATTCTTTCATTCCAATTCACCCCAACCCCTTTGTTCTTTAATTAAACTTTCCGTTTCCATCTTTTCTACCCTATACAGTAACTTGGACGTGAAGGACACTCAGTGGTTGTTAAATTGTGGGAATAATGTACTCCTTCTCTTTATCTGAATGATAATTAGAAACAACTTGAAATTCCCTGGACTTTTGTAAGGAAAAAGCCATGAGACAGTTAGAACTCCAGCCCTGACAGAATCCCCGATGTTATCTGCTAGGGAGGTTTTGAGGGGTGGCAAAGAGAAGACCTGGGAGTCAGGGGACCTAGGATTTAAGAGCAAGCACCACCTTTAAATCACTGCTTGTCACTATGCCTCATGTAGCCTCAGTTTCTGGCCTATAAAGTGATACTAGCCAAGGTGATCCAACCCCTCAAGCTTCATGTTTTCCCTCATTCCCTCAGGTTAAGTTAAACAACGTTTGGTAACTCTGCCATTTTTGGACAATGGAATGAATTAAAAGCGCAGTGATAGGTTGGTCAGTGACTGACTGGTCTTCTAGATAGAGGTGCAACGGTCTAGTAGAAAAGGTAATCTTGCCACTTCTAGCTCTGAGATTTTGGATAATCGAGGTGACCTTCCTAAGCTTTGTTTTCTCATCTGTAAAATTAGAATAAAAACACCTCCCTTTTGGGCCAGACACAATGGCTCACACCTGAACTTTGGGAGGCCAGACATCCCTACCTTTTTAGGGTAGGCCAAAAATTTTGGGAGGCCAAGGCGGGCAGATCACTTGAGGTCAGAAATTTGAGACCAGCCTGGCCGACAAAGCAAAACCCCCATTTCTACTAAAAATACAAAAATTAGCTGGGCATGATGGCGCACGCGTGTAATCCCAGTTACTCGGGAGGCTGAGGCACGAGAGTCACTTGAGCCTGAGAGGTAAGGGTTGCAACAAGCCGAGATTGTGCCACTGCACTCCAGCCTGGGTGACAGAGCGAGACCCTGTCTCAAAAAATAAAAACAAAACACCTCGCGTTAAAGGTTATTATGAAGACTAAGCATAAAGTATAGAAAGTACTTTGCTCAGTAAGTAGAAGCTCCCGCCGCTGCTGCTGCTAGAATTTCCTAGCTTCCTTTGGAATTCTTGTGTAATTTTTTAGTAAGCCTTTTAGTAAGCCTTTTTAGTAAGCAGTCCTTTTCCTGAGAGCGTCCTCCTTGCCAGAAGGAGTCGCCTAGCAGAAGAGAGGGTTGGCACCATCAGATGCTTTATTTGAGGTGCAGCTTAGACTTTTTTTGAGGGAGACCTAGTAAGTGGCTGGGTGTCAGGGAGCAGTTTGCACATAGCTGTTAGGAAACTTGGCCTGCTTCCCAAAAGATTATCTATTATCAGCATTGAAGAGGGTGTGAAATTGATTAGCACTGACGGAGAGTAATCGCTGCAGCCACTCTCCCAGCATTCACAGAGCTGCTGTGTGCCACGGGCACCAAGGCCGTGCTGTTCCCTGACAAACATCTGTCTCCTTGATGCCAAGGCCGTTTTGCTGGGCACTGGCAAACATTCCAAGGCCATTAGTGCTCAGCAGCCTCAGTGTTACGCAGAGAGCCAGGGCAGGTAGGGGTGAGGGATGCGTTTGTGAGCAGTGTTTGCTGCTAGCACTCAGGCGCCATCCTAGCAGATGAAGCCGCCTCACAGGTGTAAAGTGACTTAGAACAATACGACCTCCTTTTCACCTCTGCCTCATGCCGTCTTCTCTCTGAGGTTGCAGACAGTTTGTCTCCTTGCCCCCATTAAATTTGAATGTCCTACACCAATTGGGAGCTTAGCAAATATTTGTCGACTTGAATTGAATGCTTATTTTTCAGGCATTTTGAAGACTTTGACTATCAGATCAGTAGTGAATAATCTCTCACATACCTCACCAAGTCTGCAACCAAAAAACCTAAGATAACAGGCTCAAGTATTGGTATTTTTATTGTCTCAGCCATCACCTTCCCTGTGAACTTCAGACTTCTCTGGGCACAGTGCACGTGCCCATGGTTTGCAGTTGCCCAGGTCACTGGAGAGAATCTAGTCATTTGGCAAATGTTGATGAGGTGCCCGCTCTGGGAATGTGCAAGGCCAGGCACCAGCTGGGGGTGAGAAGCAAAAGTGCCAAGAAAAGAATGGGCCTAGGGGTGGTGCCGCAGACAAGGGCTGGAGGATCCGGGGAGTGGGGAGAGGTCATCTAAGGCTAGAGTCACCCTAAACTCTAGGGGGGCTAGTTTTGTGGCTGAGCATTCGTGCTGAACCTAAAAAGGTAGGGATATCTAGGGCATTTCCAGCCTGGAGTGAAACAGCAAAGGAGCAGCAGTGGGAAGCCAAGTGAAGGGGGAGAGAAGAGGGTACCTTCCACGAGTGGAGGGTGTGAGAGGAAGAGCGTGGGCTTTATAGCCAGGCTTTATCCTGGTTCTCCGACTGTGGGCAAACAGTTGAACTGCCCTATCCTTATTTTCTTTCTGGATGGTGTTTGTTTTGTGTTTAAGGTGTATGTCCCAGTTTGTGTACTTTGAGAAGTTATGTATGTAGGGATATGGTGTCGGTGAATGTATTATGCATGAAAGCTGCTTGCACAGGGCCTGGCACACAGAAGGTGGTCAGAGAAGCTTTAGCTTTCTTTTCTCTACAAGGACTGTTTGTGTCCCCCTGCCCCGCCCCCGCACATGTGTACATACCCACTGTCCTGATTCCCTGCTGCTGCAAGGTTTTGCATGACTTGACTCTTCCCTGCTTCTCCAACCTCTTCTCCTGCCACTAGGCCCCTCCTGCCACACAGCCTTTGTTTCCTTCTTTACATTTGCCACTCCCTTCTGCCCTGAGCCTCCTCTCTGCTATCAGGTCTCAGTAAAATGTCGCCTCCTCAGAGAGGCTTTCAGTGATTACCATTTGTAAGAGAGCCCTATCTCCCTAGCTGCTTCAGAACCTGTAATTATTTCATTTATTTGTTTACTCTCTGTCTCTGGGACTGTAATCTCTCTTGTTCATCGTTTTCTCAGGACAGCGTGCCTCACATTCAGTAAATGAAAGACCACTGCTCATTAGGTGAAATTAATATCTGTCTGTGAGTATTAAGGAAGATACGGCGAGTCACCCTGCGCTTTCCACATTATTCCTTAACACTAATTTTTAACCCTGATTTTTGTTTTCTCTGTGATTAGACCTGCCACCAAAAATATTTAAGTACAGTTCTGTGGATTCTGTGGCATAACTATAGCAATATTTCATAAGGAAAAATACTACTTCGAAGAATCAACAGGACTGATAGATAATTCTATACACATTCAGTTCAAATCACGTATTACAATAATCTGTAACTAGCAAAGAGTTCCATGTCTTGGGCAGTGGCCTTCTGCTTTTATGTTGTATTCAAAGTCTGTGAGATTCCAGGGCCATAATGTCTCTGGACATACCCTAGGGGTTTCTGGTGAGCAAGATTTGACCTGAACTTTTCAAGGGCATGTAATTCTTGAGACCCATCTAGTGAGCAGCAGTTCTTGTGATCTGTAAATATCCAGGGTTCTTGTCTCAGCAGATTTCACCTGACTCTCCGAACGACTTGAAGCCCAGAAAATACTAAGATGCCTGTTGTTGGGAAGGCATCCTGACTTCTTGTTGATTCTTTCCCGTTTCCATTGGCTAAGTGTATAGAGCATGCCTGGCTTTTGACTGTCAGAAAGAAGACATGATTATATAGGTACTAGCAGGAATTTTTCTAAAAGAGGGAGGAGAGCCTTGGAGAGAGGTTTTCTCTTTTTTAGTTCCTGGGAAAATTATACTCAGCAGGTTTGTTCAATAAAGTGTTCTTACCACATAGTTTGCACCGTAATGACTTACAAATTGCATGCTAATTTTGTCACAGTTAAATCATTCCAGGCTTTACCTGAAAAGAAAAAGATGGACTCCTTGTAATGAAACAGTATCCACAGGACTTGATGTCTTAAACAGATTTTGTCCTTTGCATTCGAAGCTCATTTAAAGATTTATATGGAAGGGGGTGAAGTGCAGGAGTGAATGTGGGGGGTACGTGCACCTAAAACACTGGGTGAGATGGTAGACAGTGAAACTGTGCGGCTGCCATCGATTCTTCTGCTAACTTGCTGGAAGATTCTGGGGCAAGCTTTGAAAAAGAATCCTGCTGAGAGTTCCTCCCAGCTCCCTTCCCACTGCCAGCTTTTTTTTTTTTTTTTTTTTTGAGACAGGATCTCATTCTGTCACCCAGGCTAGAGTGCAGTGGCATGGCGTGATCACAGCTCACTGCAGCCTCAAACTCCTGGGCTCAAGTAATCCTCCTGCCCCAGCCTCCCGAGTAGCTGAGACCTCAGGTGTGTGCCACCACGCCCAGCTAATGTTTGCATTTTTTTGTAGAGACGAGGTCTTGCTATGTTGCCCAGGGTGTTCTCAAACTCCTGTGCTCAAGCAAACCTCATGCCTCAGCCTCCCAAAGTGCTGGAGTTACAGACCTGAGCCACTGCGCCTAGCCTAGGCTCTTCTTTAAACCTGTGGTTCCCAAACTTTCTCAGTCCATAGATTTGCCAAAACACAGCTTACAGCCAGTAAAACTTGTGACAGGGGGCCTGGGGGCAGAGGACGTCGTGCTTTTACCTCTCTAATACCCAATTTCAACCATTTGCTCATTCACCCTCTACTGCCTCCCTGCCTGCCCCCTTGCCAATCACAATCATCCTTTTTACTCTTGGAAGAGAAGTCAGAGGACCTGAATTCTGGTCCCACACCTCTGCCACTTACCTTGCAGTATGACCTTGGGCACTGTTTTGCCTTCCTGATCCTCTCTGTCCTCATTCAGTGGTGCTAATAGGCTCTCCCCCTACCAAGCTCATAGGCTGGTTGCAAGATCTGATGAGATTGGGGCTAAGTGCCAGGGCCTCCCAAATCTCTGCAGACTCACGTAGCCAGCTGCCACCCGGACATCACCCATAGGCTCTTCTGACTTAGCGAGTCCAAAACCAGGCTTGCGGCCCTAGCCCTGTATAATCTCTTCCCCTACTGCCCATATTAGGGCAGTTTACCAGTTTGACTAGATCAAAAATAGGCATCATCTGTTTACTCCTCTCCCTCCACCTCCCACATCTCATAATCTGGTCCGCTTTACCTCTCATATCTCTGCAGCCTATCCACTTTTCTCTCTCTTTACTACCAACACTTACATTCAGGCTACCATCATTTGTTTTCTTCCATTAGTGCAGCACCCGCCTAACTAACTAGTCTGCCTATCTGTAGGTTTGGGCCCTCCAGTTCATTTTCTACACAGCAACCAGAGATTTTTCTAAAATGTAAATTCATGTATGCACTTCTCCACCCAAACACAGTAAACAGTGGCCTTGCATCGCCCTCGGGATGCAGTCTAACCTCCTGCGCCGGCCTCATGGTGCCTCGCCCAGTTTGGCCCCTGCTGGCTGCTCTAGATACATCCCTCACCCTCGTGATGTACAAAAGCCATTCTGTACCACTCACGCTTCCTGACCTTGTGCTTTCTCAAACCTTCTAGACATTGGCCCATTGCTCCGAACTCTGCCCAGAATACCTCTCTGTGCCATCTTTTCCACATCCCTTTCATGAAGCTGGCTAATGTATTACTCTGTATCCTTCAGAATTTTGGCAAACAAATTAGTCAATAAACATGTATTGAGTGTCTGTCATATACTAAGCATTCTGCTTAGCGTTTCCCTGACAGTTTCTGCAGAAAATCTTCCCTGAGACCACCTGGAGCCCCTCCTGTGTGCCCCAAGTGCACCCTTGCACTGCAGCCTCAGGCTGAAGATCAGGGATGCTGGAGCCAGACTGTGTAGACATAAATCCTGGCTCTGACTCCTACCAGCTGGGTGATTACAATCAAGTTACTTAAACTCTCTGCTTCAGTTTCTTCATCAGTGAAAGGATGAGAATAACAGTACCTATCATGTAGGATTGTGGGGCGGATTAAGTAAATGCAGTATATGTAAATCACTTGGAATATTTCCTGGCACAGGGAAGTATGCCCTAAGTGGTAGCTATTATTACAAGTATTTTGGGCCTGCATGCTTATCTGTCTCTCCCTCTAAACTAACTCTCAGTCTTCACAAATAGGGACTAATCTTACTTACTTTCTCCTTTTCTCCAGTAGGGTTGTCGTTTTCAGCCTTGTATTATTGCATCGCTATCACAGAAGTACTGATTCTCTCAAGACCAGAGTATAAGTTGTCAAAATTCAAGTGAGCAGTCTGTTTTTTTTTTAGCGGGGGATGTAAATTTAGAAATTGACTGAATTTAAGTAAATTTAGAATTTGCATCACACTTGTGATGGCAGCATCATGGTAATATGGAAGGAACATAAGTATGGCGTCATGCAAGCCCAAGGTTAAATCCCAGCTCTGCCACACGTGATCTTTGTTCCCTTGGGAAATGCCTTGCCCTGTGTGTGTGTGTCCATTTTCATGATAGCTTTATTGTAGGGTCATTCTGAAGATTAATGAGATTGTTTGTAAAAGCCTGCAACATGCGTATGTGCTGAGACAGAACTAACATGTAGGCAGTCACTTGTTTGTGGGCAAAGCTGTGGCCTGAGAGCCTTGGATTCTTACCAAAACTGCCATCAGTTTCTTCAGCCTCAGTTTCCCCAGCTAAAAGACTTGCAGTTTCTAGGATTCTTCTCTAATAGTCTGCCCTATTTTAGAAGCTTTTGGAGGAAGATTTGTTTTGCTGGTGTTGATGCTTCTCCCATCTCTAGTTACTTCCCTCTCCCGTGGTTCAAGTTTCTCCCCTTGCTTTGGAAGAAAGAAACTAGCATTTTCCAAATGGTGAGGCAATTCCCACCCATGACTGGAGACCCGAGTGGAGGCTTCAGGTTTCGGCTCTGAGTCATGTCCCGTGTTATTAAGGCAAGAGAGGTTCATGTTGGCTTCATAGCAGCCTCTTTTATGACTGTCTCCTTTTATCAGCAAGGGGCAGCTCACTGCCTGTCAGGGGCAGATTAGAAATGACATCCGCATGCTTATTTGGAGGGCTTGCGACTTGACTGCTGAAAGAGATGGAGGCATGTGCAAAGATGGTGATTTAGTAGTGCTCCCAAGGACAGATTAACATTTAAAATGAGTAAGTGGCTGGAAGAGGGGGAAACACACACACACAACCCTGCGGAAATGGCACCTTGGCGCTACACATACCACCTCCTTGTGTGTCTTTGGAGATGAAGCTGTTTATTTTAGCAGCCCCTAAACAGGCTTATGCTGCTGCGAATTGCAGTCTGTTCTACCGAATGCACCATTCGCTGAATTACCATCTAAGTTTTTATTCTAGCCCTCTCTTATGGAATGAACAAAACAAAACCTACCAGAGTATCTCTCTCTTTTTTTTTTTTCTTAGCTGTCTCAGATTGCATGTGGAATTTGCTGATGTAGCTATAGATTTTTGTTTCCCTTTTAAAAGTTTCTTGAATTTATAGGGAAACTATAGGCCAAGAAGCTAGGTGACCTTACATTTTAATGCTACTGGTTTGCGTTAGTCTCCAGATATGGCATAAAGAAAAATATCCCATCTATTTGTTTATATGCTAATACTATGAAAAGTCCATAAAACATAGACTTTTTCCTTTTTTGAACTATGAAAGTGAACACAGCCTTGGAAACAAATTTGCATGGGTTTCTGTCCTGTTTCTGTTCTGTTTCCTGTTCCCCGTGAGCTTTTTGGCCTTAGGAGAGATTCATCTCTTTAAGCCTCAGTTTCCCATTTGAAAAGTAGAAATAGTAATAGTTTTTACCTCTTGGAGTTCTTGCGAGGAAAAATGAGAAATCCGTGAAAGTGCTTAGCACGGTGACTGGCGCTTAGTAAGGACTCGAGAAATTTCACTATTGTTAGGATTCGGTTTTTGCTGTCATCTCTTGCCAGTGTGAAAGAACTAATAGAGAAGGCCTGGGACTATGGAATCACATTCCACTCAAGTCTCCAACTGAAACCCAATGGTAGTCATTTGGTATCTGTCTCAATTTTTCCATCTGTGAAATCTGAAAATGGTATTTGTTGTACATACCCAACACAGGGCATGTACAGCAGGTAAGATTAATGCAGGTGCCCTGCTTTGCACAGTAAAAAATGCTGCATGAATGCTGAGTTGTCATTGCTTCACAAAGAAGGCAGTCACCTTCAGGCTCTTCAAAGGTGAGAGTTGAGTGAATTGATTTGTGGAAGACTCCCTTTAAATCTTAACTCTCCTGTCTTGTTCAGATACAGTCCAACGTACATATAGATTTTCACTCTGAAGTTTTGTAAAGTGAGAAATATTTACGACACTTAAGGAAGTTACTGGATTCTTGGAACGTCCCTTAAATCTCTGTTCATCATATTCCCATTTGAAGCGTACGTGATTTGCATGCCCCTGTTGTCTTAAAATGGCCTAATGTCACAGCAGATCCAGGGGTTGTGTCTTTGTCACAGGGAAGATGAATTTATTGATGAAAGGATGAGCTAATCATCAGTGTTGGCCATCATGTCCTGTTGCGGTGGTGAAGTGTGTCTCCAGCTTGAGGCATTTCTCATAGTGGCTCCTCTCTCTGGGAACGCCATCAGCCAACATCCTGAATCCATCCACATACCCATACGCAGGTAGAAATCCGTTACAGCTGGCTAGACATGCCACAGATTATCAAAGCCAAAAGGACCTTCAAGAGCACCGGATCAGGGAAACAGGGGTGAGGCACACTGCCACCCTCCCCTCCTGCAGTCAGGGTGGGCATTGCTAGTGATTTCAGGGCTGTTTCCCACTGAGCTTCGCCTCGGCTTCACGACGGTTTTTTGTATCATACTCTGTACTCACTGCAGTGGGTTGAGTTGGCACTTGGGATGAACCCTGTTTGCCTTCCCTGATCTCGTGCAGGCTTCCTGTTTCCAAGCGAAGAAGCTGAGGCCAAGAAAAGTTAAATGACTCACCTAAGGACACTAGTAAATTAGTGTTTGAGCTGGGATCTGATCCCATCTTCTTAGTACTCTGTTCCACCTTGGCAGAGGAACTTATTTGTAGAATGTATATATCATAGTTTAGAGGAGTTCCAGTATCTAATTTGAATGCTTCCTGCACTCACACAAGGTCTCTTGAGGGGCAAAGGAGGCAAGGGGAAGCTGGGTGCCTTCTTTAGAATGGGATATTTGTAACCTGTTAGTTCAGTCCCCATGTGCTAAGGAGGTTGGGCTGCAGGTATGATCTCCACACGGGCCAGCTAACTTCCCTCTGTTCTTTGTCTAGCCATTTTTAAAACATGTCTCATTGGTCAGTGGGGCATAATTCAGTTTTTCCCTACCACTAGAGAAACAAGTCCACTTATATATCTTTAGTGCATAATGGTCAGAGTATTATAGATCAGACTCCTTCACTTCCTCCAGGACCTTTGATGAGGGAAGATATAAGGCAGGGAGAAGCTTGTGATGATAATTTTTTTCTAGAACTTTTACATTGCTTCTCCAGAGACTGAATCCTAGCCATCCGATCATGAGTGGAGTTGACAACAGCCATTTTGGAGTTTCAGGCACCCTTCGAAGTTCTTTCAGATGGCCAGCTCTACCTCATCACACACAGATAGCCAAGGAATCATCTCGAGTCCTTATCTCAAGATCACCTTTCTATGTGGCATCTTGGGGACCCATAAAAGGAGTCAGAAGTGTATTAATCCATTTAGAAGTTGACACTGTCTGTATGGAGTAAGATGGGCAGAGAATAAAGGTGATGCCGTCTTCTTTTTAAAACAGACCAAAACTTGAGAAGATAGAGGACTGCCCACACTTTCTCACTTTCTTGTTTTCCATAATCATTCTGCTTATTTTATTTCCTTTTAAACACTGAGTACACATTTATATTTGGCTTCCCTGAATCCATTCAGCAGTAAATATTCCATGCCACAGAGTTGTAACAGGCTAGATAAGGTGCTATTCTGACAACAGTCAACTTCACTGCATGCTGGTTTCTATGGCACTTCTAAAACTGTCAGGGCAGAAACTTCATCTTCAGAAGCCAATCTCTGTTTCATCTCTGTGCATGTTCAATGCAGCAATGATGATGCCTTTCTTGGAGATGAGCTATAGTCGTATCTCAGATCTACATTTGAAAATTTCACTTTCAAATCATGTGGCCATATGGCTAAAAGTAGAATGTCGCATTGAACATTGTCAGAGTCTTGAAGTTCTGAGGAAAGAGAAGAAAGTGGAGTTTGGCATTGCTCTCTTGAGTTTGTCCTTTCTAAATGACAATATAGAGAAACTAGAAGGTGCAGTGTGTACCTGCCTGGTTAAAAGAAGATCAGATGATGGAGAAAAGTATGAAAATGGAAAAAATCACCAGGGGTACTTCTGACCTAATTAGAGAAACTTAATTTTGCTAAGCTCCATTCTTGAGCCTCCCTATCACTCTAATATTTAATGTCTTCCTTTGTTCTCCAGACAGCTCCGAAATCTATACCCACACAAACATGGTAGCATGAAAAGAGCATGGACTAGGGTTTGAGTCCCAGTTCTGCCACCCACTAGCCTTGAGGAGCTTGTTCTGCCTGAGCCAGCTTCCTCATCTAAAATGGGGGTAAGAATCCCTGCCTCTCAATATTATTATTATTATTATTATTATTATTATTATTATTATTATTATTATTATTATTTGAGACGGAGTTTTGCTCTGTGCCCCAGGCTGAGTGCAGTGGCGTGATCTTGGCTCCCTGCAACTTCTGCCTCCAAGGTTCAAGTGATTCTCCTGCCTCAGCCTCCCAAGTACCTGGGGTTACAGGTGTGCACCACCACTCCTGGTTAATTTTTGAATTTTTAGTAGAAACAGGGTTTCGCCATGATGGCCAGGCTGCTGTCAAACTCCTGGCCTCAAGTGATTCGCCCACCTCAGCCTCCCAAAGTGCTAGGATTACACGTGTGAGCCACAGCGCCTGGCCCCGCTTCTCAATATTTCTGAGAAGTAAAGGAGTTAATATACAGAAGGCCCTTGGCACTATCCTGACACATAGTAAGTCCCCAGTAACACTAGCTGCTCCTCTCTGGTAGGTGGGTAATGATAGCAGTAGTTATTATCCAGACTGCCTCACGCAATGCCTAGTATGTAGTAATCAATCAAAAATAATATGATCTACCGAAAGCTGTGATCTAATAAGCCAAAAAAAAAAAAAAAAAGCCTCCCCTTACCCCTTTCTAATGTTTCCATTAGTGATACTGATGTCTCACTGTTGTTCTCTCTGAGTTGACTTTTCTGTGCCTTTGTGCATGCTCTTATCTCCTCTGCTTGGAATGTCCTTTTCAGCCTGTCAAACTCCTTCAAAATCCAGCTCAGATGTTACATTTTCTTTAAGCACTCCTGACCCCACCCCCCAAATAGACTTAGTCCAGCCTTCTTCTGGGTTCCCACAGCACTCAGTACAGTTTGAAAGGTCCTTTATAATAGTCATTATTACATTTTTCAAAAATAATTTCATATTCATTAACCTCATTAGATTATAAGCACCTCAATTATGTAGACTGTTTTATCACTGCTGTCCCAGCACAGCACCTGGCACAGTTAGCTGTTCAAGACATCTCTGTTGAGTGGGTAAATGAATGAGTTCCACTCCAGGTTCCTGTGTTTGTGACCTCCAGGGGCCTCTTCTCTTCCCTTCCCCTTCTCACGTAGGCTGATGCCCTGGTCTTCCAGCTATGCACTCTACCTGCCTCTCGATGCTCTAAGCCGATGTGTCCATCATTTGGCTGTTTGCATATTCTGATTCATGACATTTTCCTGCACAGTGCTGGCTGACACTCTGTAGCCCATCATATCTGACTTCTCTGGCCAGCCTGTATGCCTACCATCAGCTCGCCCTCCAAGGCACAGTCCTTCCCCGTTTCCTGATGTTTTCACTTCTGCCCCAGCCATGCAAATCTCAGCACACACAGCTCATTAAATAGCTTTGAACCTCTCCCTTCTTTTTTTTTCAATACTGTTTGGCAAATGCTTTCCAAGAGCCTACTAAGGGCTGGGCACAGCGCCTCATGCCTGTAATCCCAGCACTTTGGGAGGCCGAGGCAGTTAGATCACCTGAGGTCAGAGGTTGGAGACCAGCCTGGCCAACATGGTGAAACCACATCTCTACTAAAAATACAAAAATTAGCTGGGTGTGGTGGCAGGCACCTGTAATCTCAGCTACTTGGGAGGCTGAGGCAGGAGAGTCGCTTGAACCCGGCACTCCAGCCTGGGTGACAAGAGCAAAACTCCTTCTCAAAAAAAAAAAAAAGAGCCTACTAAGCAAAAAAATGCTGCACAAGGTGCTTCCTAGGGTACAAAGATGAGCACAGTACAGCTCTTCCTTTCAAGGAACGCACACAAGGAAGAGGCACAGATCTGAATGGCTAGTTCAAGGCAGGCCGTGGGAGGTACCACAACAGAGGTACAAATCCAGGGTGTAGGGGGTTGAAGGACTGAAAAATCATATCTGCTCGGGGTTCTCAGGGAACATTTTGTGAGGCACATCACGTTGTAGACTTTCAATATATGATGATAGAGACTGAGGAGTGGGCGGTACCAACATGAGCAAGGCGAGGAGACCAGGAAGGGAACACAGGCCTGTCTGGGCTGGGCTGGGGTGAGGGGGAGTGAGCAGAGAGTATGGCCAACACAAGTCGTTTCTTGTAGGGCCCTCACACAACGCGAAGACCATACCTCTAAGGTGCTCCATTCTGCTGTCTCTGCCCATCACTCGCCCTGAAACCTTACCCAAAAGTCACTTCTTCCAGGACGCCCTTACATTTCACCCAACCCCAATCAGCACCTATCACTTACAATTTTTTTAACATGTGGGCACACTATACTTACTTTCTGGCCATTTCCTAGAAGTTTGTGACTTCCACCGACCTCTTCAGTGGTTAAAACCAGGGCTTCCCTTACCTCCATTTTCCTTATTTTTCTGCCCTAATTCAGTGCTTAGGGTAGTGTTCTTGCCATTAGGCACTTAGTAGGGCCAGAGTTCTCAACACTGTACCAAGTTACTCATTTCCATATCAAAGATGAATCAGACACGATTCCTATCCCTGGGGAATCCGTTTTCTAGCAACTGGTAATTATGAGCAACTTAACCTCTGTGTGCTTTGGTTTGTAATTCATACAGTGGGATGAATAATCTCTTCTCTGCCCTTTTAAAATTTCGTAGTAACTGCTGAACACTTCAGAGTTCTCGAGCAGGAAGTCATGATTATGAGCAAATGAGAAACTAAAGAGAACGTTCTATTTTTAAACTCGTTGGACATGAGTCCAGTGCTCCATGACTACCTCGTGAACATTAATGCTATTACCAGATTACCAATGAATTTGCTACTAAATGAAGCTAGGAATTAGTGTTAGTGATTTGCCAGGCAGTGCAGGGCCTAGCAGTCTGCAGGCCAAAGAGGGTTCAGGTTTTGTCAGGGGCGCATGCTGCATTTCACACATCCAACACCCCCCAGGCCAAAGCTCTGATAAGTCACAGGAGTCTCCTTTGTAACCCTAGACCTCTCAGACTTGCTGTCCTCATATCCAGTCCTCCCAAGTAGATTCACTCATTTCCACATCAAAGATAGAGGCCTCATAGGAGCCGAGATGAAAAGTAGCCTTGTGTTGCTACAGGCTGGCCCCCTGGGCAAATAAAGAAGTGCATTATCTGTGTCTAAATAGTCTCTGAAGGATTCTCGGTGGAGATTGATGACCATAGTGGTGAGTTCTTTGAATGTGGAAGAGTGGAAAGCAGGATCTCAAGGGCTTCCCATCAGTGACAGGAGCCCAAGTTGTCAGAAGGAACGGTGGCCATAAAGCTACCAACAGAATTATGAAATGGATTGTTGCCATCAGAAGCATGTATTGAGCACGTGCCTTCTTAGGCCCATGGGCTAGTCACGCAGAACAAGTCCCCACACCGAGTTCTCACTCCTGAGAGCTCATAGCCCAAACCAGATGTCTGACTGGATGCAATCGTTCACACCTGTAATCCCATCACTTTGGGAGGCCAAGGCGGGAGGATCACTTGAACCTAGGAGCTCAAAGAACAGCCGAGGCAACATAGTGAGACCCTGTCTCTACACACACAAAAAAGTTTTAATTAGCTGAGTGTGGTGGCATGCACCTGTAGTCCTAGCTATTTGAGAGGCTAAGGTGGGAGGATCACTGGAGCCCAGAAAGTCGAGACTGCAATGAGCTGTCATTATGCCACTGCACTCCAGACTGGATGACAGTAAGACCCTGTCTCAAACAAACAAAACAAAAAAACAGAGATGTCTTTTTTCCTCTCATTGTCTCATTGGCTGCATAGATGTGTACTGAGCTAGGGCCCTACCTTCACAGAGCTCACAGTCCACTCTCATGAAATAAAGGCTGCAGACAGAGATAGCTGGTGGGGACTGAAGTCAGTATGAAGATGATGGGGAGGAGAGGAGGTCATGTTGCAGAGTGGTTTGTCAAGGTGCTCTCAGCAATTTTAGAAAGGAGCAGTTGTTAGCCTTAAAATCAGGAAAGCCTTTGTTATGGACATAGCTGAAAAATGATGTGAACTTGAACCATACCCCGGAATCCCAAGGGGGGAAGGCAGTAGGGCCCTGAGCTGTCTTGGCAGAAGTGTTCACAGTGCCCAGGATGAGGGGCGAGAGGATTGGGGTTGGGGGATGGTAAAGATGTTAAAAATTGATTGCACAACTCAACATATAAAAGCTGTTAGATTGTACACTTTCAGTGGATGAATTGTATAGTATGTGAATTATATCTCAGTAAAGCTGGGTTTTTTGTTTTTGTTTTTGTTTTTTTAAAGGAATCTACTAGGGAGGACTGGATATGAGGACAGCAAGTCTGAGAGGTCTAGGGTTACAAAGGAGACTCCTGTGACTTAATTAGGGCTTTGGCCTGGGGAGTGTTGGACGTGTGAAATGCAGCATGCCCTCTGACAAAACACCTAAGCCAGAGGGCATATGTACGCAAGTTGGGTGCCTGTGCCATTGGTTTCAGAGTTGTGGAGAAAGGGGACCTTTCTCCCCTGTGTTTAACCTGATTTGGAAGGCAGATTTAAGTATACAGATGCTCCTCAGCTTACGATAACATTGCATCCTGATAAACCCACCATAAATTGAAAATATCATGAGTTGAAAATGCGTGGCTGCCAGGCGTGGTGTCTCACACCTGTAATCCTAGCACTTTGGGAGGCCAAGGTCAGGAGTTCAAGACCAGCCTGGCCAACATGGAGAACTCTTGTCTCTACTAAAAATACAAAAATTAGCTGGGCGTGGTGGCACGTGCCTGTAATCCCAGCTACTCAGGAGGCTGAGGCAGGAGAATCGCATGAACCAGGGAGGCGGAGGTTGCAGTGTGCCGAGATCGCGCCTTTGCACTCCAGCCTGGGGGACAAGAGCAAAACTCCATCTCAAAAAAAAAAAAAAAGAAAAGAAAATGCTTGACTGACTGGGACCTGAGGCTCGTTGCCACTACCAGCCTTGCAGGAGAAGTACAGTTTCTACTGCATGCCTGTCACTCTTACCTCATCATAAAGTCGATCCATGGTAGGTCAGGGGCCAACTGTATCTTACAGAGAGATTATTTATGGAGGCCCAAACCAAAGAGTGAAAAATGAGTGGAAGCAGATAAATAGCTTGGATTTGTGTCCCGTCAGCTTGTTTTTTTTTTTTTTAGCTTTTTTTATATGTGGATGAGATCATATTGGCCCTGATTCGTCAGATAGGAAAAAATAGGCTTTAAGCTTGCCTCCTGGGGCCTCTATAGTCCATTAAGAATGAAGAACATGAAAGATACTTTAAAGGGAGATGTAGACAAATCAAAAAGATGAGGTGATTTTCTTTTGCTGTTGTTATAGTTGCTATTGTTGTGTGTATTATGGCCAGACTAGGAGTCCATTCTTTCCTCCCATTCACTGTCCAGCTTTTATTCCTAAACGTTCATTTGTTTCTAGGACATGGTCCGGCGAGGAGAGATCATCGACAATGACACCGAGGAGGAGTTCTACCTCCGGCGCCTGGATGCGGGGCTCTTTGTTCTCCAGCACATCTGCTACATCATGGCCGAGATCTGCAATGCCAATGTCCCCCAGGTAGGAGGGTCTTCCCCTGGATGGGCTTATCCATCCCTGCCTCCTTCCTCGCCAGCTGCTTAGGTGGACTCTCACTCAGGGAAAGAAGGGGGTCACGCTCTCCTTGAATTCCTTTACTCTACATCAGCCTTTTGTTTCAGGGATGGGGTGAAGTATATCATTTCAAGGTGATACATTCTGGTGTGTCAGGACAAATGGTTGTCTTTCTTTCTCTACCCATTTTTTCCCTTATTAGATTCGCCAGAGGGTTCACCAGATCCTAAACATGCGAGGAAGCTCCATCAAAATTGTCAGGCATATCATCAAGGGTGAGTTGGATGCTACTCATGTCTGGGGCTCCAGAGGATTAGATGATGCTTACTTTCTGAGCCTCTGTCAGTATCCCTGGTATTTGATGTGGAGCGTTTTCTGCACTGAAAGCTTAAGTTGTTGTCCATTTCACTGTGTGTCCAGGTCGTCTTTGTCAGAATACGGAAGACTAGCCTTGTTGTTCTCTGCCTCTTACCCTCCAGTTCCAGAACTTACACCCATAAACAAGAGGCACAAAGGCTTGAAACAGTTGTTAAAATTTTTTAAAAAAGCAAAACAAAAAATTCAATTCCAAACTACACATAGTGGAAGGAAATTGCTTTCTTAGGGAAAAAAAGCAAGGAAATGACAAGAAATACAAACGTCCTTTCTTATCCACAGTTTTGCTTTCAGTTACACACAGTCAACTGTCCAGAAATAGATAAGTACAGTACAATAAGATATTTTGAGAGAGGCCACATTCATATAACTTTTTTATAGTATATTGTTATAATTGTTCTGTTTTATTTAGTTATTGTTGTTAATCTCTTACTGTGCCTAATTTATAAATTAACCTTTATCATAGTTGTGTAGTTATCATAGGTGTGTATCTATAGGGAAAAACATAGTGTACATAGGTTTCAGTACTGTGTGCAGTTTCAGGCATCCATCGGGGGTCTTGGAACATCCGTCGGGATGCAGGGGACTACTGTAACTGGAATTCTGTAGTGAATTGAAGCAATGTGGAGTGGTGGAGAGTATGCCTGCCTTCTGGGCCTAGCTCTGCCTCCTCTAGCTGCTAGCCTGTCACAGCTAGGAGAAATTTTGCAAAGGTTACAGGAGGTACTACAGCATCCAGTCTGTACCTGGCACACAGCGGGTGCTCAGTCAGTGTGGGTTTCCCTCCTCCTCACCCACCCCATGGAGTTCCCCAAATGCTGCTGGATCTTTGACTGGACCTGACTCAGCTGGAGAGGCCTCCAGTCGGTGAGCAAGCCCCCAGTTACAAGGCGGGGCCCCTGTTCTGAGCTCTGAATGCAGCCCCACCGTCAGCCACCTAGGCACTAACTGGAGAGCGCTGGCTGGTACGTGTGGCAGTGGAGGCCCATGTGGGAATTTCCAGTACTGACGATGCCGGAGTTCAGGGAGTGTCCAGATGGACTGGGTAACTCTAGACAAATCAGTGTTCACCTCGGGCCCTCATTCTGCCCATTTCTAAGATGAAGGACTAGGCTAGATTTACTCAGAGAGCTTACCTTTCAGTTGCTTTTAGCTCCCATTCCAGGTGGCGGATGAAATGTGAGGATAAACATAGTCTACACAGTGAAGTGAAGCACGGTTAAGAGCGTGGGCTCTAGGGTCAGAGGCTTGTGGATCCAAATCTTGGCTCTGTTGTTTACTCTGTTACCTCAAGCAAGATACCAGTTGCTCTGTGACCTCCTAGAAAGGGCAAGGGGATTGAATGAGGTGACACAAGTTAACAGTGAACGTTAGTGTGAGTGTTACAAAATACCAGGAAGATCATTGTCATTATTATTTTAAGTGAGGCATGGCCAAAATCCTGTGGGAAGCCTTGTGAGAGAGGTGGCATTGAGCTGGTCTGAGAGGCTAGGACAGAGACAGTCCAGAAAGAAACAGCAGTGTGAGTGAAGGCATAGGGGCTGGAAATCTCGTGTCTGCTCAGCCCTCCCCATCAGGGAATGGTAAATCCATTGCACCCATTTTGTAGATGGAGAGTATGAGGCATTGGAATCTGTTGTTTTCTCCTCAGAGAAAAAGAGAGTAAAGGGGTCTGATGGACACAGCCCCACTCATGCCTTCCGGGGTGACACCCTGGGGGCTTCTTCTCATTCTCAGTGTCAGATTCGCGTGAATTACTGCTCAGAGCCTCATTTTGCCTCCTCCCTAAGGTGTAGCTGTGGTGATTTGCAACTCCAGCCTTTAAATGGCATTTACTTCTAATGCCCACATGTTCAATTAGAACTTCTTATTACCCTCAGCTCTACTATCTTGCATTGAGCCTTCTCCCTGCACCTCCATCCTTGTAATCAAAACAGTGATCTTCCAAGAAAGGAAAAGTATTTTTAATGGGTGCTGACATGTAGTAGTAGTAGTTGGATGTTTTTCTTTCTCAAACCCTGCCACACACACCCTAAGTGATTCACAATTTTCCATTGTTGTGAGCCCTAGCCTCTGTCTCCCTCGGATCCTGGTTTATTTCCCTAGTGCCTTTTAAGGTGCTGACCCCATACTGGATACTGAGTGGATGATTGTTGAGTGAGTGCCTGGGCAAGCGAGCAGGTGAGCGAACCAGTGAAGGGTCTGCACAGACGCCATCTTCATTCCCACCCCTCTGTTTTTCTCCCCCACTGCTTTCTGCCCACCCTCACCTCCCCCACCTCCATGCAGACCCTCGCAGCCATCCTTCCAGGCCTGGGCTCAGCCCTTCATTTCTCTCCCCATCACCCTTCATAGCCAGCTCCTTAGTCCATCCCACCTCTTCTGTCTCCGAACTCAACCTTGAATCCATCCACTTCTCTGCATCCATTATTCCCATGATAGCACCCTTTTTCTTTCCATCCGAGCCCTTATCACAACCTATGATTGTTTTTATTTATGTGTTTGTTTACTCCTTTTGTCTGTCTCATACATTAGAATATAAGCTCCATGACGGACATTGTCTGCCTTGTTCACTGTGTCTCCTCAGCACCCAGAGCAATGCCAAGCAAATAATGGGAACCAGTAACAATTTCAGACATTGTGGAATGAAACCCTACCCTTGTATGAATTTAACGTAGCAAACATTGACTGTGACTCTCCTCGGGACTAGCTGGGCACAGTGCTAAGTGCTGTGCTATGGAGGTGTCACACGGCAGCTGCCCTCATGGAGTTTACAGCCTTCCAGGGACATAGAGTATAAATGATTGACCATAATCCAAGCCCAGTGAAATGCACGCTCCAGGAACTACTCAGCTGGCCCTGCTCAGTGCCAGGCTCTGTGTCCAGTCCTAGAGATACTAAAGGAATAAGCGAGATCCCTATCCTTGAGGCGTTCACAGTCTAGGGGGAGAGGCTCAAAACTAATTAGAACGTGCTAAGCACCCGTCAAGTTGTGAACAGTGTGCTGAGGGAGGGAGTGGCACGGAGGCAGTTATGTAAGCAGGGAGGGAGCCACTTCTCCTCCTCAGGACTAGGACTGGTACCCAAACCAGGCAGAGGGAGCAGAGGCCTGGAGGAGGACAGGGCAGGATGCAGTGGCCTTGGGGAGGACTATAGCCCCTTCAAGGGAGGCCAAGAAGAGGTGCAGGAGGCTGTAGTGTTGGGTGGGGTGTGGCTGGGCAGGGCTCCTGAGTTCTCCTAGGTGCACAGTGAGTTTGGGGTACAAGGGGTGACTGCATCCCTTGATTGGCCAGCAGACAGCGGACATTCTCATTAGTCCCTGGGGAATCGTTTGGGAAATTTGAGGTCATCAGTGTGGAGGTGATATTTAGAGCCTGGGAATTAAACGCCATTGCTCAGGTTGAAGAGGCCCCAAACATCACGCTGGCAATTAAAAGAGTTCTCTCTAGATGGAAGGTTGTCATAAAGAGTTCTCAGCCCTCCCGCTGGTGTGCCCCTGTCCTGCCTCACCCACGGCAGGGGAAGCCAGTCTGCAGCAGGGTGTGGAGCCTGTGCAGTGTGGCCTGCCTCTGGGAGCACCCCCTGAACAGGGTGCTGCAAGGACCCTGAGGAGCCCTCACTTGGGTGGAGAGGGTGGTGCTGAGGTTGACAAGGTTGAGACTCCCATGGAGGTGGAAGGGGTGGGAGGCTGGGCTCTTCTGGGACCCCCGTCCAAAAGCCCATCTGGTTCTCCTTTTCATACCACGCCCCCCCCACCCCACCCTTCCTTCAATCAAAAGCCCAAGAAAACAAAGCCTCATAAAGAAAACCAGCTCATCAGTCTGTCCTCTTTGATTTTAATTTTGTTTTTCAGTTTGGGTTGCTTCCTTTTTTTCTTTAACATACTAATTAGATGCAAGCTTTTTTCTTTGATTTTATGGCCTACATATTTCCTAAGTTTTGCTGGCAGGATGACAGCTGATGTATCCCTTGAGGTCTCAGGAAAACGCTGATGAGGCAAGCCCAGCGGGGGACTTTTCCCGTTATTTTTCAGCCCCCACTCTCACAATTTTCTCCCTCCTCTATTGGGGGTGCCAAGAGCGCAGGGAATAATTGATGGCTCATTACAGCCCCTGTCTCTGCACACTGCTTACTCAGTGCTCCCGACGTCCAGCCTTCCCCAGAACCAGCAGCAGCTCTGGCCTGAGGACTGTGGGCCCTCCTAGGGAACCGTGGTCTGAGGACTGAGACGGCCACAAAGAGAAGGGCAGATGGAGCCATGTGCTCCATGAGAACAGCAGCAGACTTACTGCCATTTATTTCTGTGGTGCTCGGCACCCTGACTGGCAGAGAGGAGGAGTCAGTTACTGCTGACTGGGGTGCGTGCTGAGGTGGTGCTGTAGGCTTCTTCTATTCCAGAAATCCAGGACCATGGTAGGTAGAGTAGTCACTTACCGAGCTCCTACCTCCTCTGGGTCAGGCCTTTGGGGTACAGTGTCATTACCTCTGGTCCTCACAACAGGCCTAGAAAGTGGGGTAACAAGGAAACTGAGACTCACTGAGCTTAGTGGGGGTACCTGGGTCTCTGGTGATGTAAACTGGATCCAGACTCAGAAGGAGCTATGCACAGCGGTAAGGAATGTGCCAACTGCTGATTGGCCCATATGCTCCTATGGGCTTTTAGGAGAGAAGAAAAATGCAGGGCACTCACCTTTAGAGAGCACCAATTTGACATCACAGGGTGCTAGGCAGGCTTCTAAGATAAGTGAGACACTCAGGAGACCCTGTCCCCAACAGGCATACGTCCCTCACAAGTGAGGTGACTGACCATAGCGCAAAGCAGAATGGAGCCAGTGCTGGGATGCAGAGGTACAAGGGGAATGAAGACGGCACAGTTAACTCACAGTTAATCCGGCTGGACATGAAAAGGAGCCCAAAGATCCAGGGAAGCTGTACGGAAGGCATGGCTTCTTTTTTATTTTTTATTATTGTAGTAATAATTTATCGTTTTGACTATTACTACCATCACTACCATCTATCCACAGGCCTTTTTTTCATCTTGCAAAACTGGAATTGCCCGTTCCTCCCTCCCCCCAGCCCCTGGCAGCCACTATTCTGCATTCTGTCTCTGTGGCTGCCTGCATGGGAAGGGTTTCCGCAGGCAGCTACGCATGGGCATTGTTGAGCAGTCATCACCTTGGCTGTGGCGTAGGAGCTGTGACCCGAGAATGCTTCGAAATACAAATATTTGTGCCAAGGGTTGCAGTGGAAGCCACTGGCCAGTCTTATCGATGTTTTAGTCTCCTGGTGAAAGTTGTTGGAGGACCACACAGATGCCCAGGAGCAGCCATGGCTACTGCACAGTGGCTGGTTTGCAGAGAAAATCTTAGAGGATTACTGACTCAAAACTCTCTCACTGCTGGGCGAAAAGAATGAGCCAGAAACTTAAATGCTTTTAGAATTTGGCCCATGGCCCTTTGATTTGCGAGTATTCTTTATGGTTTAAAATCTCCTCCTAGTAGCTCATAAACATGTATTTCCATATTGATTTGGGGCTCTTGGTAACCCAATTTGTGTGATTTTAAAGCTGCAGAGGCTGATAGGATTTATCTTTGGATGACATGTTGGCATGTGCGTGGCTTGCGCCTGGTCATGGATACGGTGTCCCACAGGGTATTTGGAGGCAGGAAAGGATCATGGAGAGAGGCCTGTATGTTAGCCCTGTAGCCAGCGGCCTTGACAAGGCTCAGAGGCATCTTAAGGACACCTCAAGAGCTTTTCAGCAAAGATGTCACATTTGCCTTAGGATTGCTGCCCCCGGGCCTCACACCCAGTTCACCCAAGAGGGCTCTCGGGAAGCGCTGCCCGGGGTAGTGTGGTGGTGGTATGCAGGGGTCGGGGGGAACCACTCTTGGAGAACCAACTGTGCTAAGACCATGGAGCCTGCAGTGAGTTGCCCAGGTTCACAAGCAAGCTCTGTCGCTTTCTAGTGTCTGACCTCAGGCAGCTCTTCCCCTCTCCAAGCCATAGCTCCTGCATCTGTAAGATGGGGAGAACCTGTCTCAGAAGGCTGCTGTGAGAATGAGGTGAAGTGCTGTATGTACAGTGCTCGCATGGTGGCTGGCACCTAGAAGAAAGTGCCTGTTACATGTTAGCTGTCTTTATTGTTATAATTAGTGTCCAAGCTCACCCAGGAACAGAGATGCTCAGACCAACATAAATTCTGGATCTCCATGTAACTCTGGGCAAGTTAGTAGGTAACATATTTAAGTCTTGGTTTCCTCCTCTGTAAAAAACACAAAGAAAAAAACACCTAAAATAAATATTGCCTCTCTCAGGAAGCCTCCAAAGTTAAAATGCAGTTGGGTGCCTGGGACCAAGTTACATACTCAGTAAATGGAAGTTCCTTCCTTCCTTGACCTAATCCTTTCGCCTGGAGTTAGCAGCAGCTTGGACTGAGATGCCACCAGGAAAAGCAGGGACCAGCACACAGGCTCGACTTCCCCGGGGCCTTGTGGGGGTGGGTGGTTGTCAGTGGGTGCTTTTCCAACTGTGTAAAACATCCATGGGACTCTGAGAACATGACCATTGGCATTGTAAGCAAGAGCAAGGGTCTTTCTCTGTAAGTGGGTTTCATTTGAATGGCATCCCTGATGAAATGAGAACCTACTGCCTAGCAAAATATTCTACTTCTGGAGAAGCGCAACTTTCAACCTTCCAAGTTCATTGTTGTTGTCAAGGAATCTCTGTTAGACCTGAAGGATTTTCCTTTCTCAGTTTCTATTTTGTGGTTATATGTACATCTTCAAGGGTTTTCAATGTGAAAATATTGGGCATTCCTCCTCTCTCCTCCCTCTTCCTCCTGCATTTTTAAAAAGGTGAACATGTAAGGCTTAAGGTTCATGGATCTGAACCAGGCTTGTGAATACTCATCCAGGTCTCCGCCCTGGAAGACGACTTTTCCCCATCCACCAGCCCCAGTGCCCCCTCCCTCTCCCTCTCAACATAAACAGAACAGCTTGTATTCCATGTCTGAATAGTAAACCTGCTGTCTAAAGTTTGCTTTAATATTTATGCGTTCAGCACTGCTGCCTGTTTCTGAGTTCCATCAAAGCCTTTATTATAAGAGCATTTGAAAATGTGGGGGAAGTAGAGAAAGGAGTTGACGTGTATGCCGTCTTTCTCACTCTCCACTGACTTAGCCTCTTCCCTCTCTCCCCTCATCCTTTTCTCCCTCTCCCCTCATCCTGCAGTCTCTTTTCCTCTTACATACACATGCACACACGCACACACGCACACACACATGCAGCAGAGAGAACTCTTTCCCAAGACCTCTGGGAGGACTCTGTTCAATATTTAAACTGCTGCAGCAGCTGTAATAACCAGAGGTAGCTGGCACCACCAAGATTTGCTCTAAATAGGACTCTGCCATAGAAACAAAGAATGAGCAAGGGCAAAGGGTGAGGTTGAGGTGCCTGAGGGTGCAGCTTCCCCGGGCAGTGGATGAGCACTAGGCCAGTGGATGAGTACTAGGCCGGGTCGTCGGACCTGGTTCTGGGCCTGGCTCCGTGGCCGGCTCACTGTGGGACCCTGGCCATCCACGTGCCCCCTCAGGGCTGCAATAAATTTCTGAGAACCCTTCCAACTCTGATATTTGGTAACTTGGCATAAGAGAGGGTGACCCCAGCCAGTCCACCCACATCTGTCCTGGCCACCGAGGCCACTGTACCATAAGACATTCCTGTTTTGGAATGCTCACAGAGCAGAGTTTTTTTTCCCAAAGACTAGGGGCCAGGCAGGGTAGCCTGTTGCTTAGGTAACAGGATGCTGCTGTGAGGACCGGCCCCCTCCCAGTGGTTTTTTAGGGGCCTTTTTTTTTTTTACTATCCACACATTTCAAGGTTTGAATTCCGGCTCCTCTACATCCTAGACTTGGGCGGGTTGCTTCAGTTCTCTGATAGCCTCTGTTTCCCCCTGGGTAAGTAGGGATGGTGTTCTTTACCTTGTGAGATTGATGCAAAGGTTACATGTGAGACAACCTAGAAAATGCAGGCACATAGCAGTGCACAGCACATGTTAGTTCCACTCCGCTCTGTATGGGACAGGCCCTCTTCCAGGGGACACTAAGCCATTCACTGCCTGTGGGCCAGTCGGATATCCCCTTTCCAGAGAATGGGTGATGTGACTGTTTGCTTCTTAGCACAGTTGGAGTGACACAGGAGACTTGCGCATAGGATGGGTGCTCTGTGTACCGTCGGCATATGTAAGCGAGGCCTCGGCACAGGTGATTCGGCAAAGGGATTGATGCAGGTGTGGGTTCCCTCTGCTTCGTACATCCCTAGAAAGAACTCAGGGAAGCCGGCTTTACTGTTGGAAAATCACTGCCCCACAGCATCGGACTGTTTCTCCACTTCCCTCTCTCCTGGGTCTGAGAAGACATTAGGAGAGCAAAGTGTTAGCTCAATCCATTAAGACTCCTGCTTCCAGACCATGCCTCCGGGGATATTAGATGCCATAATGGTCATTTCTCTCTCTCCTGGGGCAGCAACTATATCATTCACATGTGAGTAAGAGATACCACTTACACACAGCCCCAGAGCCTTCTGCCAAAGCTCAGTTCCTGTCTCCATCACCCTGGCCCTCTCTCTAAGGGGCCTTAATAGGAGGCATCACAACCACTTGCTGTTGGAGGTGATGGATGGGCCTAACAGAAGAGGATTTCTGGGGGTAGACACACAGCTGGCACATGCCTGAATCCCACATCCCATTTTCTGGCACACGACCAAAGTAATAAAGAGGAACGGGGCAAAATAAAGAGGTAGCAGGAGCAAAATTACTTCCCCAGCATTGGCAGGGGTGGGGCTGACAGGGGAGGGGTGAGAGGTCACATGCTTTGTCTCCCCAGTCTTTGTCTGGTTTGGATCAGCAGGTGTTTTATTATGCAAAAGCCTCTTACTAGAGAGTTCTCTCCATTTTCTTTCTCAAGCCAGGCCCCAGTAAGGGACCAGGGGGCAGAAGTGCAGGCAGCCATCCTAGTCACCCACTGCAGGAGATCCTTCAGCACGACACTCTGCTGGGGGGCCCTCGGCCAGGCTTAGCTGGGAGGAAGGCGAAAGCCCCTGCCTTCATGCAGCTCTCTGTCTAGGGAGAGAGGGGCTGGGTGGAGGATGGTCTAGCAGTCAGGCCCACATGTGCTGGAGGCAGTGGCCTGGGGCCGGGTGTGGGAGTGAGAGGTGACCAGGCAGGCTTTCACAGAGAAGACATCTCAGGAGGGGACCCGGAGGAGGTGTGGGACTTCCCCAGTGCCATTACTGGCCTGAGCAAAGGAGGCTGAGGGAGGGAACTAATGTTCCCTGGACGTTTGTTATTTGAACATTTTCAGAGGGGACCACCCAAGGGCACAGTTGTGAGTCAGAGCTAGGATTTGATTGCCTTTTCCTCTCTGGCTGTGGGCAGGGGACAGTCAGAGGGCAGTGAAGGGTTGGACCACCCCATCCTCCCCCTTCCCCTCCCACCAGATCCCCTACACTTGCTCTAGGAGCCACCGCAGGAAGTCCAGAGTCACCAAATCATCCCTCGCCATCTCCTAAAAAAAAAAAAAAACAGGGTGACCATGTTATTTTGGGGGACGAGGACACTAAAAAAAAAGAAATGGCGTCTTAAGGATCACTGTGCTGGGACAACAGGGGAGACAAGAACACAAGCCTGCCCACCATGACACTCTCTGATGGCATCCTCTGCTGATCTGTTGCCAGAACTGTGCCCAGAGCCTCACCCTCCTCAGGAATATTTCCTTTCTCTTCCTGGTCTCACTGAAACCTGGTGCTCCTACACCCCTCCTGCCACTGGAGACATAGGAGGGGTCTTCCATGCTCCAGTACTTCTAGACTATTCTCTCTCCCTCCCTTCCCCGAATACACCCAGCTGTCGAAGTTTGTGTCGGGGGACTGCACCCCCCGACAGCCCCTCCCTGTTGTTGGCACCAGCACCTGTGCCCCCAGTCCTTGCGGGGATTCTGGGCTCACTGTCAGCCTCCCCAATGCTCTTGTCATATTTCTTGGTGATTGCAACATCCATATCTCTTTCTCACACCCCATTTCCGGTCTATCTGTAAATCCTATTGGAGCCACCCTCAGAAAACATCAAGAAGCTGAAGACGTCGCCTCACCTCCACCGCTACCTGCCCAATCCAGGCCACTGTCACGTCGCATCTCCTTTCCCTGCCTTTGCTTCCCCCATGGTGTCCCCCACACAGCATTGAGAGGGATCTGGCAAAAGTCAAATCACGTCATTCCTTTCTGCTCAGGACCCACCGCACAGAAAGGCCACAGCCCTTACCGTGGTGCACAGACCCACACCATCTGGGTATGGCCCCTCCCGTGGCTCCAGGCTGTGGCCACGCTGACCTCTTCGCTGACCCTCAGATAAACCAAAGAAGTGCCTCCCCTTAGATCCTCTGCCCTGGCTGCCCTGCCACTCGCTCCTAGACCTTTCCACACTCATCTCCTTCTGATCTTTAAGCAGATACTCCCTGCTGACAGCCACCTGTGTATTTTGTTCACTTTTTGGTTTGTGACCCTCACTAGAAAGTAGGCTCCACACAAGCAGAAATTTGCATCTGTTTCTATCACTGCTTTATTCCCATTCCCAAAAAAAGGTTCTCAAACTGGAGCATACATCAGCATCACCTGGAGACTCAATAAATCCCAGATCACTGGGCCCCACCCGTTTCCTGTTAAGTGGGTCTAGGGTGGTCCCAAGAATTTGTGTTTCTAGTAAGTTTCCATGCAGTGCTGCTGCTGCTGCTGCTGCTCGGGTCCACACTCAGAACCACTCACCCAGAGCAGTGCCTGCCCAGCTGGTGTCTGTCTTAGTCTGTTCGTGCTGCTGTAACAAAATCCCTGAGACTGGGTAATTTATGAAGAACAGAAATGTACTTCCTCACAATTCTGGAGGCGGGGGGTCCAAGAGCACTGCCCCAACCTTTGGTGTCTGCTGAGGGCCGTCCTATTGCATCCTCACATTGCAGAAGGGGGAAGGGCAAAGGGTCTTGAGAGTTCCCTGCAGTCCTTTTGCAAGGGTCTAATCCCCCTAGATTAGACCTAATCTAGACCTAATCTAATCTTATAATTAGATGGTAAGAACCTAATCACCCCATAAAGGCCTTCGATGCGTTGAGGATGAGGTTTCAGCATGAGTTTTGGAGGGGACACAAACATTCAGACCTTAGTAGCATCCACGCCATGTGTGTTGAGTGAATAAATACATGAGGGCGGAAGTGAAGGGTGTGGCTAGGAGGGGAATCCAAGCATGGAAAGGTAAGTTGGGACCTTTCCACTGAGGCCTCAAAGGCAAGACCCCAAGGAATTTGGCTACAGTGGGGGCATTAGGGCGACTTGCACCTCTGTGGGAGCTGGGGTTCTGGGAAAGGTATGAAGCGACGCAGCCACGGTGGATGCCATGCCTGGGATCCACTCCTGACTCTATCTTTGTCCCCCTAGAGTATGCAGAGAACATCGGGGACGGCCGGAGCCCGGAGTTCCGGGAGAACGAGCAAAAGCGCATCCTGGGCTTGCTGGAGAACTTCTAGAGGCACCTTGGCCCTGCGCATCATGGACTCTCTCAGCTTCCCTCCCAGGATCAGTTTCTACACAACTCTGTGTGGCTTTTGGACAAATTAAAGCTAGTTTTGGTATCCCCGGGCCAGTTTTCTTTGTAGTTAAGCTTCGCCTGCTGACCCTCCCTGCCCCCTCCCCACAGCAGCTACTTCAGGACTCCCCCAGGGAAGGCACATGGGCAGCCTCACTCCGCCTGCAAGAAAGCTGAGGCTCAGAGGGTGTAGCAGTGACAACTTCGCCACTGTGGCTACGCAGGTGGTGCTGCTGTGAGGCTGGACTGGGGACCCGCCTAGAGTCTAGATGTGGGACCCAAGGCCCTGGCCTCATGCTCCAGTTCCCTGGGGAGGCCAGCCACACAGCACAGCCCTCAGAGCATGCAGAGCCCTGCCGCGTGTCAGACCACTCGGGTGGGGGCTGCATGGAGAATTACCAGATCCCAACGTGGGCCCCACCGCAAAAATAGCATCCAATCTCTCAGTGAGGCCCTGGCATTTGGGCTGTTTAAAGCTCCCAGTGGTTCCGTGCATCAGGGTGAGAGCCACTGCTTTAGAGTGGACAGGTTTGGGTCCATCTCCCCACTGCATCATTACCAGCTGTACATTTTGTTTTGGTTTGGGTTTTGTTTTTTTTTTTTGAGACGGAGTCTCCCTCTGTCGCCCAGGCTGGAGTGCAGTGGCGCAATCTCGACTCACTGCAAGCTCCATGTCCTAGGTTCACGCCATTCTTCCGCCTCAGCCTCCCGAGTAGCTAGGACTACAGGCGCCCGCCACCATGCCCGGCTAATTTTTTTGTATTTTTAGTAGAGACGAGATTTCACCGTGTTAGCCAGGATGGTCTCGATCTCCTGACCTCATGATCCACCTGCCTCGGCCTCCCAAAGTACTGGGATTACAGGCGTGGGCCACTGCACCTGGCCGGTTTTGTTTTGTTTTTCTTTTTAAGACACAGGGTCTTACTTTGTGGCCCAGGCTGGAGTGCAGTGGTGCAACCACAGCTCACCGCAGCCTTGACTTCCTGGGCTCAGGCGATCCTCCCACCTCAGCCTCCTGGGTAGCTGAGAGGGAGGTGCCACCACATCTGGCTGATTTAGCTGTACATTTGGATAAGTGACTTTCACCTTTCTGAATCTCACTTCTTAAACTGCACAGTGGGGCCAATAATACCCATTTGCTGCTGAGGATGGCATGCTCAGCAAGCCTGCAGCGCAGTGATGAAGGCACAGTCGTGGCTTGGTAGCTGCTGCTTCCTTTGGTTCTTCCCACACACATTTGTGACTTCAGAATTGTGATTTCAGGCCAGATGTGATGGCTCTCGCCTGTAATCCCAGCACTTTGGGAGGCCAAGGCGGGGAGGATCTTTGAGCTCAGGAGTTCGAGACCAGCCTGGGCAACATGGTGAAACCCCATCTCTACAAAAAATAGAAAAATTAGCCAGGCATGGTGGCACATACCTATGATCTCGTCTACATGGGAGGCTGAGGTAGGAGGATTGCTTGAGCCCAGGAGGTCAAGGCTGCAGTGAGCTATGATCATTCCTCTGTACTACAGCCTGGGCAACAGAGCAAGACCCTGTCTCAAAAAATAAAAAAGAACTGTGATTCTACTCATTCGACATAGGTGATGAGAAGGTTGGTTTCCCCCTCAGAAGTCAGCAGTGCTTTAGCATGTTTTTAATCAATCCTCAAAGAACAGAGTCCCCATGAGTGAGGAGGCAGAAGAGTGGCCAGATGAAGAAAGCAGCATTTCATTCCAATGCATTGTGCAGCCCAGGGTCACAGACAGGCTGCTGGGGATGCTACACGCCTCGCACTGTGTCCCTGCCCCTCTTGCTGCTCCCTAGACCCTGAGGGACAGGGCCCCAAGCGGCCACTGCCATCAGGCCAGAGTTGACATGCTGGGTGAAACCTGTTTGCCATCCCAGGAAGCCACCGAGAGGTCCCTGAAGAAGATGGCACCTGCTCTGTGTCCAGCCTTGGGCTGGTGACGGAACAGAGAGTAAGGCAGGCCCTGCCTGCTGGTGCTCACTTGCAGCCTGGCGGGAGAACAATGCATAACTGTAAGCGTCCCCACAGAGAGGGGCAGGAGAGCGCGACAGGGCCTGTCACAGGATCAGATGGCGGTGCCGTCACTTTGGGTCTAATTCTTCCTTGACTTTTCTGTAACTGTAGTAGCTGGCACATATCGAATGCCCAGTGGCATTGTTATCCCCGATTTATGCAAGCTGAGGCTGAGGGCTCAGAGAGGGTAAGTAGCTGCACAAGGCCCTGTGGCCAACAAGCATCAGAACGCACATTCTAGCCAGGCCTGTCCGACGGCGCAGTTCACACCCTCTCCCGCTGAGCTCCTCTACCTGGAAGGGTCACACCGTACCGGCTGACGCCGTGCTCCGATCCTTTCATCTGTTGTGTGGTTTAATGAATTCACAAAAAATAGAGCATGTCCAGGTGTAACTTAGAGAAGCAGACTTCTAGAGCTAAGATCGGTACTTTAGACATCATCAGTCCTTCACCTTGATTTTCTTTTTCAATTTTAATTTTAACCAGGTAATGCTTGCAAACGGTATAGGAGTTCAAAATTTAACAAAAAGCGAGGCAGTGAAGAGTCCACCCACTCCTCTCCCATCGCCTAGGACTTCCTGCCCCTGGAGGCAGCTGCTGCCATCTGATTCTCCTCCAGAGTTCTGTCCAGCATTTTGCCAGCCGTGTTTGGAAGCCCAGGCTACCCACCAGCTCCCAGAGGCCAGCATAGGAAGGAAAGGCCGGGGCGGCTCAGGCACTCCATGGTTGCCGCACCTTGCCCTGCTTCGCATGTGGCAGCCTCCTGAATTCTGTCCCTTTGCTAAAAGCAAGTTGGAACTCTTCTCTTGACAACTGAGGAAGCGGTCCCCTTTTCCATTAGTTTTGTGTGCGGAGGGTTAGGGGCAATGTGAGGTGTAGTCCCTTCGGGTGCAGCAGGGGAGTACGGTTCCAGGGCCCGAGGGACCAAGGAGACAGCGTAAGGAGAAAGCAGCCACCACCACTCCCTGATTTCAACGACCCAAGGCCCCGCAAAGCTTTTCAGGGCGAGGTAGAGCTCCTCATTGCTCACCCTGGGCTCTTGGGGCGTGGTCCCAGCTTTCAGGCAGCTCGCTGTCTGCCTAAAAAACCCTCTGACTCACAAAGCAGCATCTCTCCTCTGGGGGAGCTTCTTGGGCTTCCAGGAAAGGCTGCCCTTGGCCTGTGGCTCCGAACCTGACTTCTTTGCCCACTGAAAGGGCTCAGTCTAAATTTGCCCCTTCAAACAAAGCTTCTTCATGTTCATCCTCATGTCCATAGCTGAGTGGGACCAGACCATAGCATCCAGAGAGGCAGTATTCCTTTTCCAACCCAAACATGGCAATCGGATTGCCTTTTAGCAATATTCGCCAGGGTTTCTTCACAGGGGAAATAGGATTCCACCCTCATTTTCCATGGCGGCTTGCTGCTCCGTTTGTGGTGGTCGCACGCCTGGAATCAGCAGCAGCAAGATGGGCCGTCTCTAATTCACAGAGATTTGCATGCAGGCTGCGTGCCTTCCTTATCTAGGGAGACGCATTGTCAGGGCCGCTGGAAGGCATCCTTCAGTCACCCCCACGGTAGCACCAGTGCACAGGTGGCATCTTCTGCCATTACTGAGGGCGTCAATTTAGTGTCAACAGGGAGACGAGACTCGCTTTCCTAAAGGCAAGGCTTCTTGATTAGATTTCCTTACCCAACAGTAGAGGTAAAAGCAGACCCACATTTTTCAATCTGTCTTGCTCTTTGGCACACATGGAAAGTGGCTGGTAGCACAGCGGTGGGCCTTCGTTATCTGTGCTGGGGAAAATGGCAGGCGTTTCTCAGTCACCTTCTTGGTTAGGTAACACGTGCCCTTGGTGTAAACCTCAGAGGGTGCGTAAGGGCACACAGTGCACGCATCTCCCTGCCAGGTGTGTCTCCTGGCCGCCCAGCACCCCTCCTCAGAAGCCACCACGGCTCATGAGCGGAAGTACCCTTTCCCTTTCAGAGAGACTCCTATGTGTTTTCAAGTGAATAAAAATATTTTTAACACAAATGGTGGCATCGTGTCCTGTCGTGCACCTTGCTTCTCATTCCCCGTCACCACACACAGCTGCCCCCACTCCTTTAATAGGCTCACTGCATCGCAGAGCTGTACCATGATGTTGTTAATTGTGTTAATGGACATTCAGACTGTTTCCGATCTTTGGCTATTACGATGCTGCAGTGATCATCCTTGTGTAGGGCGTCATTTCACACACGTGTGAGTTTAAACTCCCAAGGAGCATTGCCAAGTCAAAGACAGTGTGCCTTTTTCATTGTGATATATATTGCCACACTGCCCTTCTTTTGTCAACTGCGTGCACGAGTGTCCTCTGCCCACACGCACCCTCACCAGCGCGCTGTTAGCTCAGTGCTTCGCCTCGGTGGGTGAACAGTGTGGCCTGCTTGTTGCTTTAATCTGCATTTCTCCTATAAGTGAGGTCATTTAGTGCGCTAGAATCGAATTATGCGTGCATCATATTAGCTAATATTCATTGAGCTCTTGACTCATTGAGCTAAGTACTTTCTTCAGATTAGCTCGTTTAACCCTCGTTCCTGAAGTGTAGGTACTTCCTTTTGTTGTTGTTGCCCAGGCTGGTCCCAAACTCCTGGGCTCAAGGAGTCCTCCTGCCTCAGCCTCCTAAGGTGCTGGGATTGCAGGCGTGAGCACCCAGCCTGACGTGTAGGTACTTGCCTCATCAAGTCCATTTCACAGATGAGGACACCAGACTGAGGGGGTCAGTGGTTTAGAGTGACAGCTGGGAATGGAACCCAAGCAGACCCCTGCTCCTAATCTCAGGGCCACCCTGTTTTCCAGCTGGTTGCTAGAGAGGGCCTGGTGAGGCTGGAGAAGGTGGCGCAGAATACACTGGGAGCAGAAGCCCCAGCAAGGCAGCCCTTCCCCCAACCCCATGACTGAAGCCCGTGCGGCTCTGCAGAGGCCCAGCGCCCTTCAGCCTGTCCCTGCCACATCTCGGTGCCTGGCTGTCATCCTCACCTGCATGGAGGCCCCAGCCCAGGTTTCCTGGCTAGGGATGGGCAGTCACACGGATGTGGCCCTGGCTGCTCTCCCATGGGAAAGGGAGGAAATCTGAGAAACATCTGGAAGCCGGGGCTTTCCATCTGCAGCAGTGAGGAGAGCCACTGTTTGGCACTGCTGCAGTGAGGATTGTTGCCTGTCCCCCCACCCCATCCACCCACCCCTGCCTGCACACAGAGCCCAGGTTCCTTCTCGTCCAGATCATCCCACCAGTCTGCTCTCCTCACCCCATGTTGTGCCTCCTTCCATACACCTCCCAGGAAGCACTTGCTGAGCATCTACTGTGTGCCAGGCCCAGGCTGGGTGCTGAGGGGTACACCGAAGTTTGAGATGCGGTTTGAGCTCTCAGCGTAGTCACACAGGGCATCACTGTAGAGTGACAGGGGGCTTCATAGAGGTGAGCAAAGGCTGTAGGACAGAGGAGGGCCCCATGCCTGGGGGACCACGTACCCTGTGTCTTGAGCAACTTTCACCAGAGTCTTAATGATGGCCGTGAGCCTCGAAAGCTAGAGGTGGAAAGTCTTTTGAGGCAGAGGGAACTGCCCAGGCAGAGGGCTAGGGCACAATAAGACACAGGGCTCTGGGGACTTTGGGGCTTTCAGCTGCCTCATTGGAGGCCCCAACTACCTTGACGTTGGCACGGCATGGGGGTTCAATGAGCTCCCGGCCATGGCAGAAGCTGACAGGCTCTGGGGTTGTGCTGGTCCAGAGTCACAGAGCTTGTTCCCGGACAAGTCCTGTGTCTACTTCCCCTAGGCTCTTTCAGTCCCTGAATGAGGGGGAAGCAGATTCCACTGCAGGGTGACAAGCAGGGCCATCCGGGCAGCACCGAGGAGCCGTAGGAAGTCCACAGCCCCTGGGGAGCAGCTGGGGAAAAGCCACCAGGGGACTGACTGACAGAGGCCAGGGCTAGAGAAAAGGCTGGAAAAGGCTCCAATCTGCCTGCAGCTCCTGGAGCCTGCTTGAGCCAGCCCCATCCAGGAAACCCCCAGGAGTGCAGGGGTGGGCACCTGCCCTCAGCCCAGCTGCTGTGAGCCACGAGCATGACCCTCACACTCAGTCTCAGTTCTTCTTCACTCAATGACAGCGAGTGTCCAGCCTGGGGAGTCCCACGTAGACCAGTACCTGTGGCTGGGTCACGGTACCCAGCCGATCCTCCACCACTCATGGCTCCATCAGTTACTAAACACCCCTCATAAGCCACATAGGGGAACAAAACAGACGTTGTCCCTGGCCTCCGGGAGCGTGCATCCTCAAGCGACAGACCAAAAGACAAACATGCAAACAGTTACATCAAGTGACAACTGAGTGTTATGAAGGAGCAACCAAGGTGCAGCGGGATGCAACAAGGAACGGGGGACCTCAGGCTGAGTGGCCTGGAAAGCCCTCTTTGATGAGGGCCTTAGAGCTTGAGCTAATCTCCGAATGACGTCAAGGAGTCAGGCAGCCAAAGAGCCGGGGAATGAGGGGGCCTATGCAGAGGCACAAGTGCAAAGGTCCTGAGCTGAGGCAGAGCATCGTCCTCTAGAAAAGAGTCCAAAGAGGCCACTGTGGCTGGACCCAAGAGTGAGGCAGAGGACGGATCTTACAGGGCCTTGAGGGCTTCAGGGGAGTTTTGAGCCTGGAAGGGACATGATTTGATTTTGGAAAGATGCCTGTGGCTGCTCTATAGAGGACACTGTGGAGACCAGCGTGGAAGCAGAGATCCAAGAAGTGTCTGGTGCACGCTGGACCAGGAGGAGACAGACACTGGTTCTTCAGACCAGGAATGGGCATGGGTTGGAGATAGGGGATTTGGGATGTATTGAGGCAGAGCCAACCAGTCACTGCAGAGAGGGGCCCCTGGCTGGCCCTGGGAGCCTTCCCCCAGCACAGAGGGCTGGGAGCAACTTCACTGGCCCCGCAGGAGTGGGGTGGAGCCAGCAGAGAGAGCTGCTCAGTATATAAATATCTTTAATGAATAAATAGAAGTGCTTTTAGGGCTGGCGGAGTCGTATCATTTCCACCTGCCGTAAAATTTCATTAGAAGCAGGCGCTGCAGGGGAGAGGAATGGCTGCAATAAATCTGCCCGCCCACCCTCAGCCCTGCCTCCACTCTGAGTCGGCTCAGCCCCACTCGCTGGAGAGTCCAGACCCAGACCCTTCTCCCCAGGCCTTCCTGGGGCCCAGGAGAGCCTGGGCCTTCCCTGCCCCACTCCCACATTGAACAGGCAAGAGGCGGCAGAGAGCTGTGGCTTGTCACTGAAAACCAGGGGCCTCACTCCCCTCAGCTGGGAAATGGGCATGACAGTTTCTGCCCCCACCTAATGCAGATGAGTTTCAGGGGAAGCAGTGTTCAACACAGGGATTCCTGGAACAGCAGAGCTGGGGCAAAGCATACCTTGCAGGTATCCAGTTTTACAAATGAGCAGAGGCCCCAAGAGAGTAGATGACTGTCCTCGGCCAGGCACAGTGGCTCACGCCTGTAATCCCAACACTTTGGGAGACAGGTGGATCGCCTGAGGTCAGGAGTTCAAGACCAGCCTAGCCAACATAGCGAAACGCCATCTCTACTAAAAATACAAAAATTAGCCGGGCATGGTGGCATATGCCTGTAATTCCAGTTACTCGGGACGCTGAGGCAGGAGAATCACTTGAACCCAGGAGGCAGAGGTTGCAGTGAGCTGAGATTGCACAATTGCACTCCAGCCTGGGTGATAGACTGAGACTCTGTCTCAAAAAAAAAAAAAAAAAAAAAAAGAGTAGGTGACTGTCCTAAGGTCACACAGGGTCTGCAGGTCTGGCACTCAGAAACTACCAAAGTGACAGCTCCAGTCTTTAGCATTAATCAAATGCTTGGCTCTATACTAAGCATTTGGCATGCACCATCTCACTGAGTCTTATTACTAGCCCATTTTGCAGATAAGAACACTGAGGCTCAGAGAGAACTAGGACCCACACCTTCCCATCAGTTAGTGACAGACACAGATGAGTATTCAGGTCTCTGCCCTGCCACAGAAGCCTTTTTCTGTTTTTTTCAAGTATGGCGGGGCTGGGATTATGTTTTCCTGGACATACAAATTGTCAAAGTGAGAGTCTTTGGAAGGACTTGGGGTAGAAAGTTCACTGAGTGCTGGCCAGGCGTAGTGGCTCAAACCTGTAATCCTAGCACTTTGGGAGGCTGAGGCAGGTGGATAACTTCAGGTCAGAAGTCCAAAACCAACCTGGCCAACATGGTGAAACCCTGTCGCTACTAAAAATACAAAATTAGCTGGGCGTGGTGGTGGGCGCCTGTAATCCCAGCTACTCGGGAGGCTGAGGCAGGAGAATCCCTTGAACCTGGGAGACGGAGGTTGCAGTAAGCCGAGATCGCGCCATTGCAGTCCAGCCTAGACCCCATCTCAAAAAAAAAAAAAAAAAAGCTGACCAAGTGCCTACTGTGTGCCAGGTAGTCTCTGAACCGAATGAAGGATGCTGTCCCTAGCACTTCATTGCATCCCTGTAGCTTCTTCCAAGGTAGCCATGCTCACTTCCATCTTACGGATAAGAAAAGGAAGCGCAGAGAAATCAAGGGATTTGCCCAAGGTCGCACAGCTTTGCCTCTGACCTTGGCCATGGCTGTCAGCACTCAGAAGAATTGGAGACCCATAGACCCCTCCCTCGGCCCCATGGCTACCTCCCCCAGCCCATGAGTGTGAGGCCAGGAACACTGGCCAAATGGACAGGCCCAGCTGGCAACATGCCAGGGCCCATGGTTATCACTTAAGCTCATTAAGCAGCCGTGACAGGACGTGGCCTGGGCCAGCTGTCTTTCCTCCCCACCCCACTCCAGCCCTCCTGGGAATAGGACCTGATGACAGGCACTGGCTTTCAGCAGCTGCAAGCAGAAGTCTCTCTGTCATGGGGGAAGATCCAAAGATACACGGACCGAACTTCCCCAGGCTGGCCTCTGGGCCCCACCTGCTGCCTGACCTCCTCCGGGCTGGGCACGTGGACCCGTGTGGTGAGTGAGCACAGGACGTGGACGCTGGAGCCAGGCTGCCTGGGCTCAAATCCCAGCCCTGCTGCTCCCCAGCTGTGTGAGTTGCTTCACTCCCTGAGCCTCAGTCTCCTCATCTGTGATATGGGGGGACCCCTCGCTTTGGAGACCTGCCACAAGCTGATGCACGCAAAGAGCTTGATCAACTATAAAGTGCTGATCCAGGCTCATGTCGTCATTACTGATATTCCTGAAATACCGTAAGATGAGACTAGACTGTTCCCCACTGGACTACAACGTGATTCGTCATTACTTATACCAGAACAACTGAACAAACCTGTAAAACATCAATCATCAGCAACCACCCAAGGCAAAGTCCCTTAGGAGCAAAGAGTGAGCAGTATGCCTATATACACAACAAGTGCTCTTTAAACCAAAGTGCTGTGGGCCTGAGCCGCTAGTGGATTCCAGCCACGGCTTCCAGCCCCCATGGATGCTCCCTCATCTGTCGGCTCACAAGGCCACCCACCTCCGTTTCTACTCCCCGGCCCCGCTACTTCCCATTTCTCCTTGGCCAATTCTGTTCCTTGCTCAGGACTAGCTCTGGGCTGGATGCAGCCCTCTCTGGGAAACAGGAGCACAAGTCCTGCCCTGGCGAGGGAGACAGATGCAGACACAACCCGCCATCAGCCAGGTCATGATGAGTACAGGCCCTGCTGCCTGAGGACGGGGCTGGTTTTCATCCGTTTCTGCACTTGGTGCCCAGCACAGGGCATGCCACCCTGGAGGTGTGCCTCCAACACGCCTGCAGCAGGTCGCTTCTGAGCACTTAGCATGTGAGCCGGCCCTGGGCAGGGCTATGGGGATTTCACAGCAAACGAGGCAGAACGCTCCCAGCCCTGCTGCCTTTGAGGAGCAGGAGACCCAGAGTAAACAGGCAGGCAGACACACAGCCAGGCAGCTTGAAAATAACAGAGTGACTGGAAGGGAGGGTGGCCACTCGGGCTGGACAGTCAGGGAAGGTCCTCGAAGGAGACGATGTCAGATTGAGAGTGGACTGACGCACGCACCAGCCGCCGGGGGAAGCTGGGAATAATATTCTAGGCAGAGGAAATAGTGAGGCAAAGCCTCGAGTGTGCCTCACATATTCCAGGAGCAGCCAGATGGGTGTGTGAGTGAGGGGAAGACGAGGGGGCTCAAAGCAGAGGTGGGATCCTTGAGACAGCTCAGTCACCTCACCTGGCCAGAGATGAAGGCCACTCCTGAATTCATTCACCCACCTCTCCCATCAGCCTTTCGTCTAGCCATTCATCCATCCAGCATGTACTGGTCCCCTCTCGGGGCAGCTCCTCCCTGGTTTGGAGGATTTGAGAGTGACTGAACTGACCCCTGCTCTCTGGAGCAGCTCATGGTCTCATGGGAGAGACCTTCATGCTAAGAGACGATCCCAACCCAGTGACGAGCACACGCAACCGGGGACACAGAGTCAGGAGGGAGGAAGAGCGGGAGGTGAGAGGACGGAGGGGTCAGCGCAGCCCGGCTCCACCTCGGGACAGTGGGTCTGCAATGTCATCCTCCCAGACAAAGGACAGTACATTATTAGTGTTATTAATTATCATTAATCTATTTAAATGGTAATTACAATTAAGAACACAGTGACAAAAATGGCACCTTGGATTTAAATGCCTCTTCTCTGGCACCGGAGTGAGTGATTTTTTCCTGAGCTCAGCCCCACACCCTGTCACAGCACAGCACATTTAGCAGGTGCTCGGCCAACCTTTAAGTTCAAATTCACAGCTCAGGCATCACAAGGCCCAACTCCCCTGTCTTACAGATGGGCAAACTGAGGCCCCAGAAGGGGAAGGGACAGGAACCAGGTCACCCGCAAGTCTATGGTGAAGGTGGAGTGAAGCCAAGAAACCCGATTCCCAAATGCCTCCCAACTCACTCCATCTCTAGCTGCCTTTATTTTTTTCCAGGAAAAAACAGCTGTCAGAGGCAGCCACCCTGTTACCGATTAAACAAGGCAAATTCTATCGGAACAGAATCGGAGGCACTCCGGACACCTAATTACACAGTCTGGAAGAGAAACACAGGCAGGGAAATAGAAATATGAACAAACAGCACCGCCAGACAACGGGGCGCCCTCCCCACCACCAGAGCTGCCACCCCTCCCCCTCAAGCCTCTGCGACAAGATGTGTCTCCCAGTCCTCAAATAAGATCCCCGCTCCCCAGGTGGAGGCTCACACACAGACCTCCCCTCTTCCCCACAGCACTGATCCAGGGCTCCCAGAGATGAATGGGGAGGCGTGGAAGTCATTTCAGGTGTCATTTCAGGTTGACAGCCAGGGCAGCCCAGCTGGGGCCCAGCGAGATTGGGCAGAGCTGGGCTTGAGCCCACACCTGCTGACCCTGGAGACGGGGCTCTGCCTGGGGTGCCTCCTGTGGGTGCTGCCTCTCTTCTGGCCAGCACACCTGGAGGTCTGTCCCCAGGAGGGTTAGTCCCATCCAGTAGCATCACGGGCAGGAAGCTGGACTTGGCTGTCCCTGCCTGCTGCGAGATTCTGCTATTGTATCTCAGGAGGATGCAAGCAGGTGAGGGCAGAGGCCCTGTCTGATTCCATTTCCGTGTTCCCCACATTGGCCGGCACCAGGGCAGACAGGAAGGAATGTGCCAGTAATGACGCTGGGCTCTAGGGAGACAGAAATGAGCAAAACAGACAAAGATCTCTGCTTTCAAAGAACTCATGAAGAGGAGATGGACACTAAACAACCTAACCAACCAACCAAAGGGAGGGAATCCAATGATACGATTTCTGATAGGAATAAATGGTGGGGTCAGACGCGGTGCTTCATGTCTGTAATCCCAGCACTGGGAAGCCAGGGCGGGCAGATAGCTTGAGCCCAGGAGTTCAAGACCAGCATGGGCAACAAAGTGAGACCTCATCTCTACAAAAATTTAAAAATCAGCCAGGCATGGTGGTGCATGCCTGTGGTCCCAGCTACTCAGGAGGCTGAGGCAGGAGGATTGCTTGAGCCAAGGAGTTCGAGGCTGTAGTGAGCCATGATGGCACCACTGTACTCCAGCCTGGGCAAGAGAGTAAGACCCTGTCTCTTACAAAAAATAATAAATAAATAAATGATAGGAGGCCAGGCGTGGCGATTCACGCCTGTAATCCCAGCACTTTGGGAGGCCGAGGTGGATCACCTGAGGTCGGGAGTTCGAGACCAGCCTAGCCAACATAGTGAAACCCCATCTCTACTAAAAATACAAACTTAGCCGGGCATGGTGGCGTGTGCCTGTAATCCCAGCTACTCAGGAGTCTGAGGCAGGAGAATTGCTTGAACCCAGGAGGTGGAGGTTGCAGTAAGCTGAGATCACGCCATTGCACTCTAGCCTGGGCAAAAAGGAGCAAAACTCTGCCTTAAAAATAAATAAATAAATAAATAAATAAATAAAATGATAGGAAGCAAATGCACAAGCTAATGAGATCGAGCAAATTGGAGTGTGGGTGTAGGAAGGTCTGTGCAAGGCCAGATGGTCCTGGAAGACCTCTCTGAGGAGGCGAGGTGTGAGCTGAGACCTGAACGGTGAGTGGGAACAGCTGTGGGAGGAGCTGGAGGAATGTTCCAGAAACAGGGAAGAGTGTGTGCAAACCAAATAAGCCAGTGGACGGATGTATCAGCCAGCGAGTAGATAGATGGAAATGCGGGCAGAAGGGGTCTCCTTCAAAGACAGGCCAGGGCCACAGCCAAGTCGGCAGGTCTTGCCCCCCTCTGCCGGGGTCCTTCACCTTGATGGGCCACAGGCCCCTCTGAGGGTCCCCAGCGTTGGGGGTGTCCTCCCTCCAGTCCCTCCACGAGTGACCTCCTCCGAGGTGCCCATTCCCTCCTCCTGGTGTTATTAGTGCACCATGAATAATCTTTATCCTCCTTCCTCCATGCTTTTTCCCTTCTTACCACCTCCTGACTCCCTGCTCACAGGCCGAGGCCTGAGAAAAAAGTCCATGGGCTTTCTGAGCCCGGGTTCCCTCTCTCTGAATGGAGAACGTGCCCGCCACGCCTGCTAGGTTCTGCCTCTTCTGGGCCGTGGGCTCTGACTCCAGCCTTCCTGTGTGTGACCTGCAACAAGTGGTCACTCTCCCTGAGCCTCTGTTTGTTTTTGTTTTTGTTTTTTTGAGATGGAGTCTCACTCTGTCACCCAGTCTGGAATGCAATGGTGTGATCTCAGCTCACTGCAACCTCTGCCTTCTGGGTTCAAGCAATTCAACTGCCTCTCAGCCTCCCAAGTAGCTGGGATTACAGGCACGCACCACCACACCCGGCTAATTTTTTATTTTTAGTAGAGACGGGCTTTCACCATGCTGGCCAGGCTGGTCTCAAACTCCTGACCTCAGGTGATCTGCCCACCCCGGCCTCCCAAAGTGCTGGGATTACAGGCATGAGCCACCCGGCTTGGCCCTGAGCCTCTGTTTCTGCACCTGAGAGGAAGAGAGCAACTACGCCCCCCACCCCATGCTGCTTCCCAGGCATTGGCTCACAATTCTCACAACTCCCTGCCGATGGGGGCATTACCTGGACCACCCTTCACAGATGCGGAGACCAGGCCTAGGAGGGACACTGTGGCTTGACCAAGGTCACATGTCCAGCAAGCGGTGCAGTGGGATTAAAAACAACTCAGGCTTTCGCTGGGTTAGACACTAGGGCTATTTCAACAAGAGTTTCCCAATTCTGGTCCCTGTCTTCTGGTTATGTAAGAGCATGTCTTTGTTGTAGAAAATACACAGTAAAATATTCAGGGATGAGAATGTATCACGAACTGTACCTGCAACTTTTCTATAGGTTTGAGATTCATTGGAAATTAAAAAAAATTAAAACATCCAAAATATAAAAGTAAACAAGGACCAGCGCTCCGTCCATGCCGGGTCAGTGCCCAGGCCAGGCACGGAGCTGGCCGGGCTGCCGATGGACACACGTTTTGTATTCACTGGCTCCTGAGGGGCGGGTGATGTGATTTTACTCCTCACTTTGCCAACGAGGAAACAAAAGCTTAGAGTCGTTCAGCCATTTTCCGAGTCCACACAGCCAGCGAGAGACAGGATGCGTGTTCCTGAGGAGCTTTCCCTAGAGAGGTGGGAGGGTCAGGAGAGAAAAAAACACGAAACGAGCTGCGGAGGGCTGGGGCCGGCGACTTGGCGCTTCGGGGCTGGGCAGGGGAGGCCTCTGGGCTGGGAGGCGGGATGGAGATGCTGGCTGCCAGGCTGCCACGGGCCAGGGCACTGAGCCACGTGAACCCTCTCCCCTGCCCTGCAGTGCCCTCAGCCCTCACTGGGAAGGGAGGGGAGCAGAGCCCCGTGGCTCCCACCCCGGTCAAGGGCTGATTGATCCTCCATGGTCCCCGGAGCTGGTCCCCTCGTCCGTACCTTGGGCTGCTGCGTGTTTTCTTGTCTCTGATTGTAAACAGATTTGACTAAAGAGGTAAATTAGAAGTTAATTAGAGAGAACATGATTGATGAGGCAGTTTGCCGTGATTGGGAGGCGTGGAAAGGATGGGGCTCCCCCCGGGTGGAGGCGAGGGATGAGGAAGAGAGGGGGTAGAATTCATAGGCCTGTGGATCTGCAGGGGTGCCCAGCACCTTAAGGGGCCAACTCAAGGCTGCCCTTTCTTCTGGACTCCATGGTCAAGGCCAGGCCCCCAGGTACGAAGCCCCAAGTGGGGCACTCATGAAACCCCATAATTAGCGACCAGGCCCCTGCTAGACTCTGGGGACAAAGCATCAACCTGTCCCTGATATGGCCAGAATGTTCATCTTAGAGCTGCAGGCTGGGCCGGGGAAGGCGCTGGTGCTTATTAAACATTGATGCTGCTCCAGGCCCCGTGCATGTTCCCAAAACCCTGCAAGGCTGATGCTGTATCACCATTTTTCAGATTAGGTAATCAAGATTCAGAAAGCTGAACCAGCTTACCAAGGTCACACAGCTAACAGGAACAGAGAGACTGACCTCTAGAGCAGAGCCTCTGCCTTTCTGAGTTCCAGGCTGTGTGCCAGGTCACGTGGTCCAACCTCAGGAGCCCTCTCAACAGCACCCCTGCTTACATACCTCCAGCAGTGGTGAGCTCACTTCTGCCCAAAGAGGCAGGATAGCTCATTATGGGAGCTTTGTCCTTGTGTGGACCTGGTCTAACTCCCTCCAGAGCCACCTCCAGGGCCCCTGCTTTGCCACTCCCCTACCTCCCTCACATGTCAGAACACAGACCTCCAGGGTGAGGAGGAGCCTCAGAGGTCATCCTACCCAACTCTCTCATTCTCCTGGGGAAACTGAGGCTGAGAGGGATACAAAACACCAGAGGGACACAGCGTGCTGGTGTCACTAATGGGTGGGCCTTCCCTGTGTCTGGAGTGCAGGCATCAGCCTCACTGTGCATCACTTCTCTCCCAGGCTGAAGTTGCTGCTCTCCATTCACTCATCCATTGCTTCCCTCCATTCATTCTGCAAGATTTACTGAGACCCGACTGTGCACTAGGGCTGGAGAGGACAGAAAGAGAAAAGCAGAAGGACCCCTTGCAGTGCTCACAGCTCAGTCAGGGGCGGGCAGGCACGATGGCCAGGCCTGCCAAGAAGGAGGCCAAGGGGAAGGAGGCCAAGGGTTAAGAGACCTGTGAGAGGGAGAGACAGCCCCTCCAGGAAGCAGCACTGAAGCCAACTCTGGAGGAGATGCGAGGGTGTTCTTAGCAGAGGGAACTGTGGTGGGAGGGAGGATGGAACATTCTAGAACTGCCAGAAGACCAAGTAGCTGGAAGAGAGCGTGAGGGGGAGCTGGTGGGAGGTGAGGTCACAGGAGGAAGCCCAGATCGTCATGGAAGAAGTTGTTTGGATTTTATTCTACGCCATGGGAGAGAGTCATTGAGAATTTGCAGCAAGGGAGGGTGGTCGGTTTTGCATCTGTGGAAGAAGACCCTCTGGCTTTGGGAGCAGAACAGACCACGGGGTGTGGGTTCCCATGCAGAGGGCAGGCAGGAGGTTCCTGCGGTTGCTGAGAGACACGGGGCTGCGCCCCAAGAAGTGCACAGATGAGAAAGAAGTTCCGGGTTCAATGGGCAGGGCTTGGAGGGATTAGATCTGGGGATGTGGGTGGGTGATGGATGGGGGTGCCCCTCGTGAGATGGGAAAGGTCAGGAATTTGGTTGGGGGCATGTCAGGAGAGGATGTGCGATAGACAGGGTGGTGCATTGGTCAGGGCTAAGAGTGGGACATAGCCTTGTGCTTCACTGTGGCCCCAGCTGCTGATGCGCTCACCCAGGTGAACGTGCCTGGTCTGCGGGCCCCTCCCAGCCTGGTGCCACCTTCCCAGGTCAGTGCAGCAGTGTCCCTCTTAAATGGGGAGACAGAAGACAGTGGAGCAGAAGAGACAGCTCCCCTGTTCCAGGCTGTGCGCTCCTGTCAGCACCACCAGGGTCCACATGTCCTGGCCAGGGGCCTTGTCCCTACTGTCAGTGGAGCTGGAGTCCTCCCGAGGGCCCGAGGCCCAGCATCTTGACTTCCCTCACTCCTCAGACGCCTCCATCCCTGAGCTGGAGTCCAGCAGGAGAACATCCACCGAATCAGGCCCGTGGCACAGGAAGCCGGGTTCTGATCAGGCCTGGCTGGTAGTGGTCACTGCTCCCGTTTACTGAGCCGGGTGCTATATGTAGTAAGTGATGATGTTTAACTTGTCCAACAACCCTCTGCAATAAGCACTGTTATTATTCCCATTTTACAGATGAAGCAATAGAGGCTCAGAGAAGGAAGAGGCCCAAGGTCACACAGGCTGGACGAGGCAGTCGGCACTCAAACCTGCTTACACTAGGGGGGTACTCCAGCTGCCTCTTGACGACCGAATAGGCCTTTCCAGCCTCACTGGGGTGGGGGTGAGGGGTGGGAGAGAGCCCCTGTTCAGGGGCCAGTGGGGCCTTACACATCCCATCCAGTGGAGGGGGACAGGAGCGCAGAACAAAGGAATGGTGACCTCAGGAACTGCCCGGCTGGCTCCTGCTCTGGAAACACCAGGGACCAGGGAAGCACAGGTTTGGTGACTGAATAGTGGACGCAGGACATGCTGAGGCCAGGGCCGAGCTGGGGCTCAGAGGATGCACACTGGACCTTTGGCCAGAGGTGGCCTCCTTGGGACACAGGCCTTCCAGCCTCTTCCCCTGGCCAGTGCTGGACTTCTAGTTTCTTTGGCTGCTAGTGGCACAGGATGGAGGACTGATGGAATGGAGTGGAGCTCCAGGATCCAGGCCTGTCTCTGCCTAAATTAGGAGACATGTGACCTCAGAAATCCCTGCCTTTCCCTGGGCCTTAGTTACCCCTCCTATACAATGAGGTGGCGCATCAAGATGATGCCCAGATTCCTCACAGCTATAGATTATCCGAGACAGAGAGGACAAACAAGTCAATAGCGAACCTTTATTGAGCCTCTACTCTGTGCCAGGTGCTGAATGCATGCTTCTCAAGTGTATCTCGTTTAATTTTTATGAAGCTGGCCAGGCACTGTGGCTCATGCCTGTAATCCCAACACTTTGGGAGGCCAAGGCAAGTGGATCACTTGAGGCCAGCAGTTCAAGACCAGCCTGGCCAACATGGTGAAACCCCGTCTCTACTATACAAAAATTAGCTGGGTGTGGTGGTGCGTGCCTATAATCCCAGCTACTCAGGAGGCCGAGGCAGGAGAATCACTTGAACCTGGCGGAAGCAGAGGTTGCAGTGAGCCAAGATCACACCACTGCGCCCCAGCCTGGGCAACAGAGCAAGACTCTGTTTAAAAAAAAGAAAGAAAAAAAAGAATAATTTTCATGAAGTAGTCAAATAAGGATCATAATCTTCACTTTAGAGGTGAGGAAACTGAGGCTTAGAAAGGATGAGTCACTTAGAAAGGATTCTCAGGATCACGCAGCTGGGATGCAGTGAGGCTGGACTCATGCCCATCTCTCCCTGGCTTCAGATGAGGCCATCCACAGCTCACTGCACACGTGTGTGACGGTGTGTATGCCCGGGTCAGAGCTGCACCCTGCAAGGTGTGTGAGAAGTGGGGTTTGAGGGGAAAGGGTGCACCAGAGCATGGGAGGAACAGCGCAGTGAATGTGGGTGGAAGGAAGCGAGACTAAGCAAACATGCAACTCTGGCCAAGTTTCTTTATCACCTCCAGTCTCAGTTTGCCCATCAGTAAAATGGGGATAGTCACAGCCCCCACTTCAGGCAGTTTAAATGAGAGGAGAGAAAGTCATGGGCACAGTGCCCGTTTGCCAAATGGTGAGAAGATTCTATCTCATCTGCTCTTTGCAACAGCCCTGGGGTTGGGGAAGGGGAGATGCACATCTCTCAGATGGGGAAACTGAGGCTTAGAGAGAAGTGAGCTGCACAAGGCCACATGGGGTTGGGATTTGAACCCAGTGGGGAGCTGTCACCACTACCCCACACTAGCAAAGAGCAGATATCAGATTATCAATATCGGATGGATGGATGGATGGATGGATGAGTGGATGGCCAGAAAAATGAAAATGTGCACACAGTCCCGGGAAATCTCTTCCTGCCAAAGCTGCCCTGGGGCCCTCTACCTGGTTTCTCATGGAGGGAGGGCAGGGCGGGTGGGAGGCCTGCAGCTCCAGGCGCCTGGGCCTGTTGCCACCTGCTCACCCACTTCTGCTCCTGGACGGCTGTTGTACCCTGGGCGGGTGAAGAGGCTGGGAAAGCCCCTGATGCTGCGCTGCTTTCGGGATCACAGCTGGAGATGTTCCCAGATTAGAGGGGAATTTATCCCCTCCGTGAGCTGCTGTGGCGTGATTTACAGGCCTTGGCGAGTTCCGTGAAAGACCGGAGCAGGTTCCAGCCATTTAAATATAATTACCTGGTGCCTCCATCCAGATTCTGCCAGTAGATCATGAATACAGGGGGCCCGGGATGCCCACTGAAGCCTCAGAAGACAGCTCGGCCCCCACCCAGGCCCAGCAATCTGGGGTCAAGTGGGTCAAGCCTGTCCGAACCCCCACCCTTGCCTGAACTTTCACCATTAGAATGTCATTCCTTTGGTTTAATGCCCCAGCCCTGGGTTTAAAGAGCCTTTGCTTCAGTGGGGAGAACATTAGCCTGGGTCTCTGAAGACCCCTGTTAGAACCCTGGGCACTTTGGTCAAGTCACTACCCCTCTTCTCCTTCTTGCACCTTAGAGCACTGAGCTGGAAATGCTCCCCAGTGATGAGGAAGCTGTGCCCTCCCATTCTAGAGATGGAGAAGCAGCCGCATGGAGAGGATGCCGCCAGAGGTGACCTGGAACTCAGAGGAAGCAGAGACTGGCTAGGGCTCAGTGTGCCTGATTCCCAGCCCACATGATGGAGGAAACTGAATCCCAGCATCAGAAGTTGGTCAAGCCGGGCGTGGTGGCTCACACCTGTTATCTCAGCACTTTGGGAGGCTGAGGTGGGAGAATAGCTCAGGCCCAGGAGGTCGAGGCTGCAGTGAGTTATGATCATGCCACTGCACTCCAGCCTGGGTGAGACAGGGTGAGACCCTGTCTCAAAACAACAACAACAACAACAAACAAAAACAAAAACAAAAAGACGTAGCCAGCCTGACCCTTTCCCCTCCACTCAGCTGAGATCTTGGCCCTAAACAATGCCCTTGGAGCCGAAGGGGCCTCCTTGTGGTTAAAAACTCCAGCTCTGTAGACTGGAGGCTGGGGCCACCTCTGCACCTCTGAGTCTTGGGTTCCTCATGTATAAAGGGTGGTGTTAGCAGTGCACACTCACAGGGTCACTCTAAAGCTTCAAGGAGAAACATGAGCAAGAGCCCAGCTCAGGGACCAGCCTGCGGCCAATGCAGGAAGTGTGGTTTATGATTTGGAATCAGGAAGATCCAAACTGGGTCCCGGATCTGCCACTTGCCGGCTGTCAGACCTTGGGCACCTCTCTGGGCCTCAGTCTCCTCACCTGTAAAATGGAGATTCAAATCCCTACCTGTCAGTGCTGTGAGCATTGAATTATAAAACAGGTTATGCACTTGGCACGTGGCCTGATACATTCTGGGCCTTCAGCAAATGATGGCTGCAGCTCGTGGCAATGAGGAAGTAATAACCCCTGCCAGGATGTGGAGTGTCCGGCTTCACCCGGCCAACCATAGCTGAAGGCCTACTACGTACTGGGCTCTGCCGTGGCAAAGTGACGAGCAAAATCCACTCAGTCTCTCCTCATAAGCCTCTCAGTCCTGTGGAGGAGACCAGCACAAACACGTTTCAGAAATCACATTTGTGTATTCATTCAATAATTATTTCTGGAGCTCCCACTTGGCGCCAGGACCTCTGCTAGGAAACAAGGAGCCACAGCCCTGTTGTCATGGAGTTTACATGTAGTGAGGACACGGCCAAGAAATAGACATGTAATGTGGCAGAGAAGGGTAAGTGTTGAGGAAAATATAGAAGGGTTAGGGGCTTCAGAGGGATGAGGGCTGCATTTTAGATGAGATGGTCCTGGAGCGTTTGCGAGGCAAGGAGGCAGACAGGTGGCAGATACAGGCCCAGGTCACAGTCACGGCGAGTCTTGTGAGGTGTGGTGAGCACCCTGGTCTTGGCCTGAGTGAGGAGACCAGCTTTGCAAAGGGAGGCGCCAGGGTGGGAGCCTGCCATCTGCCTCGGGACCCCTGCAGCCCAGCTCCAGCATGCAGCATGGTGGGCACTCCAGAACACTTGGAAGGAGAGAAGAAAAGAAAATCTAGAAAGGCACTCTCTGGTGGGGGAGGGGCCTGGGGATGCCCAGGGCACAGACAAGTAACATGGAGGCCTGGTCCCTGTTCTCTGGCCCCAGAGGGTCCACGTCCACCAAGGTCCGACATATGGATGTCCCAGGGAGGAAGGCAATTTCAGCCAAATGATGATAATGAAGGTGTGTGTGGTAAGGAACGCAGACATGGCAGAGGACAGAGCATTTCCCATCGCCGTCGCCTCTAATCCAAGCACCTCATGAAATTGGCTCTTCTATCCCCCATTTTACAAAAGAGGAAATCGAGATTGAGCCAACTTAAGAGATTTGCCCAAAGCCACCGGGTACGTAAACGGCAGAGCTAGGTCTCAAGCCCAGGCCCGGGGCTGCCTTTCTAAGGGACAGTGCGCTTCAGACTTGGAAGGAGATGCCTCTGGAGGTATGGGGCTCCCTCTGATTGGAGAGGTCCTGGAAGAAGTTAGCCCCACCCTGCAGGGTGCAGCTGGCCAAAGGAGGAGCCACATGCAACCTTGAGGATACAGCAGAGAATGAGAGTGTTGTTTTTGCCCTTATAGAGCTTATGGACTGGTAGGGGAGATAAACACTAAACAGCTAGGTGCACAACTACTTATTTGATTAAAATTGTGGTCAGGTGCAGTGGTGCACGTTTGTAATCCCAACACTTTGGGATGCCGAGGTGGGAGGATTGCTTGAGGCTAGGAGTTTAAGACCAGCCTGGGCAACATAGCAAGACTCCATCTCTACAAAAAATAAAATTAGCTGAACATGGTGGTGTGCACCAGTGGTCCTAGGAAGCAGAGGTGGGAGGATCGTTTGAACCTAGGAGTTCAAGGTTACAGGGAGCTATGATTGAGCCACTGCACTCCAAGGCAGCAGAGAGGCAGAGCGAGATCTGGGTGGCAGAGCCAGATCCTTTTTTTTCTTTTCTTTTTTTCTTTTCTCCTTCCTTCCTTCCTTCCTTCCCTCCTTCCTTCCTTCCTTCCTTCCCTCCTTCCTTCCCTCCTTCCTTCCTTCCCTCCTTCCTTCCTTCCTTCCTTCCTTCCTTCCTTCCTTCCTTCCCTCCTTCCTTCTTTCCTCTCTGTTTCTTTCTTTCTCTTTCTTTCTTCTTCCTTTCTTTCTCTTCCTTTCTTTCCTTTTCTTTTCTCTCTCTCTTTCTTTCTTTCTCTCTCTCTCTTTCTTTCTTTCCTTTCTTTCTTTCACAGAGTCTTTTTGTCCCTCAGGCTGGAGTGCAGTGCAGCAGCTCAATTTCAGCTCACTGCAACCTCTTCCTTCCAGGCTCAAGTCATCCTCCCACCTCCGCCTCCCAAGTAGCTGGGAATACAGGCACGTGCCACCACGCTTGGCTAATTTTTATATTTTTTTTGTAAAATCTAGGTCTCACTATATTGTACAGGTGGGTCTCAAACTCCTGGGCTAAAGCGATCCTCCTGTCTCGGGCTCCCAAAGTGCTGGGATTACAGGCGTGAGCCACTGTGCCTGGCAAGACCCCATCACTTCAAAAAAAAAAGTGACCAGGATGATGGCTGTTACTGCTGCTGCTTCCACCACCCTGGCACTGGGGCCCTGCTTCCTCTCTGAAGCTGGAGAAGGCTGGGCAGCCCTCAGAGGCTCCCTCTGCTCTGCAGCAGGAAATCTCAGGAAGACGCTGTCACCCAAGGGGAAAGCAAGGAGGATTAACCCCTGAGGCTGCAGGCATCCTTGAACAAGCCCAGCTTTACCAGCCACCTGGGCAGGTCCTCCCCAAGCCTGAGGCCCTGTCTTCTGCCTGCCTCCACCTGAGGGCTCTGATGGCAGAGGCTGGGGGCAGTGGACCTTGGTCCCAGCCACTGTGTGACTTCAGCCCAGCCACTTCATCTCTCTGAATCTTCGTGGTTTCAGCTGTAAGATGGAATGAACAGTCCCATCCTTGTCACGAGGATTTGGTGAGATAAATCCTGGTGTCTGGCACACAGGAAGCGCTCAACAGATGCTCATCCCCTTCTCCTGTGTGGGGTCCATGGAGATACTAGGCCCAGGCCTCCCTTAGAGGCATCTAGCTCTGTGCTGTCCGCTATGGTAGTCATGAGCCACACGGACCATTGAGCACTGAAAATGTGGCTGTCCAAAATTGAGATGTGCTTTAAGTATAAAATGCACACACCAGATTCTGGTGGCTTGGTATGGAAAAAGGAACGTAAAATATCTCAGTAATAATGCTTTATATTGATTATGTGTTGAAATGATAATATTTTTGATATATTGGGTGACATAAAACAGATTATGAAAGTTAATTTCACCTGATTGCTTTTACTTTTTTAAAATGTGGCTACTAGAAAATTTAAAATTACACAGGTGGCTCGCATTTTACTTCTGTTGGACAGCATCGGCCTAGCTAATTACTCACAACCATGGAATATTTAGACTGGCATTAACCACGCCATTAAAGTCAGTTCAGGATTTTAAAAACACTCCTACAAGCAGGGCCTTGTAATTGGCAGAGACCCTGCTGTCCCGCGGTGTTTAATAAGCACTTGGTTTGCAGGGTGAAGGGCCCTAGGAACCCCTCCCTGATGCAATTAATTGCCTTTGATGGGGATTGTCATTAGGCTTCTTGCTGGGACAACACAGATACGAGCCACATGTACTTACTGGCCTTGGTAGAGTGCAATTTGTGGGTTTAGGTTCAAATCTGAGGGCCAAAGCCTGGAGGGATACTATGGGCTGAATGTGTCCCCCAGATTCATATGTGGAAGCCCTAACTCCCAATGTGGCTGTACGGTATTTGGGGTAAGGAAGTAAATAAGGTTAAATGAAGTAGGAAGGGTGGAGCTCTGATCTGATAGGATTAGTGTCCTTATAAAAGAGACAATAGATATTAGGCTGGGCACAGTGGCTCAAGCCTGTAATCTCAGCACTTTGGGAGGCCAAGGCAGGCAGATCATTTGAGGTCAGGAGTTCAAGACCAGCCTGGCCAACATGGTGAAACCCCGTCTCTACTAAAAATACAAAAATTAGCTGAGTGTGGTGGCAGGTGCCTGTAATCCCAGCTACACAGGAGGCTGAGGCAGGAGAATCGCCTGAACCTGAGAGGCAGAGGTTGCAGTGAGCTGAGATCACACTACTGCACTCCAGCCTTGTCTGAATAGAGTGAGACTCTGTCTCAAAATACATAAATAAATAATAAATAAATAAATAATGAGAAGAGACACCAGAGAACTCCCTTTCTCCCTTCCTCTTCCCTCTCCCACCCTCTTCCTCTGCACATACAAAGAAGAGGTCTTGTGAGCACACAGCCAGACAGCAGTCACCCCCAAGCCAGGAGAAGAGGCCTCAGAGTGAAACCTATCTTGCTGGCACCTTCATTTTGGACTTTCCAGCCTCCAGAACAGTGAGAAATAGATTTCTGCTAATTTCTGCTTAACCAGTCTGCAGTGTTTTGTTACAGCAGCCTGAGCAGACTAGGACAAAAGGTTCTTTGGGCCTCGGAGAAGTTCCCTCTTTGGGAAGCCACAGAGCTGGATGTTTTTTGAGGAGCTGCTTGGCTGCACAGGTGATGATGGATCCTGTCTGACCTCCTCAGGCAAGTGGCATGTGGAAGAAGGACCCCGGCCTAGAGTCAGGAGACCTGGGTCTTTGGCCTCGTTCTGCCATTCCCTCACTGTGAGATCCTAGGCTTCTCTCCATGTCTTTCTAGACCTCAGTTCCTCTGTCTGCACAAAAGGGACATGAGGATTGATCTTTGATGGCCTTCTCCGTTAAAAATTAGAGATGCTGGCTGGGCATGGTGGTTCTCGTCTGTAATTCCATTCGCCACAGTGGGAGGATCGCTTGAGGCCAGGAGTTGAAGACCAGCCTGGGCAATATGGTTAGACTCCTATCTCTACAAAATATTTTTAAAATTATCTGGGTGTGGTGGTGCATGCCTGTAGTCCCAGCTACTCGGGGGCTGAGGCGGGAGAATTGCTTGAGCCCAGGAGTTTGAGGCTGTAGTGAACTGTGATAGTGCCTGCCACTTTACTCCAGCCCGGGCAGTAGAGTGAGACCCTGTCTTAAATAAATAAATTAAAAAGATGCTTTAAATTTAAGTTTTAGGTTTTAGATTATGTCTTCACTCTGTGTGGTCCACTTAGACCGGAATCCAGAAGAAAAATGTCAGGGACACTCCCTAGGACTTCTGGCAAAGGCAGGAGCCAGAATGAATGAATTTCCTGTGCCCAGGCCCCCCTGCTGTCCCTGGCTCCTAGCCCTTGGCCCAAGCATGGCTCTCAGCCTAGACAAGGCCTTCCTAGGAGGCCTAGGAGCCCTGCGGGAGGCAGAGTGCAGATAAAGGCTCGGAGTCCGTCCATGTGGAAAACCTGGGTCTGCGGCGATCGTGAACCACATGGGCAGAGGGGCCAGACCTGGGGTTCCTATGATGGGAACATGATGTGACTGTGGAGGCCAGTCAAGGCTCCTGCCAGCGGTGAGTGGAACAGATAAAGAAATCAGTCATCAGAGGAGAGAAGTACCCCAGACCGGAGTGGGAGGTCACATATCGGCTCCCTGTGCTGCCCTCCAGAGGGGAACTGGGGCAGAGGGGCCTCCTCATTCCACGAGGCTGGCTGGGCTCAATTCAAGGAACCCTTGTCCTCCCACCTCTGTTGGAATCCTCACTGCAGCCCACTGGATCCCTGCACGAGACACACCTGGGGTGCTTAGTGAGCAGGCAGATTCCCAGATACCCACCCCGAAAAGCCAGTCTGAAAGAGAACACCCAGGGGTGGGGCCTGGCCACAGCCAGCCTCTCCAGAGAGTCTCAAGTCCAGTAATATCTAATAACTCTGTGTTTAGGCCAATGGTGTTCAATCCTAGCTGTGGACTGTGATCACCTGGGGAATTTTTTTTAAACCCTGATACCCAGATCTCACCTAAGACCAATTATGTCAGAATCTCTGGGGTGTGCCCTGGGCACCCATATATTCTTAAAGCTCCCCAGTCGTCCCAGTGTGGGTCCAAGGACTGCCCCAGCTCCAGATCAATTCTAAGAGCCTCAAGATGAACATCTGGGGAAAAGGAGAAGTCATGAGTCTCAGATAAGAGAAATAACTTGCCCAAGGTCACACAAGGTGGTGATGGCAAAGCCCGTCCTGAAACCCAGGCCTCTTTCCTGACCGTGGGCCAATTTCTTCCTGATGCTGCATCTCTTTTTAAAAACCAGAGCCCAGGCAGGCAATGCCCACAGTATTTCACTTTAATAATATTGGAAACCGGTACAGTCAGGGCCACCACAGTGGTGGGGCGGGAGCCTCGATGGCGATTAGGGGAGCTGTAAGTCTTTCGCTTTATCCAAATCTTGGGCAGTAATTTAGAAAATTTAATTAAAGGGGGAGAAATGGGGACACCTCGCGCTCCCTGCCTCCTGTTATAATGAGTGAAATACACCAGGCTGTAAAAGGAAATGCTGTCTGAGACGCAGCTCCGATGTTTTATTGCCAAGTTTTATTCACTGATGTAAACGTAATCGCTGGAAACCGGAGCTCTTATTAACACACATATTTTCACACATCCGGGGCCCCTCCTGCTCCCCCCTCTCCCTCTGGGCTTGTTCACCCACCTCCTAGGGTCAGCCCTGCTGCTTTCTGGGCATGTCTATGCCAAGCCTGGAGTTCCGCACCGGTTTCATACCCTCCCATGGCAGATAAGACTTTAATAGAATTCCATTGCTCCTCAGAGCTCAGTAATGCATTCTGGAAATTAGGCGGCTACATACTAAAGCCATTGTTCCCCCTTATAAATGGGCTCTCTCAAAGCCAGTGACCATGGGGGCTCTGATAAGCTCTCATGAAGCCTCACTCCACATGTTATTGGTGTGCTAAAAGGTGCAACTCCAGGCTTACATTGCTCATTGTTAGGGGCTGATACATTTAAGTAGTTTCTCCATGAATCAGGCAGCCTAGGTATTTCCCCCACTCTTGGCATTGATAGATGAGCAAAAGGAAGCCATTTAGATGGTGCTATATAGGGCTCCAGCCCACGTGGTGAATGATTTCCAATGCCTGGTTTAATTTATTTTTAAATGAAATTTGTTATTGATTCTGGATTAAAAGGACAAATCTTACAGCTGTTACCACTGACAGAGCCACAGTGCTCAAGTGACACCTCTCAAGGAGGGGAGGGAGGGTGGCCTGTCTGAGTCAAGGGGAGGGTATGGAGACTCTCCAGGGAGCTTGGCTCAGCAGTAAGGGGCAGTGCAAGATCCCATGCTTAGAGGGAAGTTTAAAAATATCATCTTTCCCAATTGAAATACTTGACGTGATGCTCACCTCTGAGCCTCATTTATATAATGGAAATAGCAGTGATATTTGCCTCATGGCATCCACACGACCACTAGAGGCATGTTAGTTGCCTCCAGGGATGGGAGGCTTTCCATCTCCTGCAGCATTCCCAGAATGAAATGAGTGACAGGCGTCACCCACTCTAGTGAATTCCTAGAGACTGTTTCCTGGGCTAGTCTTTGCTTACCTTCTGCCTCCACTAGGCTCTCGGCTTCCACGGTGCCCAGAGATTACACTTGCATTGGGAAGCAGACAAGAGGCACAATTACACAGGGGAGGAGGATGGGCTGGGATGTGTCCGTTCACATTCAGCCTCTGCCCTACCTCACTGTGCAACTTTGTGCAGGTTACATCATCTTTCTGAGCTTTGTTTCTCCATCTGTAAAAGAAGGAAGGGTATAATAGCAGCCTCAGGGGTTGTTGTATGAATTATAGGAGATCATGGGTGTGAATGTGATTTGTAAACTGTAAAGTGTAGTTTAGGTGCTGCAGGAAATACAAGTGGGACAGTACAGTATAGTGGGAGGTCTCTGAGTTGGGAGACAAAGGACCTGGATCCAGTTCTGTCATGAGTGGCTGTGTGGCTCTGAGAAAGTGAATTACTTTCTCTGGGTCTTAGTTTCTTAAGGTGCCAAGAGGGTAGGTTGGAATCAAACATATGAAATGTTTGATTGGCTCTGGAATCAAACACATCATGGCCTTGCTATGTCGCTTTAGGCAAAATACCTAACCTTTCTGAACCTATGTCCTCATCTGTAGATATCAAGAACACTAGTCAACATGTATCATGTATTTGCCATGTGCCTGGCATTGTTCTAAGTGCTTTCCATGTAACAACTCATTTAATCCCCACCACCCTGCTGTGAAGGAGGTATTATTACCCTTGTTTTACAGACGAGAAAATTGAGGCACAGGGAGGCTAAGCAACTTGTCTAAGTTTACACAGCTACCAAATGGCAGGATTCAAAACAGAGAATATGGCTCTAGAGCCCACACTTCTAACCACACCATCCTACCCTACCTGGCCTGGTGGTTCTGAGGATTAAGGGGAATAATGAAAGTTCTTAGGGCCATGCTGGGCATACAGTGATGAGCCAACAGAGGCTTGGGGACTGGGAGAAGGCAGCAGGCATTTCTTCCCATGGGGACTCAGGCTGGACCTCGCCCAACTGGGGACTCAGCTAGACAGAGGGGAAGGCATACAAGCACAGGGGAAGCACTGGGAAGGTTGAAGATGTAATGAGGCCAAGGCATGCCCAAGAGAGCACAGGATATGTGCAGGAGGTGAGTCTGGGACCCTGAATGCAAACTAGAGAAGTCAGGATTTCTCACATAAACAGGCCATCAGAGGGTTTTTTTAGCAGAACCATTATATCATGAGCATTTTCTTCTTTTTTCCTTTTTTTTTTGAGATGAAGTCTCACTCTGTCACCCAGGCTGGAGTACAATGGTGTGATCTTGGCTCACTGAAAACTCCGCCTCCCAGGTTCAAGCGATTCTCCTGCCTCAGCCTCCTGAGTAGCTGGGATTACAGGTGCCCACCACCACTCCTGGCTAATTTTTGTATTTTTAGTAGAGATGGGATTTCACCATGTTGGTCAGGCTGGTCTCGAACTCCTGACCTCGTGATATGCCCACCTCGGCCTCTCAAAGTGCTGGCATTACAGGCGTGAGCCACCACACCTGGCCGATCACGAGCATTTTCAAAGGCATACAATCCCTGGATGTCTGTCCTTGAAGGAACCTTGACCTTGTTCCAGGCTTCAAAGAGAAAAGATTTCTGAAGGTCAGCCGGTGGGCTAGGGGCACAGCAGCAATGTGCTGCCATCCCGCCAGACCCCCTTCCTCTGCAGGCCTGAGCAATCTCTTGTTTACTCCTCTTTAATCTCCTCTCCCTCCCTGTCCCCTTGCCTGTGTCTGCTCCCTCCAATCTGTGGTTTAAGAGGAGAAAGCCCGGGTTTGAGTCCCAGTTCTGTCACCACAGTCTCCTGGTGAGGCCTCAGGCTGGGGTTGAAGGAGTCCTGGGTTTTAGTCTGGCTAACATGGTGGCTGCTATGTGATCTGGAGGATTCTCAGTTTCCATATCTTTATGATGGAAGCAGTAGTTCATTTCGCTGGGAGCGGGGTTCAGGGTAGTTAATGAATGAGAAAACACGTGCATAGAGTCCAAGACGCCTGGCCAGCCCAGGATAACCTAAACACCACCTCTGTGTGGGAAGAAAGTGAGAAGTGAGAGAATCAGGCAAACACGGCCCCTTCCTCCAAGGCATGTGGTCCAGAAGGTTCGGGGGGTGGGGGAAGCGGTCGACGCTTGGGACCTGTCCTCGGTACTGAAGGGAGCGCGGGGGCTGTGGACGGTGCTAGAACACAGTGCTTGTAAGTGCGGGACATCGTGGAGGAGGTGTCCTTAGTTTGGAAGGAGCTGGATTGTTGCTGGCTACCACGGGCCCCATCCGGTGTGCTACCCCCCCCCCATAATACTGGAAGGGGGGCGCTAAGACAGAGGGAAGACGGCGAGGGGCTATGTTCCTTGGTCTCTAACCTTGTTCTCAAACTTGGGCGCTGTACACACGGCTGGACGCGGGATCCACCTGTGTTCTGGAGTGGGGAGTGGGCTGTCGGAGGGGTTGACCCTGTTCGACGGGGACGGGGAAGAAAGTCTGAGGGTCTGTCCACGGTGTGAACCCTAGCATCAAAGGGCCAGTTGAGACGCTGTCCACGGTGCCCAAAGGATGGGCCCGGGTGGGGCGGGGGGCGGGGGGCGGGGGGGGGGCTGGCGCTGTCCTCCTCCGTGGTGCTGAAACCGGGAGGACCAGGCTGTGTGAGCAGGGAGGCCTGGGGAAGGGCAAGGGATGAGAGCAGGAGGGACCCCGCCCAGGAGTCAGGGGCCTCGCCCGACTCGCCGTGGGACCTCAGAGAAGCTAATTACCTGATTTCAGGCGCTTCCTTATCTTTTAAATGGGACCACAGTTCCGCCCTCCTGTCTGTCCCATCAGCCCCAGTAACACGGCTTGGGAAGGAACTGGAGGACTTTGTTGGATTCTTGCTCTTGGGAATGGGAATGGTGCCCTATCCCCCTCCCCTGCCACACTCACACACACATACACCCACGCATACGCGCGCGCACACGCACACGCACACACACACTCATGCACACACACACCATCAAGGCTCATTGGTCTAGGGAAGGAGCCTACAGTCCAGAAGGGGGCGATCCCATCCACCACATAAGGTCCAGTATCTTCAAGAGCCAGGAGCCGCAACAACTAACTGGCCTGTCTCTCTCCCATTACAAAGACTCGAAAACTGAGTCCCAGAAAGGGGAACACCGACAATAATAACTACTGAGCTCCTACCACGTAGGCAGCATTATGCTAAGCGCTTTGCATGCACGATTTCGCAAATCCTCACCAGGACCCCCGCAGACAGCTATTACCCCTATTTCTCAGATGAAGACTTCGAGGTTCAGAGAGGGGTAGACACCCGGACGCGATCACACAGCGAGCCGAGGTCGGCGGCAGAGCTATCACCAGGTCCCCTGGGTCTCAGCCCAGGCTCCCACCCTACCTCGCCCTCACCCCCAGCCCCACTGGCCCCTGACCCCGGCCCCGCCCTGCCGGTAAAGTTAGGAGCCTCTGAGTGCGCTGGCCTGGCGGCGGGTGCCCTGGCTTTTCTCCCTCTCCCCGCTGGACGGCATTTCTGTGGCTGAAGCCCGTTGGGTCGTGCTTTGCGGGAACCGCGTCCCTGGGGTGGCTCTCTCCGCCCCATCCCGGCCCCGCCTCCGCACTCGGGCGGGGGAAAGTTGCGGGTACCGCTTTAAAAATCCCAGCCTGGGCAAAACTTTGATGATAAATCAAGCGGCAGATCCCTCCGCCGCCTGCTCCGAGCGGGAGGAGGGAGGGGAGGAGGGAGGGGAGGAGGGAGGCGGGAGGAGGGAGGAGGGTGCGGCGGCGGCGCGGCGTGGCCTTCCGCGGAAGGGAAGAGTCCCGCAGTCGGAGGCGGCCGGCTGGGCGTGCGCTCGCTCCCCGAAGCCGGGGCTGGGCCGGAGCCGGGCGAGGGCTGGGAGCTGGGCCGGGTCCGGGGACAGCGGGCGAGGGGCAGCTGCCGGAGCCGGGCAGCCAGGCCGCTCAGGGCAGGGGACAGCTGGCGCCGGTTCTGCGGTCTCCGGGGCCCAGATGTGAGGCGGCGGCGCCCCCGGCCCGAGAGCGCACGATGGGGGCCCCGCTCGCCGTAGCGCTGGGCGCCCTCCACTACCTGGCACTTTTCCTGCAACTCGGCGGCGCCACGCGGCCCGCCGGCCACGCGCCCTGGGACAACCACGTCTCCGGCCACGGTGAGTTCGGTCGCCGCCCCCGCGGACTTCCCCACCAAACCCCAACCCGGGCCGCGCCACTCCAACTTGGCCGCCCCGGGGCTCGAACCGGCGCCAGTCGTGGCGGGCATCCCGGGGCGCCCCCTGCCGGCGCGGTGGACCCGCCCTGGCACCCTGGCCCTGCAGAGAAGGGGGCACCCGGGGCGCACCCCCGAACCTCCTCCCCACACACTCGCGCGGATACGCACACCTGCATGGCCACACCGATATGCACAGCCGCGGACACACTCAGAGCCACAGTCGCTGCTTTCTCACACTCACAACTCCTACCCTGCACATCTCCACACACCTCAGGTCCCCCTCCTCACTGCAAGCCTTTACACTTATGCCCACTACACACGCACATCAGGCACTGCGCCGGTGGGCTCACTCTGCCAGCTGGCGCACACGCTTCGCCACAACTCTTGCCTGCCCACCTGCAGACACACTGGTGCGCGCGCGCGCACACACACACAGGCACACACATACACACACATGAACACAATTTGCTCACCCACTCCTCTCTGCCCATCTGCCTTTACTCTTCTGGGTTTAACCGCACAGAGGCCCTTGTCCTCTTCCTCTCCACACCCAGCCCTATACCACTGGAAAGGTCCTTGGGGGCAGAAGACCTTGTTTCTTGAGAACTGGTCGCCTGGGGCTGCAGCCTCCCAGTTGGGCGGGTGGCACCTGGTGGAAGCCCCTCAGAGCCACCGGAGTAGTTGGGGTTGCTGCTTGCAGCCAGAGGCATGGGAGTGGGAGTGGAAGTGGAATGCCGGGTGCTTTTGTCTGCCTCTGGGGATGGGCAGGAAGCCGTGCCATCCTTCCATAGGGTACCCCCATCCTCATCCTCGGCCCTAGAGGACTGAAATGTGGGAAATCTCAACTCCAGCCGCTGTGGAAGCCGGGGAGCAGACAAGCATTCCCAGCACTGGCTGGCTGAGTGTCAGAAGCTCCTGCTAGCCCCGAAGGAGCCCAAGTTGGCAGCAGAGTTGGACTGTATGAGCCCGGCAGCTGTGGGGGCTCCCCCTGACCCCTGTGAGCCTGGCTCTGGGATGGAGGCTCGAGCATAGATGAAACCAAAGGAGACCTTTCTTCCATGCAGCCCTTCACTAGACAGGCTGACAGCCTTGTTGGGGAGGCTGCAGCCCCAGTGCTGGGCACTGTGGGCCCAGGGCTGTGGGGAGGTTTGCACAAAGGCCAGATAATTGGATGATTTATTCTGATGGGAGTGAGTGGGGGTAAGGCAGGGTAGATAATCAGGGAAGGTTTTGCTGGGGTATGACACATGAGTGGGATTGCTCCAGTGGAGAGGGGGGCTTCGAAGCCATCCTCAGGGTCTCTGCTTTTTGGGAACCATGACTCCCCGCCCCCTTCTGCCTCACCATGTTTGGTAGTAACTGCTGTGTGCATCATTTACATACCCTTCATGCCCCTCACCTCATTTCTACCGACCTGGCTAGAGCGGTGGTAAATAAGGAAAGGGTTCTTTTGATCCTCAACTTACAGATAGGGAAACCAAGGCTCAGAGAGGTGAAGGAAGTTGCCCAAGGTCACACAGTAAGAGAGTGACTGAGCCAGGACAGGCCCCAGGGTCTGTCAGGCAAAGACAGCGCTTTTTTCCAGGACATTCATCTCCCTGTCAGATTCCCTCCCATTCTAGGGAAACTGGGAATTCCTCCCTCTCCACCCCTCCTCTCCTCGCTCCGCTCAGTCCCTTGGCACAGTTGGAACTTACACTAGGAGGGGTTTCCATGGAGGGCCTTCCCTGAGTTTGCAGTCCCGAGGGGTATGAGGAATGGGACTCTGAGGCTTATGGTCGTTCTGTCCCTAGAGCACCAGACCCCAGGGACTTGGGTGCCAGTCTGTTATTCCCAAGGCCCCAAGGTGGCTCCCCCCCATAGAAAAGCAGGGTCTGTCTGCCCTTTGTGTGACAGTCTCTACCTGTCCCCTGGTGCCAGGTAAGCTGAGGGGGCACAGCTCTGCCCAACCAGCTGTAATCTCCCCTCTGCACCCTGGAAGGTCAAGCTAAGGCCCAGGACAGGGGCTAGATGAGAAGGAGGCACCCCTAGTTGCTGGGGAACCTGGCTTCTCTCCTGAAACCCCCGTGTGGCTCTGGGCAAGTGAGCCACCCCTCTGGGTCTCCCTGTGTCCCTAAAGAAACAAAGAAGCCAGGCTGCTCTGCAGGGGCCAGGCTGCCTTCCCCCGACATTGCCAGGTTCAAAGTCACCAAGTAGTGACTGCCGAGGAGCCCCCACAGCTGCCCCTCTGCCGTGCCAAGCACCCGCCACCACAGGAAGGGTTTGGAGCCACTCACTTAATCACAAAAAGAAACTGTTATTAATGATAGTGAGACGCGGCGAATAAGTGGGTCATGTCTAATAAGCTATTTGTGTTCAGGAGGAGAATACCAATTTGATAAAAGCTGTGTGTGCTGAAAAAGCTCAGAAATTGCTGTTTAGCAGATTGGGGCCTGATCATTTCATTATTCCTGGGCTCCGTGTGTCCTCAGCTGATTCAGGAAATGTGGCCCAGTCGGGAAGGTGTCTCTGTGTCTGGGGGTGGGGGGTGGGGGCTGGAAGCAGGGGCTCCTGGGGAGGGGCACATTGACCCCAAGTGCTTGGTGGCTGCTCACCCCTCCAACTCCATCTGAGCCCAGCCCGGCCGCCGGGCTCCTGCCTTCCACCTGCCTGCCCTGGAGCTTGTCACAGGGAAAGCCTGCGGTCAGATGGGTCAGAAAGGACATCTGTTTTGCTTCCCATCTCCCTCCCACCTCCACTCAAGGTACTTGGAAGAGGGCTTTTTCGAGGTGTGAGGAATGAATGGGGAGCATGTATCTCAAGGAGGCATCAGGCACTGGGAGGTGGGGTGGTGATGGTCCGTGTCTGCACCTAGTAGGTGCTCAATAAACAGGAGTGATTTTGATTTTTTCTTATCAGAAAATGTTAACTCATTGCCCATGGGCACAGCAGGGATGGGAGGAAAAGGTGCAAGCATTGATGAAATGCCTACTGTGTGCCCCGTGCTGCCAAGCCCTTGCCAGTGTTAACTCACTCAGGCTGACCATTCATGCAAGGTTGGTGTTGGAGATAGGAGGAAACTGAGGCTCAGAGAGGGCCAGTGACTTACCCAAGGGTGCTGAGTCTGTACAGAGAGCTGGAAAGCTGTGTTTAAGATGAAGATGCATCTGGCAGCTCTGGGACTGCCTCCTCCAGAACAGCCTTGAGGCAGGCTTGGCCATGGCGTCTTCCTTCTTGTAGCCGTAACCCAAGCTTTCTCCCTTCTAGCTCCTCAGGGAACCAGTAAAGCAGTGGGTTCCACCAAGAGGAACCAGCCACTCAGAAAGGTGGCAAGATCTTGCTGAGGATACCTGTAGGTTAGAAACAGGCAGCTGGACTGGACCCCAGGATCTTTCCAGATCTTGTCCAGGGGAGGGATCCAGAGGGCAGGGTCTTTGTGAAGATCTCTGTAGACCCCTACAGCTTGCAGAGGACCCCTACAGCTTGCAAGAAGCCTCACATGGCAGAGTCCCCCAGGGAATTTTTTACAATGCAGATCCCCCAAACCCGCTGCCAGAATGGTTATTTGATGGGACCCTGGAATGTACATTTTATTATTATTTTTTAATTTCTCTTGAGACAAGATCTTGCTCTATTGACCAGGCTCGAGTGCAGTGGCACAATCTCAGCTTACTGCAACCTCTGCCTCCTGGGTTCAAATGATCCTTTTACCTCAGCCTCCGAGTAGCTGGGAGTGACAGGCATGTGCTACCACCCTCAGCTAATTTTTAAATTTTTTGTAGAGATGAGAGCTCATTATATTGCCTAGGCTGGTCTTGAACTCCTGGGCTCAAGCCATCCTCCCTCCTCGGCCTTCCAAAGTGCTGGGATTACAGGCATGAGCCACCGCATCTAGTGGAATCTGCATTTTAATAAGTTCCCCAGAGGATTCTCATGCAGCCTGGGATTTGGAAGCCACTGCCTAAGTATTTACCCATACCTGGTGGGAGATGTAGGGACAGGAAATGTCTGACGCTATGGACTGGCTTGGTTTGGTTTCACAGGGGAGGGAGAGGTCCAGACAGGGGCAGGTGGATGGTCCCTGAGAGGAGCTCCAAGAAGCCTCACACTGCAGCAGACAACTCCCCTCCCACCCCCACCCTGCCACACACACACACCCCTACACACACACACACCCACACCCACCCCTAGGCCAGCACCTTCAATTATTCATATACCCCAGTGCAGACAAAGATCCTGGCTTGGCCGGGGGCTTTGTCCATTGAGTGATTCACTGTCCTGAGATTCTCTCTGTTGCCAGGAGGGACCAGCAGGGTGCTGGGGGAGGGAGGGGGCACCGGGCCATTTGGCAAGCAGCCTGTGCACTGAAAAATGACTCTGGCTTCCTCGCATTCCTTACTGAACTGTTGGTATCTCACCATCAATAAGCTGGCTAGTTTGGTGGCTGGAAGATGAAGAAAATTGAGTCCTGTCTTCCAAAGGTTATGATGTTAAAAATGTGTTCGTCTTTGTCTCGGGCGTTGGTGATTATTCTATCAATTACGCCTGTAAACACTCTGCCTTGGGCTGAGGGTTTCCCGGCCTCCTGTGGGGAATTGGCCCTCACAAGCGGTTTTCCCCAAGTCCTTCACACCAATTGGTTTTGACACCTTGCCCATCAGCAGCTCCTGCAGCCTTTTCCCCAAACAAGAGAAGCCGCAGGCGGCCAGCAGGACGCAGGGAATTTGGCTCCTTGCCATGGTGACAGCAAGGATGGTGGGCAAAGTCGCCTGCGGCAAACAAGTGGGCAGGGTGAGGGGAGTCGGGTAAGTGACCCCTTCTGATCCACCGGCTGTGGGGGCAGGAGATGGAGCTTTTGGAATGAATCATGGAGGCCCCTTGGGACCATCGTCCCAAGCCTCTCTCTTACAGATGAGAAGACAGAGACCCAGGGGCAAGGGAGAATTTGCCCAGAATTGCCCTGGAGGGTACTTCTTGGCTTTTGGGATTACCTCATCCAACTCTGTACAAATGGAGAGATTGGCTGGGCACGGCGGCTCATGCCTGTAATCCCAGCACTTTGGGAGGCTGAGGTGGGTGGATGACTTGAGCCCAGGAGTTTGAGACCAGCCTGGACAACACAGTGAGAACTCATCTCTACAAAAAAATAGCCAGGCATGGGTACGCACCTGTAGTCCCAGCTACTCAGTAGGCTGAGGCGGGAGGATCACGTGAGCCCAGGAGATGGAGGTTGCAGTGAGCTGAGATCGTGCCACTGCACTCCAGCCTGGTTGACAAAGTGAGACCCTGTCTCAAAAGTAAATAAATAGATAAAAATAAAAAGAGGAGAGATAAACATATGGAAGCAAGTGTGTGTTGAGTGCCATGCCAGGGCCTTGAATGGTATCATCTCATTCAATTCTAACGAGAACTCCAAGAGGAAAGACTGTTTCGGGCCCACTGTTTAGATGAAGAAAATGAGACTCGGGGAGGTTAAGTGGCTTACCCAAGGTCACACACCTACCAAGTGTCAGAGGCTGGACTTGAACTGAAGAATCTGGCTTCAGGGCTGGGAGTCCAAGGAAAGAGGAGGAAGAGGCCCACGTCACACAGAGGGGAAGAGCAGGGCTGGGACTTGAGGCTTGGCTCTGGGGTGGAAGGAGTGCAATGGCCTCCGCATTCCACACCCAGGAGGGCGAGCAGCAGTGGGAACAGAATGCTATCCCAGCGACCCTCCAACTTCCCTCGATTTTCGAAAGCATGGGGAGAGTGTGTAGTGTGAACAGCGGCACAGGTGCCCACGTGAGAGTGTTTGGCCATCACCTTGGACTTTGGGGACCAAACCAGCTGCTGATGGTGTTGTGGGAAGACTCTCTCAGTCCTGAAAGGAGTTTGGGGCCCGCTGGGCACACTGGGGTCAGATTCCCTTGTGTCCTGGGACCCAGGACAATGCCCGGCCCAGGGAGGTGGCAGGGAATGAATGAATGGATGACGAGGAGGACGAAGCAGGGGATGAGGTCTGAATTCTTAAAGCTTTGCTCATTCCAAGTCAATATATTTTTAAACATTCAAATGATTTTAATTTCTTAAGGAATCTATGTTTATAGGGGGAAAAAATCACAAAATTGGAGCCCCCTCCTTATCCCTGCTGAGCAGAGCAAGGACATCCTGGAGTGGGCAAGGCTGATGGCACCTTGCAGTGGGTGGGCCCAGGCTCTGGCCTTGGGGTGCATATGTGATGCTGCAGCCATGAGGATGGGGGAGTCCAAGGGTCGCGCCCTTCTCCCCTGACCCTGATGAGGCACTTGCATCAGAAAAAGCAGCAGTGGTCCAGCTGGGGAAGAAATCTGCTCCTCTCCTAGCTGCTGGTCCTGGGGTCCAGAGCCCACCCAGCTGGCTCCCCCTGGTTCCCACTGCTCCAGAGAAGTGAGGTGGCAGTGGGGAGGCAGAGAGGGGCTGCTGCTCCTCCAGGTTCCCTTCTCACAGCCAGGCCTCCCTTCCCTTCCTTGAAGCCATCAGGGCGTCCCTGGGACTCAGCTCCACTTCACCCCCAGTTTCAACCCTCTTCAAAACCCCCCAGGGCCCGCAACAAGATTGGGTCCTACCGGAGAGATGATTTTAGGCAGAACCTAGAGAAACCTCTTACATTTTAATAGTTAAGCATTTATTTTAATGTGTACTGAAAAAATATAACTAGCACATCAAAACTGTGATTTCACACATATGATTGCTTAGGATGAGACTAATGGGGGTATTAAAAAATGGTGGGTTAGTTTATAGAAAAACATTAAGGACATAATAGCGCAGGCGGTGCGTGGGCATGTCCGTGGGGATCCACAGTGTGGACATGACTTGGAGACCCGGGGGCATCCAACAGGCTGCCCTGTCACACTGCATGCTCCATACTCTTCATACTGGGAGCTACTGGCCTAATGAGGCTGCTGCCATGTTTGGGAAGCTTGGTCATTCATTCATTCTTTTATTCATTCAACAAATATCAATTGGGCACCTGTCATGTGCCAGGCTCTTTTAGCCACTGGGAACTTATCAGTGAAGAAGACAGCTAAGGTTCTTGCTCTCTTAGAGTTCTCAGTCTAGTAGGGGAGACAGAAAACTGAACCCATAAAGAATATGTAAGTATAGAGCTGGGTGCGGTGGCTCACACCTGTAATCCCAATGACTCAGGAGGCTGGGGCTGGAGGGTCACTGGAACCCAGGAGATTGAGACCAGCCTGGACAACATAGTGGACCCTGTCTCTCAAACAAAAAAAATACAGAATTACCCAGGTGTAGTGGCTCATGCCTGTGGTCCCAGCTACTTGGGAGGCTGGGGTGGGAAGATCACTTGAGCCCAAGAGTTCAAGGCTGCAGTGAGCTGTGATTGCACCACTGCACTCCAGCCTGGGTGACAGAGTGAGACCCTGTCTCTTAAAAAAAAAAAAAAGAAAAAGAAGAAGAAGAAGAAGAATATATACGTATTGTGATAAGATTTAAGAAGCTGGGGCCGGGCGCAGTGGCTCACACCTGTAATCCCAGCACTTTGGGAGGCCGAGGCGGGTGGATCACAAGGTCAGGAGTTCAAGACCACCCTGGCCAAGATGGTGAAACACCATCTCTACTAAAAATACAAAAATTAGCCGGGCATGGTGGCGGGCACCTGTAATCCCAGCTACTCGGGAGGCTGAGGCAGAGAATTGCTTGAATCCAGGAGGCGGAGATAGCAGTGAGCCTAGTGAGACTCCATCTCAAAAAAAAAAAAAAAAAAAAAAAAGCTGGGATGATATTAAACACAGAAACACAGAGAAGGACACTCACCTGTGGGGCAGGGAGGGTACCCAGTAGTGAGCTCCCTGTCACAGGAGGTGTGCAAGCTGAGCCCTACCCGTTATTAGCTGGGGATATTAGTGAGGAGATTTCTGCCTTATTTCCCAAAGGAGCAAAGACTGTTGAAGTAGGCAGAGCAGCCAGAACACAGCGGGCGGCTAATAAAGATCCGTCACACGGCAATTTAGTGTGTGCTGGCACAAGGGCCCAGGTGGGTGGAGCCCCCAACGCCGAGGATGCCCTGGCCCTACCCAGGGGTCATGGCAGGGATGGGGCCTTCTCTGTCCCCTGTGTTGAGGCGTGGGGGACAGTGGCTCCTCGGTGACTTCACTTCAGCTCTTAAAGTGCCAGGATGGGGAGAGGGGCTGGGGTAATGCTGTTTTTTGTCTACTATACTCCCCTCTCCCCCACCCTGTGCCTGCCTTGCTGGGTGACTTGGCATGTCCCTGCCCCTCTCTGGGCCTCAGTTTCCCCACTGAACAATGGTGAGTTTGCTTGAGCTCCAAGCCTGTAGAATTCTTCCATCTGTATACTTAGAAACCACATCTTTTGTCCTGCAGCCAGCATGTATGTGCGTGTATGTGTGTGTGTGTGTGCATGTGTGTATGTGTGCGGGTGAGGATGGAGCTGGTGGGAGTGGTAGGATTCCATCAGCACCTTAACTCTCAGTGGCCTGCAGGCATCTGCGGACCAAACAGCAGCCAGCGTTCATCAAGAACTCTGTGTTTTCATCACTTCCCCTGCCTCCTCCCATTTACTCCCCACCATGCTAGGAGGCGGGCCCTCCCATTTTACAGAGGAGGACACTAAGGGGCGTGGTGCGACTTGCCTGAGGACACACAGATGCTGAACAGCAAAGCCGGGCTTGAGCCCAGCTTGTGGGACGACAGAGCCAGAGTTCGTAGCCTGCGCATCTGTCTGCTCCTGGCTGCCAAGCTGTGTGTGTGGGCAGGTGCTTTGTTCTGGAGCAGCGCTCCTGGCTTGGTCAGATTCTCACAGGGGTCAGTGATGCCAAAATGCTGAGAATGCCCTGTTCTGGCTACAAGCACATGGCTCCAAAAGTCTAGGCTCTGCGTCTGGGTCCAGCACTGTTAGTGGGAAGCAGTGGGGCTCTGGGGGCATGTGTGAGACCCTGTGTGTTCCTGCCTGGGGGTTCTGGTGGATGGAGCGGTGTTTCTGTCTGACTGTGTGGGTGCGGGCTGTGTCTGGGGGGTGACTGTGTGTGGTTGAAGGGGCAGTGCAGGCTGAGAGGGAGCCTGGGGGCAGGTCAGGGCTGGGCTGGTGCCCTCTGCCCTGTGCCTGTTTGCCTCAATACCAGCCTTCCCTGCCACCTGCACACTGGTGCCCTTGGAGGTGAGGCTATGGGAGCATCTGGAAGGTTAGAGCAGGAGTCAGAGCCGGGAGAGGGGGCCTTTCTCCAGCAAGCTACCAGCGAGCAGGGCAGCAGTGCCCACCCGTACCTGGGAAGTGCCCTCCACCGGCCCCTTACTCTCTGGATCTCTCTCTCTCCCTGCCCTACTGCTCTCTGGGTCTCTCTCTTTCTCTCTCCCCCTCTCTCTCTGGGTCTCTCTGATCTTTATCTCTTTTCCTCTCTATCTCTGTCTTTCGATCTCTTTCCTCTTTCTTTGCTCCTTTGTGTCTGTTGGATCCATCTTCCCCTCTCTTCTCACCGCCCCCACCCATTCCTTCCTTTCTCTCGGGTATGCACACAGCTCTCTTCGATGACATCTCAGGATTACACATACATATATTCCGTATATCATGGTGACACCCACACAGAGCAGGCACTCAGTAAATGTCAGGTGAATGAATGAGTGAGTGACCAAATGGCAAAGCTGGAGGGGACACTGACGCTTGTCTACACTGGTGGTTACTAATTTTTTTGGAAGTCACACTCCTCTTAAGAAGCTTATGGAAACTATGGATTGTTTCCTCAAAAAAATGCCACAGAGTTTTGCCCACAAGCTTCAAAGGGTTTTTTGAGGCCCCCAAAGCCTGTCTCTGGCCCCAGGCAGAAGTAGCCTTTGTTTCACGGGTGAGGAAACTGAGGCCCAGAGAGCAGTCAGGGCTGGCCTTGGGACATGGGACAAGTCTGTGGCAGGGACAGGCTTGGATCCTGGAGTCCTTTCTCTCTCCCTGCAGCCCTCTCATGCGAGCTGGGTGGGAACGAACTTCATTCACTTTTCCTAAGTCCTTGGTAAGCATACTCAGAGAGCTGGGGTCAGGAAGAGATAATGGGGGACTCTTCAGGATCCCAGGGAACAGTGCATAGGCAGGTGGGCCAAGAGAGGGAGGTCTCTAGAGGGAGCTCACTGTGTCCTAGAGCAGTCAGGGGAGACTTCCTGGGGGAGGCAGGTTCCTTCTGGGCCTGTATCCAGGGACTGCTGGGGCTGAGAGGGGACTCCAGAGGCCAGAGTGGAGCTGCGCCTGGCTGCCTGGGTCTGGCAGAGGCCTCGTGGAGAACCATGTGCATGTATTTAGAAAAGCAGGCTGCAGCTGGAACCTCCAAGAATCGGCTCTGGAGTTTGGTCTTACCCCTGGAGAAGGGGGCAGCCCTGGAAGCCTTCTGAGTGGGGAGGGCGCACGGCCAGGTTGGCGTCGGAGTGGGTTGGCCGTGGTGAGTGGAGATGGGGAGCTGAAGCAGGACTTGGGGCTGGATGCGGGCGTGCACGGACAGGAGAGGCTGCTCCCGGGAAGGCGCTGAGTTTGGTGTGAGCCTTGCTGAGTTTGTGGTTCATGGGATGCTGGGGCTGGCCGGTATCCAGGGAGGGTGGGAACGTGGGATCAGAAAAAGAGGGAATTGTGTGTGTGTGTGCGCGCACGAATGTGTGTGTGCGTGTGTGTATGTGTGTGGTGTGTGTGCATATGTGTGTATGTGTGGTGTGTGCATGTATGTGTGTGTATATTGTGTGGTGTGCATGTATATGTCTATGTGTGTGTATATCTGTGTATGTGTGGTGTCTGTGTGTATATGTGTGGGTGTGTGGGTGTGTGCATCTGTGTGTATGTGTGTGGGGTATGGGTGTATGTGTGCATGTGTGTGGGGTGTTTATATATGTGTGTGGGTGTATGTGTGGGTGTGTGTATGTATGTGTGGGTATGTCTGTATATGTGTGTATTGTGTGTATGTGTATGTGTGTGTGTATTGTGTGTATGTGTGTATTTTGTGTGTGTGTATTGTGTGTATGCGTGTGTGTTGTGTGTGTGTGTACACTGGCCTCCTTTCTAGTCCTTGCACACACCAAGTTCCTTCCAGACCTTTTCTCTCCCTGGCTGTTCCCTCTGCCCCTCGTGCTCTCTTCCCGTCTCCCGGCTCCTGGCTCCCCTGTGCTCCACGGACCCCTTAGAGAAGCCAGAAGCACATGACCTGTCAGAGCCGCATCGCACGGCCCGCAGCAGGCATCGGGCTCCCATTCAACACGCCCACCTTGCAGAGGGGAAAACTGAGGCTTAGAGAGGCGTGGTGAGCTGGGGCCCCACACCTAGTTCAAAGCAAGGGTGCAGAGCCCAACCCTATGTTCCCCCAGCCCGGCATTTTAAGGGTGTCTCTTGGGATGGGGGTGGGGTCTTGACTGACCCCTCCTTCCTCAGAGCCCCCAGGCTGGGGCCCGAGGTGGGGAAGGCGGAGAGCTGACGGCGGGGTGTCTGTTTTGCTTTGTGAGGTTTTAAAAAAATCATTTCCGGCGTTGAAGGCGGCGGCAATTAGGGCCTGCTCGCTGGGGAGCTGTTTGCCGCCTGTCGTCGGTCCGGGAAAGGGTCCCTAATGGAGGCCCGGCGGCCAGAGCGCAGGATAGTGGAAATAGTGCTCAAAACAAAGCTTCACTAATGGTCTCCCGGCAGGCAGCGGAGGAGAGGGAGGGGCGGTCGGACAGCGGCTGAGGGCCCCTGGGACAGGGCCCAGATCCACCAGCTCCTCTCTCCATGGCCCTCAGACACCCTCCAGCTAGTGCGGGAAGCCCCGGGCCCCACCCGCGCTGCTGCCTTCTTGCTCTGTGCTCTTGGCCTGTGAAATTCCCTCCCAGGCTCTGGGAACACTAAGCGCCAAGGTCCTGGGGTGGGGCCCAACCCCTTCAGCCATGAATTCTCTGGTTCTAGAATAGCCCTAGGGTTTAATAAGTCCAAGGGGCCCGGAGCCTTGAAGAAGGAGGAGCTTCTTCAAGTAGAGCCAGGCTACGTGAGGAGGTGACAGGAGAGCAGCCTGATCCTGTCCGGGAGCCCACTGTGTGCCTGCGTGATGTCACTGCAGCACCGCTCACAGCACCCATTTTACAGATGAGGAAACCGGGCTAGAAGCTCAGAGATTCACCTACCTTGAGGAGGTGCAGTTGGGTTGAAATCCAGGTCAGCCTGACTCCGGAGCCCACATATTTACTGTTGCTTCCTTGAATTTCGCAGACACGATTGGGCAGGGGTGGCAGGGGCTGGGGCTGGGGCATGTACTAGGTCCTGGGTGGGGGGTCAGGTTTGACCGAGGCCAGGTTCTGGTCAGGGTGGGGCCACCACCACCCTACCCACTGGGCACCCTCAGAGCCTCTGTTCTGGAACATCCCAAGTGCCTGCCTCCATCTGTCCCTGTCCGTTGGTCTCTGCCTCCCCTTTTGCCCCGTCCTTCATGTCCCTGGCCCTCCTGCCTCCACCCTCAGCGCCCCTTACAGCCCTCACTGTTCTTTCTCCTCAGTGGCTCTGAGGCTGCTCCTTTCTGGCGTGCTGGAGCAAATCCATCCCTGTGATTGATGCAGCCTCCTTTGCTTCCCCCACTTCTTCCCTCTTAGCCCCTCCCGGCAGCAGAGGATGGCTATGCGCCTCGGCTTTGGGATCTGACACTAAGGCTCAAATCCTGCCCCGCTCCAGCCTCTCTGAGCCTCGTTATGCATCCGTGCAATGGGCTCACCCCACTAGCTTTGCAGGATGTACTGGGGAGAATGAAAATAAATGGTATCGGTAGAGACGTCGGGACGCCTGTGTGCCTGCTCCCGGCTCCTGGCTCCCTGCCCCCGCCCCTGCCCTATCTCTGGCTCCCTGAACACTCCCGCGCTTGCCTCCCTCCCTCCCACCTGCTCTCACTCCTTGTGGCCCAGACATGTGGGAAGAGGAGGCGGGAATTCCACTGGGGAAACCTGCTCAACTCCCACAATCCTGCAAGTGCCAGAATATTTTAGTTCTCCTTAAATCTCCCTAGATTTGTAATTCTACTGCTGTCTACCTCAATATGTGCTGGTGGCCTTGGGAGGCGCCCTGCTTCCAGCTTGCCGGCTCCAGCACTTCCTGCTCAGCTATGTCGGGGTGTCTGGCAGGGAACCTGGGCAAGTCCCCACCCACTCCGTGCCTCAGTTTCCCCATCTGTAAGAAGAGGACAATGATAGTGGCCACTTCCCAGGTTGTTTTGGGGATTAGGTAGGATATTTTATTGTATTAAAGAAACACCTCTATGAAAAGTAATGAATTACTGATGTGTGCGACAATGGTAGATGAACCTCAAAAACTCTATGCTAGATGAAGGAAGCCAGTCACAAAAGACCACATATTATATGATGCAGATGATATGAAATATCCGGAGTAGGCAAATGTGAGAATGCAGATTTGAGGTTGCCAGGGGTTAGGGGAGAGTGGGGAGTGAGGAGTTTCCTTCTGGGGGGAAGACAGCATGTTGGGACTAGTTGCATCACATTGTGAATGCACTAGATGCGACTCAATTGTCCACTTTAAAGTGGTTAATTTTGGCCAGGTGCGGTGGCTCACACCTGTAATCCCAGCACTTCTGGAGGCCAAGACGGGCGGATCACGAGGTCAGGAGTTCAAGACCAGCCTGGCTAATGTAGTGAAAGCTTGTCTCTAGTAAAAATACAAAAAAATTAGTCAGGCGTGGTGGAGGCCGCCTGTAATCCCAGCTTCTTGGGAGGCTGAGGCAAGGAGAATTGCTTGAACCTGGGAGGCGGAGGTTGCAGTGAGCAAAGATCATGCCACTGCACTCCAACCTGGGCGACGGTGTGAGACTCTGTCTCAAAAAAGAAAGAAAAAAAGAAAAAAAAAATGTTAGCTATTTAAATTTTTACTAGGCAGGGCGGCCCCTCCTCCATCGGCCAGAGACAGGCAAGGACCCACCTGGGTGAATGTGCTTGTGTCTAAGGCTCAGCAAGGAGTGGGTTCCACCAGGGAACAGCGGTTGTTGTGGACCTTCTGGGTGCTACACACTGAAACAGGCTCTTCACTTGCATTTGCCCATTTAATCCTCAAAATAAGCCTGTAATCAATGACACAGTGGGAAACCAGAGCTCAGAGTAGTGAAGCAGCTTGCACAATGCCACCCAGCACGCCAGGGAGAGCTGTGGCTTGCATCCTCACCGTAAATCCTGGGCTCCCCCTCGCCCTAGTGCCCGACCGTCCCCCTGGCCCCTTCCCCTGTTAGCCACCACACCAGCACTTCCTGTGGGTAGAGCACAGTCTGAGCTCTGCGGAGCCTGGGGTTGCGGAGAAGGAGGCTTTGGACTGGATGGGACAAGAGGCCGTTGATGGCGTGCGGCCCACGCAGGAGAGTAAACAGCTCTCACCAGGGGCAACATTTCTTTGATGTCTCCTATTTCATTCAAAATTTATGACTTCTATATTCTATCCCATAATATATTCATGTTTGTTTTAATACAAAAATAACGTTCTTGTCCCATGTTTCTGGAGTGAAGTCAATGCCTCAGGAAGTTGCTTTCCTGGTTTGAGCAGCACAGACCATAAAGGGGTCATCCATTCATTTCTTTGTTCATTCATTCTCCAAGTATGCAATTCAGGTATTTTCATTCCTTAAGTGGGTGTTAGTTCTCACTACGGGCAAGGATGCTGTCCCAAGAGCCACACTGGAAGAATCGGCAAGATTGGGATAGGGAAGTGGCAGGGAAGCTTTCCAGGTATGTGGCCCAGCAGGAGCAAGGCTTGGAGGTGGGAACTAGTGATGGGTTGTGAGATTGGGCCATGGCCATCGGAAGCCAGGGCTGGTGCTGGGTGCCCGCTGGTGTCCACACTTGAGCAGGACCTGCGTCCCAAGCCCCTTGTGATTAAGAAGAAAGTCTCTGCTGGTGCTTCTCTGACTTTAACACCTAACCTTCGCCAGTCTCCCTTGTTAATGAGAAAAAAACGGAGATTGAGGCTCATAGCCTTCAGCAGGCAAGCTTCTTTGGCTAGAATTTACGAATGCTGTTTGGTTTTCATAGCGTTTATTTTTACAGTTACCCTCTATTTATGGCAAGTGATGCTGATTTTTCATTTATGGCGGTAATAAAAGTCTTCTTTTAACCTGAATTTATTTAAGTAAAAGGGGAAAGATGCTTTGAAAATAAATATTAAGTAAATAATGGTGCATGTGGTACAGGGACCCTGTGGAAATGGTGATGGCAGCTAAAAGGCTGGGCTTGGGAGACCCCTCTCTGGTATGCCCTTTTCTGTTCTGAGTCCCCTCTGACTGTGCAAACCTCAGTCAGCCTTCAGGTCCAAGCAAGTCCCCTTCTCCTGGTAACCTCCCCTGACTCTCCAGGCAGACACGAGCCTATCTTTCTCCTAGGATCTTCTAGAACCTGCACCTCCTTCCATAGCTCCAACATGCAGTTTGCCCTGCATAACCCTGGGCAGCACTATGATTCATGGCCATATGAACAGTGCACATTCTGAACAACTGTACATGGCAGTCCAGGTTCAATCCCAGCCATTGTTCCTATAGCAGTCTCTGGCATGTGTGTCTCTCCTGGGGACTGCAGGCTCCCTGAGGGCAGGGGCCTGATCTGTGGCATCCTGGGAAGCCTGGCACGGGGCCTGGCTTAGGGTAGGGGGTCCATCAGAGCTGATCTCTTCCATTCCTTTTGAGGGAGGACTTAAGCTCCTACTGCACGCTGAGGCAGACACCTCCCACCAAGGCATGCTGCAGTTCCCTAAGCTTTCTTACAAAATGCCTTCTTCTTGGCTTCTTAGGAAGAAAGCCCATCTGCGTTTGTTTGCCTGTCCCAAGGTGAAGCAACCTTCATGAACTCACACCTCCATTCCTCCTGCCGCAGGCACCTGTCAGGGGCCAAGGGCTACCCAGAAAGAAACAAAGAGAACCCTCGGGTGCCTCCCTGGGGAGGAGAGGGCCCTGGACACAGCCAGGCTTCTCTGTTTCTGGAGGGCTTTTCCATCCTGATTATCTGGGTTTTCTTCTTATGGGGATTTTATGTCTCCTGATTTTAGAAGCCAGCTGAGATTTACAGGCGGTTGGGCTGGGACCTCATTAAATCCTCCCTCTCCAGCCCTTTCCCCGGGAGAGCTCTTACTCTGCTTCCCAGCTGGGAGGCAAGGTGGCCACAGGCCTTCCTGAACCTGGAGCACACACACCCTTGTGGCCTTGCCACCCAGCTGAGCTGGGCATAGAGCAGGCTTCCTGGAAATGGCCCCAGAGAATCACACTTTTTCTAGCTGAAAAGGATGGGGCTTAGATAAGATTTAGGCTTCAGTGGGGGAAATTTTGCAGCCAGCTTGAAGTCAGGCTGAACTCTAACTTGTCCCTTGATGCTGTGTGATCTCAGGCACCGACTCTCCCTCTCTGAGCCTTGGCACTTCCTCTGTGAAATGGGGCTGATAATAGTACCATCTCATCAAGTCTGAGAGGATGAAAGGGGTCCTGTGTACAGTGTCTGGCATAGAGGAGGGGCTTCCTTCCTTCAACCCCGGGGCAGGAGACTGGCTCCAATGGCCCCCAGGTTCTCTGAGCTTTGGTTTTCTCACGCTGCTGGAAAAGGGCCAGGTATGGAAGTGGGCAGTGGCTGCAGAGGCTGTCGATGCCCCCTTACTCTGTCTTCATCACTGCAACAACGGAGCCAGCAGAAACAGGGAAGTGTTTGAATTCTAGAGTCCCAAGGTCTGGGTTTGAATCCCAGCTCCTGCTCCTGACTTGCAGTGTGACCTTGTGACACATGTCCCTGAGCCTCAGTTTCCCTGCCTGGAATAAAGGGACAATGATCCCTGCCCAGCAGGATCACTGTGAGCATCATATGGGATCAGGCACATCACCTTCCTGTTGCATCGTGGGCTCCAATCAGAAAGATGATGCCACGGGGCTGCTGGGCTGGCCCGTAGCCAACAAGGGTTGGGGAGCTACTGGCGAAGCAGCCACCCACTCCTGGCACTGTCAGCCTTTATTTATTGCCCTGTTTCATTCTTGGTTGCGTTTCACAAGATGACTTTATGGGCCATCTCAGGGGGAGCCTCCAGCCTGCCTGTCAGTCTGGCTGGGTGGCCCCTCAGCTGGGCCAGGTGGGCCAGGCTGGCCTTGGGCAGCCAGTGGCCACAAGGGCCAGGAGGAGAGGGACAGTGGGGAGGAGGCCGGCCTGCCAAGCCTCACTTAGGACCTCCCTGCTTATGCATGTCCATAGTGTCCACATGTCTGTCCCTATCCCTGCTCCTGTGGGCACAGTCCCCCCAGGAAACTCCAATCTGGCACATAGTAGGCATCCAATAAATGTTGAGTGAATGAATGAACTGGATGAATGAATGAATGATTTCTATGCCTATTGGTTTTTTCCTTAGAACTTCAATCCTCTGGGCTTTTGTCTGACCTTCCTTTCTCCCTTGATTGATTGATTGATTGATTGATTCATTCATTCATTCATTCACTCATGTGTTTAGTACATGCCTAGCCACCTCCTGTGTGCCTGATCTGGGCTGGGCAATGCAGGGTCCCTGACCTGGGAGAGTTCCCAGCTTGCAGGAGACCCAGACACCTGTCATATAACATCTGTCATATAACACACTCCAGATGTCATATAACACACTCAGCATCTGTCATGTAACACACTCCAGGGCAGGGAGAGGCAGCCTCGGAGACCTCTGGGGGCACCAAGCAGGGCTTCCACCCTAGCCTGAGGAGGGAGAGTACCTTTAGGCAGAGGACTACCTGTGAGTCAGGATTCCAGGGACAGTGTGCAGGCTGTGTCCTTAGGGGGACACATGTAAGTGGCCAGGAGGGGCTGCAGTTGGGGTCTGGGCAGAACCAGAGCCTGCAGACTTTGGATGCCGAGCCTGGGAGCCTGATTTTGACCCTGAGGGCTGGTAGTTTCCCAATGAGGCCCAAGTACGGGAGCTTCCTGAAGGCCCCAGGCAGCCCGGAGTAGGGAAAATGGGATCCTTCCCCTGCCTGCCACCAGAGCTGCTAGAGCAGAGTGTTCCCTGAGCATCTACTATGTGCATGGTGTTGCTCTAGCTGCCGGGACATGGCAGTGAACAGACTAGAATCTCCTGCCTTTAACTAGAATCTCCATCTTCAATTCTAGTTGGAGTACAGATGATACACAGAAATAAAATGAGCAAACATGTAATAGGGGAGTGATGAGTGGTAAGGAGAAATATGAGGTAGAGAAAAGGGAACTGAGAGAGGGTGGGGGAGAAGGGAGGGCCTCACTGAGGAGGTGACATTGGAGCCGAGGTTTGAAGGAGTTGAAGATGCGGGGAGGGATATTCTGGGAACAAGTTCAGGGGATTTTTGTTTTCTTTCTCTCTTTCTTTCTTTCTTTTCCTTTTTTTTTTTTTTTTTTTTTTGAGATGGAGTCTTGCTCTGTCACCCAGGCTGGAGTGCAGTGGCGTGATCATAGCCCACTGCAGCCTTGAACTCCTGGGCCCCAGCGATCTTCCCACTCTAGGAGATTTTTATTGTAAATCCACTGCTGCAGTGAGCCCAGGGAAGCCAGTAGAGGCTTTAATAAAATTCTGGTAAAATATACATAACAGAAAGTTTCCCATTTTCCCCATTTGTAAGTATATGGTTCAGCCGCATCAAGAACATTCAGGCTGCTGTGCAGCCATCACCACCATCCAGTCCAGAAATTGTTCATCATCTGAAACAGAAACTGTGCCTGTTCAATAGCAACTCCCTTCCCCTGCCCCCAGCCCCTGGCAACCCCCATTCTGCTTTCTGTCTCTGTGAGTTTGAATCACACCATATTTGTCTTTCTGTGACTGGCCTGTTTCATTCAGCATAATGTCCTCAAGGTTCATCTATTTGCGGCGTGTGTCAGAATTTCCCTCCTTTTTAAGGCTGAATACTACTCCATTGCACAGATGGACTAGATTTTGTTACTCCATTCATCACTGGAGGTTTCTGAGTAGGGAGCATCACAGTGTGATCTAGTGAGAGGTGGGGCCGGGCTGAGGGGTGACCAAGGGTTCAGTGGGGCCACGTTGGTTCTCACTGTGCCTCCCTCTAGCCTCAGCTCTGCCTTGGTTTTCCTGAATAGAGCTGCCCCTGCCACCAGTCCCCAAGGGGAGTCCTGCTTTCACTCTGATGGGTATGCTGAGGACCAATCTCTGCAGGCATCCTGGAGGAGGCAGCCTCCCACCAGAGATTTGAAGGTTGGAAGGGCAGGGAGGGCTGTGCAGAGGGAGACAGGAGATTCAGGGCTGGACCAGGGGGTCTGGGATGGGGAATCTGGGCTCAGAGATGGAGGGAGCTGGGGGCTGCCTGTGCTGGATGAGCCCCTGTGGCTTGCCTGAGTCCCACTGGCTCCCAGGAGCCATGGGAGCACCAGAGGAAATGAGCACAGAGAAGAGCTAGAGGACCGGTGGGTGAGGGGCTGCAGGGCCCACGCGTGAGTAAAATACAGATGCGCCCAATGCATAATCTGATGAGGCGACAAGGAAGCAACTTTAGCCATCTTTCTGGAGATGATAGGGTGTTTGAGCTAGGAGGTGAGAGAAAGGAGTGCTGTTTATTGAGCACCTACTATGTGCCGTGAGGCGTGAGGCACATGTTGTCTTGTGTCATCCTCTCATCAGCCCTCTCATTCTCCCCTTTTTCCAGATAAAGGAACCGAGGCTCTGAGAAGCAAAGTGGTTTGCCCAGGTCACACAGCTAGGGAGTAGGGGAAATAGAGTTTGAACCCAGGCCTGAAGGCAAAACTCTAAGAGGTTCATGCTGAACCAGGGTCTGGGAGGTTAGGGAGGTCAGGTCCCTGGTCTCAAACGGCAGGCCAGGTCCTCCAGGTCATCTCCTGCCTTTCCCAGAAGCCAAACCCAGTGGCTCCGGCCAGAGCCACAGAGCCATTTCCTGCAGCTGATGCACCGATAATCAGGCCTGGGGTTAATTAATACATCGCACCCCCAATTAAAAGCAGAAAGAAAGAAGATGTTGCATTCAATCAAGTCCCATTCTCCTTCTCCTGCAGAATCCTAATTTGTGGACACCAGTTTTAATTGTCTTCCCAGCGAGCCCAGCCCAGCTCAGGCCCTGAGGCTGGAGAAGACAATTGCATCCTTCTCAAAAATCTGTAACTATACCAGCCTCCCTGGGGACTGGCTGCAAGGAGTTACCTGAGCAGGGAGGGGGGCTCAGGGGCCGGGTAAGTCAAAGAGGAGAGATGGATTCTATGTCCCAGACTCAGCAGTGATGCTCACATGGGGATTAGGGTCTGGGTAGCTGGAGGGAAAGAGTATGGGTAGGGGGCCGGGTTACAGGCTTCCACTTAGAGCCCTCTAGAACTGGGTTCAGTTTCACCATTTACTCAGTCTGTGGCCTTGGGCAAGTCACTGACCCTCTCTGAGCTTCAGCCTCCCTATCTGAAAAGGGGGATAATAATGATCACACCCACTCCATAGCATCATGGTGGGAACACGAGAAAATGTATGTAAAGAGCTTGCACCTGGGTGTGGTGGCTCACGCCTGTAATCCCAGTGCTTTGGGAGGCTGAGGCAGAAGGATTGCTTGAGCCCAGGAGTTTGAAACAAGCCTGGGCAAGATAGCGAGACCCTGTCTCTACAAAAATTTTAAAAATTAGCTTGTTGTAGTGGCATGCACCTGTACTCCCAGCTACTTGGGAGGCAGAAGCAGGAGGATCACTTGAGCCCAGGAGTCCATGGCTGCGATGAGCTATGTTCAGCTCACTGCCATGTTCGTGCCACTGCACTCCAGCCTGGATGACAGAGTGAGACCCTGTCTCAAAAAATAAATAAACATGGCCAGGCGCGATGGCTCATGCCTGAAATCCCAGCACTTTGGGAGGCCGAGGTGGGCGGATCACCTGAGGTCAGGAGTTTGAGACCAGCCTGGCCAACATGGTGAAACTCCATCTCTACTAAAAATACAATAATTAGCTGGGCGTGGTGACGTGTGCCTGTAATCCCAAGCTACTCGAGAGGCTGAGGCAGGAGAATCGCTTGAACCTGGGAAGCAGAGGTTGCAGTGAGCCGAGATGGCACCACTGCACTCCAGCCTGGGTAACAAGAGTGAGACTCTGTCTCAAAAAAAAAAAAAAAACAAAACAAAATAATAAATAAATAAACAAAACAAAGAGCTAGGCACGGTGCCTGGCACAAAACAAATAGTCTTTATTTCTTAGAGATTATCAGTACATCATCATAATCAGCAGCAGCAGCAGCAGCATCAAAATACACATCAATCTGTGTATTTTCCAGTTTCTGGTGCTGGTGCAGTATCCTCACTCAGAGTTAGGAGAGGGAGGAAGACCCTGTTGCTGATTGAGCTGCCTGCTTTCAGTGGGGGTGAGAGGAACTGAGCTCCCCATCTCTGGAGGTGTGCAAGTGGGATGCGGAAGTGTGGAGCCTAGCAGCTGAATTTTACCTGATAACTCAGACCAAATCCTGGTAGGGGCTGGCAGACCCGTGGATCTTGGTCACAACTGCCAGTCAGACCAATGTTTAAAATCCATCTCTGTGTGAATCTTGGGCAAGTCATTTTACTTTCCGAGCCTCAATTTCCTCATCTGTCAAGTGGGAGTGGGTGAGAGTGTTAGAGACAATGTCTGCATGGTGTTGGGCACACAATAGATGCTCAGGAAAGGAAATGGATTTTTTTTTTAAACGAAGCTTTCTTTCCTGCCTCCCTACCTTTGCTCACAGGGTTCCTGCTTCCTGACATTTTCAGGCCTGCCTCTGCTTGTCAATATCCACCCATCCTTCAAGGCCCCTCCTCTCCCATGTGGAAGTGACCCTTTCCCTTCCCAATGCCCAAGGCTCTGCCCTTAGGACATCTATCACTTTCTCCTTCTGATGATCTGAGCTGGTGGGGCTCTCAGGACCATCAGGACTAACCCGAACTGTACAGAGGAGCAGAGGCTCAGAGAGGGGAGAGAGTCTCTGGAAGTCACACAGCAAGTCTGTCGGCAGAAACAGGCTCCGTCCTCCATCCTTGGCTCCCAGTCCAATGCTCCCGGCACTTACCTACGTCCACAGCGGGCTTCTCCCTCCGGGGCAGCTTGGGGTGGAGGTCGGGACAGGCCTTGGTGCTGCTGACTGTGAACAGGGAGGCCCAGATTTGTCGTCAGATGCCCAGAGCCTTGAGTTTCCCACTTGTCCTGTGGACACACTGCCTCCTTCACTACCGAGGTCAGAGTCAAAAGGTCCCTGAGGGTGCCTCCCCTAACCCACCGCCCGTAGGCAGCTCCTGGCCAGCTCTGGGGATCAGAGAAGCCCTGGGACCACAGCCCCTCTATGGAGTGGGAGAGCTGGTGGCCACACCCACAGCTAACTCGCTTGGCTCCCATGAGGCCTTGAACCTGCTTCTCTCCCTGTCCTCCTACCTGAAGCCCCTCCCTGCTCCCGGCTCTACTACCTAGCCTACTGGGGCTAAGGCGAGGGCAACACCTCCTCCAGGAAGCCTTTCCCGATTGCCTCCAGCTGGGTGAAATGCCTCTGCTGTGCCTGCCCAGGCCTTTGCACTCAGAATGAAACAGACTCCCTACCCTGCCCCACAGGACTCTGCAAGGTTGGCCATTTGAGATTGAGCCCTTTTTTTGTTTGTTTTTTGAGATGGAGTTTCGCTCTTGTTGCCCAGGCTGGAGTGCAGTGGCGCAATCTCAGCTCACTGCAACCTCCGCCTCCCAGATTCAAGCAATTCTCCTGCCTCAGCCTAACAAGTAGCTGAGATTACAGGTACCTGCCACCACACCTGGCTAATTTTTGTATTTTTGGTAGAGACGAGGTTTCACCATGTTGGTCAGGCTGGTCTTGAACTCCTGACCTCAAGTGATCCTCCTGCCTCTGCCTCCCAAAGTGCTGGGATTGCAGACATCTGTCACTGTGCCCTGCCGCGGGACTGAGCCTTTTTAAGAAATATTTAGGGCCAGGCGCGGTGGCTCACACCTGTAATCCCAGCACTGTAATCCCAGCTACTTGGGAGGCTGAGGCTTGAACCCGGGAGGCAGAGGTTGCAGTGAGCCGAGATCATGCCAGCACTCTAGCCTGGCGAAAGAGCAAGACTCCATCTAAAAAAAGAAAGAAAAAAGAGAAATATTTAGGTTGGCGCAAAAGTAATTGCGGTTTTGACCATTACTTTTCATGGCAAACCTGCAATTACTTTTGCACTAACCTATAGCTCTACCAGCACAAGGCATTTGGACACTCTGGGAAGAGCATGGACTTGGGCGTCACAGAGGGCTGGTTTCAAATCCAGACTCTACTATGTGGCCGTGGAAGGGTTACTCCCTGGCACTGGGCCTTGGCTGCCTGGTCTGAGCCATGCGGACATGTGATGGGGGGACCTGAAGCTGGCAGAGCTCACTCACCACCTGCTAAGATGTCAAACACATGTGGCCACTGAGCCCTGGGAATGGCAGGACTGAAAGGTGCCATGAACATGTAAAATGCACTCCAGTTTTCCATGACTTAACACAAAAAAGAGTGGAACATGTCTCATTAGTAATTTCTTTTTTCCAAGACGGAGTCTTGCTGTTGCCCAGGCTGGAGTGCAGTGACACAATCTCGGCTCACTGCGCCTCCTCCTCCCGGGTTCAAGTGGCTCTCCTGCCTTAGCCTCCCAAGTAGCTGGGACTACAGGCACATGCCACCACACCCAGCTAATTTTTGTATTTTTAGTAGAGATGAGGTTTTGCCATGTTGGCCAGGCTGGTCTTGAACTCCTGACCTTAGGTGATCTGCCTGCCTCGGTCCCCCAAAATGCTGGGATTACAGGCATGAGCCACCGTGCCCGGCCTCATTAATAATTTTCATTACATGTTCAAATAATTTTTTGATATCTTGGCTTAAATAAAATACATTATTAAAATTAATTAATTTCACGTGTTTTTTTTTACTTTCCTTTCATGTGGCTCCCAGGAGATGGAATATTCCATGCGCGCCTTGCAGTGTGGCTTGCATTCTGTTTCTGTTGGACAGCGAGGCCCTAGATGGCCACTTCTGGTGTCCCGGTGGAGAAGTGGCCGTGTGGCGGGGTCCTCCCCTGTGCTCCTGCCCACCCCAGGCTGCCATGCCATGCCAGGGCCCAGAAGGTGTCTGGGGATAAGAGGGTCTCTCCTGGCTGAACCCGGGCTGCTGAGTTACCCTATACTAGCCCCTGCCCTCTCTGAGCCTTGCCTTCTGCATGAGTAGGAAGAGCTGGTGGGCCAGAGTCAGGGTTTTCTGTCGGTTGGCAGGGGCGGGGGGGCCGTGGGCAGGAGGAGACTGAGTGGGGATGAATTGGAGGCCTGGCCCTTTCCGAGGAGACCCCAGCGGAGCCTCCACCCAAGGGCGGCCCTCTCTGTTCTCCTCCCACTCATGAGACGCACACACATTGTCTCCCGTGCCCCCGCCCACCACACATGGTTCCCACCTCACCCGTGTCTGGGAGAAGGAGGCATGCAGTGGCTGAGTCACACTGGCTGGGTCCGAGGGCTGGCTTCAGCCTTTCTTGCTCTGTGTTCTGCATTGAGCAAGTTCCCTGATAGTTCTGCAGCCATTTCCCCACTGGAAGAGGGGAAGTGGAGGCACTCTCTGATTTCCGTGGCTCAGGCAATGGCACCTGGAGAGGCCACAGCCGTGTCCCTCCACTGTCTTTTGACCAGCCAGGGTCACACTGGTGGTCATACCAGATCCAACCAGGGTCCTCACCCCTCTCCTCATGTTTGCAAATGCCCCTGGTGCCCTGGTGCCCTGCTGCTGGGCAGGAGGGATGTGAATCAAGGCAGAATCCGCCATCCTGGGGGAGGGACAAGCAACCCACTAGAATCACCTCTTCGGCTCTTCCCGTGCAGGCTCCTCACTATCTCCTTGTGTTCCGCTCAAGGTGGCAAGTGGGTGTCAGGGAAGACTCCAAGGGCGAGACCTGCCCAGGACTCTCAGGCAGGGTCCCCCTAGCTCTGGACCCTGCTCCACCACTGCCCAGCCAAGGTGTTTATTCATCATTCAAAAAGCACTTATTGGCTGGGCGTGGTGGCTTATACCTTACCTGTAATCTCAGCACTTTGGGAGGCCAAGGCGGGGAGATTGCTTAAGCCCAGGAGTTCAAGTCCAGCCTGGGCAAAAAGCAAGACCGTGTCTCTACAAAAAATTTGAAAAACTAGTTGGGCATGGTGGCTCGTGCCTGTAGTTCCAGCTACTCGGGGGGCTGAGGTGAGAGGATTGCTTGTGCCCCGGAGGTCAAGGCTGCCGCAAGCCTTGAATGCACCACTGCACTCCAGCCTAGACAACAGAGCGAGACCCTGTCTCAAAAATAAAATGTATTTATTGAGCACCTGCTATGTGCCAGGTACTGCTGCAGGAGCTGGGAGGGAAGGCTGACAATAAACATACATAAAATAGGCATATTAGCTGTGCTGTCCAATACAATAGCCATTACCTGCAAGTGGCTATTAACATTTATGTTTACATGAATTAAAATTAAATAAAATTTAAAATTCAGGTCCTCAGTCACATTTCAAGTGCTCAGCAGACACAGGTGACTGCTAGCTACTGTACTAGCTCAGTTACAGGACACCCTCCTCATGGCAGAAAGTCCTGTTGGCCAGTGCTGATGATGGCGTTGGAGGGAAGGGTGGTTTGAAGTGCCGGGTTTAAATGAGGTGGTCAGGGCAGGCCTCCCTAAGGAAGCGGACTTTGAGCAGGGTCCTGTGGCAGGAGAGGGAGGGAGCCATGTGAGGGAAGGCAGTTCCAGGGGAGTCTGAGGAAAGGGTGTTCCAGGCAGAGGAATCAGCAGGTGCAAAGGTCTTGAGGTGGAATCTCAACTGGGATGCCTGGGGAAGGAGCTGAAAGGAGGCCACTGTGGCAGGAGTAGGAGCAGGGAGTCAGGCAGAGGCCAACACTGGAGGGAATGGCCTCCCATGGAAGGCCCTGTCAGCCATCTGGAGTGCAGTGGTGCGTTCAAGGCTTGCTGCAGCCTTGACCTCCTGGGCACGAGCAATCCTTTTAGCTGGGCATGGTGGCTCATACCTATAATCCCAGCACTTTGGGAAGCAGAGGCAGTGAGGACTGTGGCTGTTACTGTGGGTAGGAGAACGCCCTGGGAGAGTGGTGAGTAGAGCAGGGACAGGGATGATTTATGTTTTGTCAAGGTACGTCTGGCTGCTGTGTGAAAATAGCTTGTTGGGGAGGAAGAGTGGAAGCGGGAGGCCAGTGAGGGTTCCCCACTGTTGCAGGTGAGAGAGGATGGCAGCTTGGCCCCAGGAAGGCAGTGGAGGTGGGGAGAAGGGGCCAGATTCTGGAGGTGTCGGGAGGCAGGACCCACAGGGTTCCTTGAAGACTGAATGTGGGAAGGGAGAGTGGAGGGAGGGAGCCCAGGGTGACTAGTTTCTGGGTTGATCCCCTGGAAGGAGGGGGTGGCCCTCACGGTGATGTGGGGGAGGGATCTTCCTTCCAGGTGCCTGCATTGCCTCTTACTTAGTGGGGATAAGAAGGGTCACAGCTTTGAAGTGGGCTATGTGTGATGGCGCCCCACACCATCCCTCGCAAATGTTCAGGAACTCAGACATTTATTCCTATTAACTAACCAGGCCTTGTTTACAGAACAGCGGCTGGGACTTCCAAGCCTCAGCAAGCGGGGAGCCTCCATGAGCTGCTTTCTAAACCCTTGACCTTGAGGATTAGGGACATCTCAAACTTGCTCTCAGCCCAGAAACCCACTGTTCAAGTAGGGCTGCACATGGAAACCCCATGAGCAGAGGAGAAACGGCAGAAGTTTCCAGATGGAGTCGTTTGTCAATTCGCATCACCTTCGGTATCCTGGGGACAGGGGGATGAGAGAGGTGGCCCCAGAGCAGGGGCCTGAATCTAGGATTTCACCTCCTAGCCCAGGACTCCCTCTTCCTCCTTCCCTAAGCTGAGCTGGGGTGGTGAGGACTCCCGGGGCTGGGAATCTGCCCCTCTGGGCCAGGGGACCCTGTTAGGTTGCAGCAGCCAGGAGGGACAGGGTGGGGGCCAGGGGATTGACAGCCACAATGTTCCTGGGTGACCTGCACGTTGCCAGGCGTCTTTCCAGGGCGATAATCTCTCCTGAGAAGAGGAAAGAATTCTAATTACATCTCAGGACAATATTTGTTTGGGGAGACGGGAGACAGAACATATGGTGGGGAGGGGCGCTGGGCCACATGAAGTGGGGATGTTTTCTCATTTACCTGGTGGGATGGAGGATGACGGATGGGGCAGGGCTCCTGCTGGGCCAGGGGAACCGTATGCCCTGGGCTGTGGTGGAGAGCTGGGCTCTGCATGGGGCAGGAGGCAGGAGTGGCTCCCACCTCACCCTGGGTGCCCTGAGATGGTGGAGAATTCCGTACCCATTCCATCCGCCGAGCAGCTGCTCTGCGCCCGCAACTGCCAGCGGCAGGAGCTCTGTGTCCCTGTCCTCCTGGAGCTGCCGCAGGCAACAGGGCAGGGCAGGAGGTGGGGGACCTTCTCGGGATCCTCAAGGAGGACCTTTCGGGGGGTGACATTTGAGCTGATCTTTGCCAGATCTGAAGGAGCCAGCCGGGCAAAGAGGGGTGGAGGGAAGGGCATTCCAGAAGGAGAACAGCCAGAGCAAGAGTGAGGCCAGAAAGGGAGGCGTGTCCACAGGACAGGGAGGAAGCCAGGGGAATGGGTGCTGATCCCCATACCTGGGGTCCCAGGGGAGGGTTCTAAGCAGGGGAGAGGCCACATCTGATTTGGTTTTGCAAAGATGGCGCTGGCCGCTGTACATGGATGCTGGAGTAACTCAGGAGGGGAACTGAGCTGGGTTACTGGAAGAACCTGGAAGAGCTGATGGAAGCGGCAGCTCCTCCCTGGCCTTCTTGCTGTCCACATCCAGCCCAGGCCTTCTCTGATCCCTGGCATGTTCTCCCACAGCGCCCGGCTGCTGGTGTGGCTCCAGGGCCGACACCTACTCCCTCATCGCCATCTCATGTTGGCTGCTGCACACACCCTTGGCCTGCCTTGCTGAGCTTCTTGGGTGCCCAGCTGAAGCCAGACCACTCCCACCAGCGGGCTTGCAGGTCACCCCACCCCCTCCACCCATCCCCCGCCGTGCAGGGCCAGCTGTTCCTACGTTCTCCACCTCCTTCACCCACTAGCCCCGTGGTTTCCTGAGCCCCGCCATTCTTCCCCCTGTTTCTTGCACAGCCCTGTTCACAGAGACACCCCATGACATGACAGCACGGACGGGCGAGGACGTGGAGATGGCCTGCTCCTTCCGCGGCAGCGGCTCCCCCTCCTACTCGCTGGAGATCCAGTGGTGGTATGTACGGAGCCACCGGGACTGGACCGACAAGCAGGCGTGGGCCTCGAACCAGGTAATGCCCCTGGGGAGATGCCCAAGCTGGGCTGGGGAAGTCCTGGTCCCTGGGGTAGGGGTATTTCTCTGCCCCTCTTCTCCTCTGAGGGATATGGGCTCCAACGCTGTTCTCCACACCACACAGCTGTCTCCCTCCCTTCTTCCTCCTGGGGTGGGGGTTTTAGGTGATCATGGAGGCTTATTTGGGGGAACGGGCAGGAGGCAGAGCTAGGCTGAGCACGTGAAATGGCCACAGCAAGGAGGGCCTTCCAGGGCACAGAGGGCCTCCCTTCGGGGTACAGGTGAGGAAACTGAGGCCAGAGGGACAAGCTGGCTTCAGGTTATGGAGCAAGGTGGGTCTTGTGACTCACTTCCCACCACTTCTCCGGGCCACACGGGCAGCCTTTTTATAAAGAGCTCTGCAAATGCTGAGTTCACTCACAGGCACACACGCATACGTGCACCAGGCTCCCAGCACACCCTTGGCTGCACATGTGCTCACCCCTCTACACGTGCATGCTCGTATGTACACACCTGTAGAGCAGATGCTGTGGGGGCTCTGCCCCATGCCTGGTGTGCAGCGTGCTCTGGGACCAGCCAACTGCCAGCTCCTCTGGCTCTGCTTGAGGGTTTTCTCTGGACACAAGAGCCTGCTGGCCATCAAGGCAAGCAGGAGGAGCAGGGGACTCAATAGGCAGGAGCAGCCCCCACCAATGACCCGCAAAGTTGGAGGATGAATGCCTCAGCTCCCTCGCCCTTAGCTGGGACAACCGAAGCATATTCTTCACTGTTTCACCAAGTGCCCAGTGGGACGAAGCTCCAATTGCCTACTGTGGTAACTAACCAACAACATACCCCCCATTATTAACTTTCTTCCCTTTTTCGTTTCACTCACCTTCTCCCCTACTTGTGTTTCCTGGGATCACCTCCCAAATAAACTACTTGACCTTTGTCTCAAGGTCAGCTCTTGGAGGAACTCCATCTGAATCATTTGCATCCTTACACATATGTATACACTAATGAACACGCAAACATAGAGATCTGCCCACCCATTCGTATATGAACACATATATCTGCACACATTCACAAACACGCATTGGCACACTCATACACTCCCCATGTTCATGAAAGAGTGTCTCACATGTGCCCAAGGGCATATCAAACTTTGTCTTGCTCCTGGGGGTGTCAGCTCCCTGACACTTCCAGCCCTGCCACATGCAGGCTTAGAGGACTTCAGTGGCCAGAGAAAGCCCTTAGGCAAATCGTTGCAGGTATCTGCGGTTGGAAGCTTCCAGGGTCAGTTTGCAAAGGTGGGGAATGTGGGCAGGGTTCCCACAGCGTCTGCACAGACGTTCACATGGGTGACACACCTGAAGGTACAAACACACTCTCAGAGTGACTCAAGGGTACAAACATGCTCCTAGCAACATACCAAGCCAATGCTTAGATTTCTGCCTGTTCACACTCCCTCCAATATATACCAAAGCACCCTTGTGTATCTAAATGCACAAATGTGGTCAGTTTTCTACATACCTCCATTATCTTCTTTTGCTCTGACCTCACCTCCTCCCCTGAGTGGATACAGAAAGGGACCCCAACTCCAGACTCCATGGCCCCCGAGCCTCATCTGCTGTCGTGAGAATCTTAGCGGTTGTCCGTATCCCTATAATGTGTCTCCCCACACTGCCACCCCACCCCCACCCTGTGCTAACACCTTGTCTCTGCTCTCTCCGCCCCTCCCCGATCCCAACAGCTAAAAGCATCTCAGCAGGAAGACGCAGGGAAGGAGGCAACCAAAATAAGTGTGAGTTTTGATAATGACTTCTCGAAAGGGCTCTAATGGAGGGCACAGCTGTGACTTAAAAAAAAATTGGGGTCCAGTTCAGCAGGGAGCTTGGGCAAGAAGATGGAAGAGAAGAAAAAGAGAAGGGAAAAAAATGGCCTTGCTCTGTTTTTTAAAAGCCGGAGATTTTTCAAGTTCATTCAATGATGGGCACAAAAAATGACAGGGGAGAGAAGATGCATTTTCTCCTGTCAGGGCCAAGGCTGTGTGCATCCTGGTGCCTTCGTGCTTGTCTCAGCAGCATTTTTTATTTGGGGAACCAATGAGGTCTGATGAGCCTGAGCCAGCTTTTTTTGGCCTATCATGACTGACTGAGTGTTACGCCATCTCAGGGTCACTTGGTGATCTGGCCCCGGGGACGGGGTGGGGGCACCCTAGCCAAAGGATTTCAGGACTGGCCAGGCCTTCTTATTTATTGACTCATTTGTCAATAGCCACACTCTGTAAGAAGGGCCAAGCATTCACCCATTTTGCAGGTGGGGCAGCTGAGGCTCAGGAGGTCAGGGACTTGCCAGAGGTCACGCCAAGGGTGACTGGTGTTGCTGAGCTACCTGGCTTCAGGGCTGAAGCTCTTTGTCACCAGGCTGTGCTGCAGGCCAGTGCAGCTGGGGCCCAGGGGAGTTCAGGGAGTGACGGCTTTTGTGAAGGAGGGGGCACCCAAAGCCAGTCCTGGGAGAGGCAGACAGGAGACAGGAGGTGAACTGGGGAGAGAACATGGAGTGGAGGGGACCTGCCCAGGGACACATGTGGCCATGCAACGAGGCAAGGTTTGTGCATGGGGCGTGAGGTCAGCTTGGCAGGGGCGTGAGGCAAGCCTGGCAGGAGGCTAGACATCTACCAGCAACACACTCAGAAAAGGCAGGTGCCCGTGGGGGTATGAATGTGCGTGTGTGCGTGCATGCTTGTGTGTTTGTGTGTCCTCGCATGCGCATGGCGGGGAAACCTTTCTAAATTCACCCTTTTTTGCTTGATTCTTCCACAACTTTTCAAGGACTTGTAGGGGAGCTCAGGACCCCAAGGCCAATTTGACAGGGATGAGCAGAGGAGCTGCACCCCCAAACCGAGGTCACCATGTGGAGAATGGGCACAGGGAGTCATTGGGGTGCCATGTCGGGCATCAGAGGTGGCATCATGGAGGCAGAGAGGCCAGGGAGGAGGCTTCTGCAGCCCCTTCAGGCGGGAGGGGGTGGGCAAGAGAGCAAGGATCTTCAAAGCATCATTTGTGCTGTCTGGCCCAGGGCACAGTTGGGGTCTGAAAATTCAAGCCATTTTTATCCAGCTCAGGGTGGCTGTGGGTCCACCCCCGACCCTCTGCCAAGGGCGCATCCATATCGAACACCCCGTTTCTGGCCCAAATACCCATCCGTTAAGCCCAGGCAGGTAGATCTGTGTGCATATTAATACCCCGTTCATCACAACCCTTTCTCCTATAATTTTGCCTGGGGTTTAAGGAGCGGCTCTGGCAAAGGAGAGAATAATCTAATTGATTTAGAGGATTAGAATTCCAGGCTGCTGGGTCCCACATGAGGGAAATGCGACAATGCTAATTAGTTAAATAAAATAAATGTGCTCAGCATGAATGTGCAATTACCCCCAGCCCCCCACCCCCAGCCCCTGCAATTCCTGCAGCAGCTGGGGCTCCGAGGGTCTGGTTAGGAAATGCACAGACAGGCATGGGCCAAGCTCCTCGTGCAGACAGCGCCACAAGAAAAACCATTCCTAATACACAGGTACTCCCTGGATTCCTGCAGTCTGAGGAGGTGGCCCAAACTTTTCTCCATGGCCTTCAGAACTCTGCACAATTGCTCTGCCCACCCTCCAGCCTCACCTCTTGCCTGACCTCACCCCCCTTCCCCTCCCGACCCTGGCAGCCTTTCCACCTTCCCATTCCTTCCCACCTCCAGGCCTTTGCACAGGCTGGTCCGCCTGCCTGCAAAGCTGTTCCTCTCTCTCTTCCCACGGAGCTCAGCTTGGGGAAGCGTCCCTTGAACTTGTGACCCAGCTGGCGCCCCTCCCATTTCCCTGCTGGCTGTATTTCTGGTTGTCGTTATCCGCTTGTGTGAGTTTTTGCTTCATGACTGTCTCCCCTAGAGATGAGGGGTGCTGGGACTGAGCCTGCCTGACTCACTGTTGCATTTCCAGAGTCTAGCACAGAGCCTGGCATGGTGTAGTAGGTACCCAATAAATATTTGTTGAATAATTATCACACACACAGACATACGCCCAGGCCAATGTGTGTGTGAACCCATACACAGATTTTTTTTTTTTTTTTTGAGATGGAGTTTCACTGTTGTCACCCAGGCTGGAGTGCAGTGGCGAGATCTTGGCTCATTGCAACCTCCGCCTCCTGAGTTCGAGAAATTCTCCTGCTTCAGCTTCCCCAGTAGCTGGGAATATAGGAACAGGCCACCATACCTAGCTAATTTTTTTTTTTTTTTTGTATTTTTAGTAGAGACAGGGTTTCACCATGTTGACCAGGCTGGTCTCGAACTACTGACCTCAGGTGATCCTCCTGCCTCAGCATCCCAAAGTGTTGGGATTACAGGCATGAGGCACCGCGCCTGGTTGGTGTGGATCCCATGTCTGTTCACATATGCGTACCGGTGACATGACGTGAACGAGTGAAAGAGCTCCTGCGGGGGCCCGGGAAACCCAGACCCTGTGTCTACAGGGAACAGCTGAGCCAGGCAGGGACCTAGGCCCCATATTCCCATGACTTCTAAAAATCCCGATTTTAGTGGAATGTCTCCTGAGTCTTAACTGTTGGGACCTAATTAGATCTTTTGAAAAACACTGTCTAAGCCAAATAGTGCAGTCTACAGGCTGGTGGAATCCCAGAATCTCATAGGGAGATCATTTACGTCAGAGGACAGGCATATGTGATCAAATAATAATGGTCCAAGGTTGAGGGTAAGAAAGTGCTGTCAGCTTCCAGGGGCTTGGTGCGGGGAGGGCTTCGTGAACCTGCCTGGGTGGCCATGTTAGCCTTGTGAAGATTCAGACTCTAAGAGTCGGCTGTGCTGACTGCCAGGCGGGGACCGTGAGGACACAGTGGGGCCAGCATTTAGTGTCCCAGGAGCTGAGTCCTGGTTCCAGCTCTGCCACCTCCTCGACTCTCCCTTTTCCTCAGTTAGCTGTTGTTGAAGGCATATATGAAAACGCTTTGGAAACTGTAAAGTGCCATGGATTAGGCTATGTGAGTGACAGTGGTTCCTAGGGTGGAAACTTGTTAACGTGAATTTGTGACTCGTAAAACTCCTATTCCTAGCAAGCGAGCAGGATGTGGGCAAGGGAATAAAAAAAAAAAATCAGATGCTGGGCGCAGTGCACACCTGTAATCCCAGCGCTTTGGGAAGCCAAGGTGGGCGGATCATCCGAGGTCAGGAGTTCGTGACAAGCCTGGCCAACACAGTGACACCCCGTCTCTACTAAAAATACAAAAATTAGCCAGGTGTGGTGGTGCACGCCTGCAGTCCCAGATACTTGGGAGGCTGAGATGGGAAAATCGCTTGAACCCAGGAGGCAGAGGCTGCAGTGAGCCGAGATCGCACCACTGCTCTCATAAGGAGATCATTTACGTGGGAGGACAGGCATCTGTAATAAAATAATAATGATAATAATAATATAGCAGCTAACATTTATTGAGTGCTTACCATATGTTAGGAGCCATGACGAGCACTTTATATGAATTATCTCGTTTAACTTGGGCCCAGGGAAGGACCCTGGCCTAAAAATATCTCCCTTGGTAGCTTGCATCTGCTAAGGATTCCACCATTAGGTGGAATCATTTCCATGGCTCAGGCAAACATTTCTGCTTATTGGCCATTTTCAAGTTCTGGAAGTTTTTCTTTCGATCTAACTAAAGTCATTTGTGCTAAAATTGAGGTTAATTTTCCCCTTAACCAGTTTTGCAAACCAAGATAGTCCACAACTTCCTAATTTTAAGACAAGGTGAAATTCTCCACAAATACCCTCCTTCCTGGGGGACTTCATCACTGTAAATCGCTCGTGGTTGGAAGCTGAGTTAAACCAAGATGACTCTGGAAAGACCATGGTCTCACACATACACACTCCTGCCCTCTGGGTGCTCTCAGTCCACTGTGAGAGACGGGTGTTAATCCAATAATCATGCATGATAAAAAATACAATTACAACTGTGACCAAAATGAGGAGAGCTGCCATAATGGGGTATCTGATCTAGCCTGGGGGGCCAGGAGGGCTTCCTGGAGGAGGTGCTATTTGAAGTGAGCACTGAGGTGTGGAGGATTTGACAAAGGGTGGGGAACTTGGCTGGGTGTGTGCACTGGAGGAATTGCTAGTGGCCGATGAGGCTGAGGGGCAGGCCGGGATGAGACCTCAAAGGGCCTTGTCAGCCACCGTGGGGACCATCAAAGAGTTTAAGTTAGGGACATTTTGAAAAAATTGGTCTGGCTGTTGTGGAAGAAGAGGCTGGAAGGTTGTGTAGATCTGGGAGGAGGCTGGGGTGATGGCCTGGGTGGGAGAAGCCCTGGACCTTGCTTTTGCCAGTGCTGAGGGATGTGGATTCTGGAGAGAAGGGGAAGGGGTCCAGTGGTGTTTAGAGGAGGTCAGTGGGTTCAGGGGTGGAGTGTGCAGAGTGCAGAAAGAAAACAGAAATGGTGATTGCAGAGTTTGGCTACAGCAGTAAGGCCTTCTGGGGCCCAGGTCTGGGGAGAACCTGAGTTGGGTTCTGAACATGCTGAGGGGCCAGCGAAGTGCTGGGTGGAGCTGATAGAGGCTGATTGCAGGGCCCAGCCTGGGGCAGGAGGCATCTGACCCCTATTCCTCACCCCAGCACCTTCCCTGGGGCCTCCACCTCTGCCAGGAGGCCACGTGAAGGCAAGGGTTGGCATCACGAGTACAAATCCATTCTTCTGGCGTGGCTGGAAGACGATCCCAGCCTGCCCAATGTGAGCTGGCCTCGGAGTATCCCTGCAGTGCCCGGAAAAGCCTGAGCTGTGGGGCAAGCAGGGAGGAGGCTGAACTTGGCCCTGGCCAGGGTTCGGCCTTGTCTCTTTCAGCGTAACTAGGTGCTTAATTGCACTGCTAAGGCCTGTCGATGCCTGTGCGGAGGTGATTATGATTTACAGCTGGGTCGCCATGCGGGGGTCCCTTTCTTCGTGGGCTCTCCAGTCGCCCTGGAGGGCTGGGCTGAAGGGCTTTCTGCATAATGTGTGGTGGATGAAATCCAACGGGCTGCTCCTGGAGTGGGATATTGGGCCCCCTCCCGTGGGAGAGGCCTCTGATGAGGTTTGGGGCTGGGTTTTCCCAAGACATGGAGGATTGGGGGCCTCGGAAAGACATGAGAAGACCGATCTGTAGTTTATTGTTCAGAAGGCTCCCAGAGGGGTGGGTAAGGTGTGGCCTCTGTCACCAGCTGGGTGACCTTGAGAAAATCGCTTCACCTCTCTGAGTCTCAGTTTCTTCACCTGCATCATAGGGTTATTGTGAGGTTTAAATAAGAGTGATGAAGCTTGGCTGGGCGCGGTGGCTCACGCTTAGAATCCCAGCACTTTGGGAGGCCGAGGCAGGAGGATTGCTTGAGCCCAGGAGTTCAAGACCAGCTTTGGCAACATAGTAAGACCCCATCTCCACAGAAAGATACAAAAATTGGCCAGGAGTGGTGGTGCGCACCTGTGGCCACAGCTACTCAGGAGGTCGGAGGGGGTGCTGAAGCGGGAGGATTGCTTGAGCCCAGGAGGCTGAGGCTGCAGTGAGCCATGATCACGCCAGGGCACTCCAGCCTAAGGTGACAGAACGAGACCCTGTCTCAAAAAAAAGAAAAAGAAAGAAAGAACGAAAGAAAGAAAGAAAGATTGATGAAACTTATCACATCATCTCACAGTGATCAGGCACTTCATAAACATTAGCCACTGGCACTACTGTTGCTGTTATTATTTTTATTAAAAATATCGTATTTGCCTTCTCCAGATTGTGCTTAGAGGCATGGACCACAGGGACTGGGAGGGAGTCGTGTCTGACATGTGTCCTTGCCCTTCATCCTGTTGGAAGTTCACTCGCTGAGTTGCTTGATTATGGGTTAGGGGTCTAGGTTCTCCGTTAGACTGTCAGCTCGTGCCAGCATTACCAGGATCTGGCTGGCCCATTGTGGTAGGCACTCGCTAAGTGCTTGTTGAATGAACGGACAAATTTAGCCCAAGAAAACCGAGGCCAGAGTGCTGGTGACTTGTCACGGTCAGCGCCTGGCCTCCCATCCCTCCCTGCGGTGCTCCCTGCCCTCCTCCTCTCTGAGAGAGGAAGAGCTCGTGTTCCTGAAGGCCACATCTGTCTCTTGGCAGAGGGGGTGACAGGGAGGAGGGAGCTGGCTGCCTGGGGAGCCGTCCAGGCCTTCGTGGCCCCATCTAGGGGATGGGAGTGGGTGGGCCGAGGGCTGGGCCTCGCTTGGTGCTCCCTCCCTAGGAGCGAGTGCTCCCAGCACTTTGGATTATTACTCCATTAGCGCCTTGTAGGGTTGACAAATGAAGGATAATTAATATCCGTGAGGGAAGCAGATGTTGAGGTAATTCGCTCCCGCTGCGCATTTGCAACAGCATCTCCTAACTCGCCAGAGAGAGCACACAGGACCACAGGGTGGAGGTGATGGAGTCAGAGGGACAGGGTGGGCTCCAGCAGGGCCTGGCACTAGGGAGGGGGCACCCCCACAGCCAGAGGGGCAGCTGGGAGGGTTTCCCACTGCTTGCCATGGGGAAGTCCTGCCTGGGTCCCACCTCCGTGCCTCTGCTGAAGGCTTTCCCTCCACGTAGGGGACGATGGGCAGCAGGGAAGGCTCAGCATGAGGGAGGAAGATCAGGCTCCCTGCTGCTGGACACTCTCTTCTTCCCTTCCCTGTGGCCCTGCCAGCACTGGTGGCCCTCGGTGAGCCTGTCACACCACTGGAAGGGTGAGAGCGCATGGAGCCTGTTCCCAGTTCCGCCACTCACTGACTCCATGCCTCTGGGCAAGTCACTTCTTTTGGAGCTTCAGTTTCACCATCTGCAAAGTGGATATCGTTATGTGTATTCACCCTGCTATAAAGAACTACCAGAGACTAGGTAATTCACAAAGAAAAGAGGTTAAATTGGCTCAACGTTCTGCATGGCTGGGGAGGCCTCAGAAAACTTAGAATTATGGTGTAAGGCTAAAGGGAAGCAAGGCATGTCTTACGTGTTGGCAGGAGAAGAGTGAACGAAGGGGAAACTGCTACTTTTAAACCATCACATCTTGTGAGAACTCACTCACTATCACGAGAACAGCATGGAGAAAACTGTCCCCATGATCCACTCACCTCCCACCAGGCCCCGCCCTCAACATGTGGGGATTACACTTTGAGATGAGATTTGGGTGGGGACACAGAGCCAAACCATATCATCATGCGCATGTGACTTACAATTAGAAAGCAAGACATCTGAGTATGACTTCAGTTGGAGAAAGAAGGTCATGGGGTGGGTCCCTGCATTCAACAAATGTTGATGATTATTTACGGAGTGCTGGGCTCTGTGATAACCACTCACATGGACAAAATAAATATTGTCCCTGCTCTCATGGAGGGTACGGTTTAGCCAGGGAGAGAACCCAAAATCAAGTCAACAGACAAATACACGGTTCAAAATGAGAAGACTGCTATGCAGGAAATAGGAGGGAGTGGGGACAGGGGGTCAATTTCTTGGAGGAGGTGACATTTAGGATGAATGGGAACCAGGCAGGTGAAGATGAACAGGGAACCCCACCCAGGCAGAGGGCCCAGCACGCGCAAAGGCCGTGAGGTCAGCAAGAGTTTCCCATTGGGGTGTTGACGAAAGAGCCCTCCCCAGGGCAGATTGGTAAGACGATTAGAAGTCACACGTGTGAGTGCCCAGCACAGGCTCAGAAACATCTGCAGGCTGCATGCAGAGGGCGCACTTTCTCATCCTGGCCCCCTCACTGCAGGGGTGACCAGCAGGGGCATCCCACCTGGAGCCAGAAGTTGGGCTTCCTTCTCTAGGAGCTGGGGCTTGGCAGGAACAGGCCAGCTCGTTGTCCCTCCAGAAGAGACAGACCAGTAGTCCACAGGTCTGAGGCCCACTCACCTGAGCCTACAAAGCTGTCTGGGAAGGGGGTCAGTGGCTGGCAGCTGAGAACTGATCTCCACTGTTCTGTCCAGGCAGGACAGGGGCTGCAGGAAGGTTTTTTTTTTTTTCTAAGAAGAAGGGGCCAGGAAAGGAAAGAAGCCCCCTCCCACCACCACCACCCCTCTCCATAGGCCCAACTCCTTTTTTTTTTTTTTTAATCTTTTATTTTGAGTTATAGTCTCAGGAAAAGTTTCAAAAATAGGTCATTAAGTCTCCTGTACCCATCAGCCAGCTTCCCCAGTGGTGTATCTTATGTAACTGTCCATCTGCTTTTTCTTTTTTAATTGAAAAAACACCCACAGCAACTTTATATTCAGGGCAGATTTATTCATAAGAGCTTTAATCTGGAAATCACATAAATGTCCATCGACGGTGATCACATAAACAAATCGTGCAGTATGCATGTGATGGAATACTATACAGCAATGAAAAAGAACAAATGGATGGCTGGGCATGGTGGCTTACACCTATAATCCTGGCACTTCGGGAGGCTGAGGTGGGTTGATCACTTGAGGCCAGGAGTTCGGGACCAGCCTGGCCAACATGGTGAAACCCCATTTCAACTAAAAATACAAAAATTAGCTGAGCATGGTGGCGGGTGCCTGTAATCCCAGCTACTGGGGAGGCTGAGGCATGAGAACTGCTTGAACCCAGGAGGTGGAGGTTGCAGTGAGCTAAGATCGTGCCACTGCACTCCAGCCTGGGTAACAGAGACTCTGTCTCAAACAAACAAACAAATAGATGCAGGCAGCAACATGGAGAAATCTCACCGATAACAGGTTGTGTCGAAAAAGCCAGGCACAGGAAAGAAGCCACCCATACAAGAGTTCCAAAACAGAAAAAAACGAATCTATGGTGATAGAAGTCAGTCAGAAAGCGGGGGACCCCAGAGGGGGAGTATTGCTCAGTGAAGGGTGTGCTCTAGGGGGTCACGAGTGTTCCATGCTTTGCTCTGGATGGTGGTTACACAGGTGTACACACAGGAAACATTTCCTCAGGCTGTGTGCACTTTACTCTACATAAGTAATACTCCCATTTTAAAATAGAAATGTAAAAACCCAACCAAATAAAACAAAAAGTCAAAGTACAAAGACGAATATAACAAACATCCTTGCTCCCCCCAAGTGGAGTGAATAGTTATTAGCATCCTGATATATTTGTCGTCAGCCTTTATATTGTTTTGTTTTGTTTTTTATTATGTTATTTTATTTTATTTATTTATTTTTTTGAGACGGAGTCTCGCGCTGTCGCCCAGGCTGGAGTGCAGTGGTGCGATCTCAGCTCACTGCAACCTCCGCCTCCTGGGTTGTTCAAGTGATTTTCGTGCCTCAGTCTCACGAGTAGCTGGGATTACCGGCATGCACCACCACACCCCCGGCTAGTTTTTGTATTTTTAGTAGAGATGGGGTTTCCCCATGTTGCCCAGGCAACATGCCCAGGTCTCAAACTCCTGACTTCAAGTGATCCGCCTCCCTCGGCCTCCCAAAGTGCTGGGATTCCAGGCATGAGCCACCGCACTTGGCCTGGTTTGGTTTTTAAAAGACCGGTCTCACTCTGTCACCTAGGCTGGAGTGCAGTGGTGCAATCACGGCTCACTGCAAGCCTCAAACTCCTGGGCTCAAACAGTCCTCGCACCTCAGTCTCCTGAGTAGCTGGGACTGCAGGCGCCTCTATTTTTTTTTTTTTTTTTTTTTAGGAAATGTAAACTTTCAGACTAAACGAAGACTTTGCTTTGTAGCCTACACCAGGTCCACTTCCTCCCCTGTGTTCTGCCCTAGGGTCTACCACTGCTGTGAGGAGGCCCCGTTGTTCCCTCCTGTCTATTTTAAACTTCCACACCCGGAAGACCCCAAAACCAGTATAGAGTAGGTGTCTGTGTTTGTTTACATAAATGGCATCCCCTGGGGGTGGGCAGCAGTGAGAGCTTTCCCTCTGCTGTTTGCCACTGAGCTCACGTGCCTAGTTCTAGCTCCGTCTTTCGGACCACTCTGCAGTGCTTCATGCAGGGAACCGGCCACTGCTTAGTTATGTGGTCTGTTGGTGGACATGGCAGTTGCTTTTACTTTTTTGCTATTTAACTCACTCTTGTGCAAACCTCGGTGGGCCCTTGTGGGAGTGTTTCTGGGGCTCCCGTCCTAGCATGCGATCTTGGGACCCCCCCCCCCGACTCTTCTTCTCCCCCACTGTCACTGGATGGACAGGTCACGGTCTCTCTGTCACCCCCAGGTGGTCAAGGTGGTGGGCAGCAACATCTCCCACAAGCTGCGCCTGTCCCGGGTGAAGCCCACGGACGAAGGCACCTACGAGTGCCGCGTCATCGACTTCAGCGACGGCAAGGCCCGGCACCACAAGGTCAAGGCCTACCTGCGGGTGCAGCCAGGGGAGAACTCCGTCCTGCATCTGCCCGAAGCCCCTCCCGCCGCGCCCGCCCCGCCGCCCCCCAAGCCAGGCAAGGAGCTGAGGAAGCGCTCGGTGGACCAGGAGGCCTGCAGCCTCTAGACTGATGCCCCTGCCCCCGCCCATCCGCCCCCACGCTGTACAGAGTGCATGAGGAGCCGCCGGACCACCGGGGACCGACTGCCTGCGTCCAGCCGCGCCCCATCCCCGAGGCCGCCTGTGGCCACCATGTCGGCCCTCTTTCCACCACCCCTTGCTCAGCATGTAAGCCCCACCCACCCCTGCCCTTTCAGACCCCTGCGGTGACCTGGCTCGGAGAAGGTGGCCCTGGGCACCAAGGGGCCAACCGCCCTGAACACTGGGGCAGGGACCATGCTGGGGCCCGGGGCCACCCCCTTCCTGTCACCAGCTTCTGTGGAGTCCAGTGTTTTGCTTTGCTTGCTTGTCCCCCATCCTGTCCTGAGCCGGGGCCCCCCAGCCTCGCCTCCCTCCTCCTACCATCCCTCACTTGGACCTGGGGGTGTGGACAGTGACCCCTCCCTGAATATGGACTTGAATCTTCTGAGCAGAACTAGGGCCTCTCCCCTGGTGAAGACCCAGGGAACCCAGGAGGGCCCTTCTGGGGCAGTGGCTCTGCAGGGTCACTCATGGAGGCCTAGGGGAACAGCGAGATGCCCCACCACCTCCTGGCGAGTCCTTCCTGTTCAGCTCCCTGTGCGACCCTCCAGGGATGCAGGGGATCCAGGATTCTCTGCCCTGTCACACGGCGAGTCAGAAGGGAGGGGCCTTTCCCTCGGACCCATGGCCCCAGGCAGAGTTTTGCACCAGCAGGACCCCTTTGAGGGCCTTCAAGGCTCTCCCAGGAGTCCCCCTCTGCCGGCCCCCCAATGCCCCAGCTCCCTCTTGGGTCCTGTGCCAAGTCCGCCCCAGGGCCTGGGGCTGTTGGGAGCCAAGGGCCCCCTGGTACTCAGTTCCCTCACGATTCCCGATCACGGGCACACCTGCCCCCTGGTTATTTGTAAATATTTCTATTGGACCCAATTCTCCTCGGAATTGGCTGGCACCTCTGGCTGCCGCAGCTCAGTGATGACGTGGGGGAGGTGGGAGAGGCCGAGGGCTTTGCCTAGGGGTGGGTTGCCCTGTATACATGATCCAGTCTGTGACTACCAGCCAACCTGAATAAAGCGGTTTTAAAAAAACCTCTGGGCAGTGTCTTTCTGGGGCATTTGTGCCTGGGGGGTGTGTGGGGTGGAGGCAGGAGAGCAGGTGGCTAGCTCACACCCACGCCTCACTCAGCATCTCTCTCCTGCTTTGCACCCCAAGCAGCGCCTGGCTTTGCAGTGCAGAGCACAGGACCGGTGGGGGCAGAGGGAGAGGGTGGGAGACAACCAGCTTTTGTTCAGCTCCAATCCTGTTACCAGGCACTCAAATTATTCTTTGCTTCTGAGATAATCACCTACAGAGAAGACTGCATAAAACATGTTTACACAGTTTTGTAAATAATGTAAAGCAAATACTTGTGTAGCCACTACCTACCAAACATAGCACCCCAAAAGAGAACCTCCCCAAGCCTGATGTGTCATTTCCATCTATCCCTTCTCCTCCCTCTTAGAGGCAGCCACTGTCCCCACAGTTAAGGTAATCTCATTCTTTTTTTTTTTTGTTTTTGAGACGGAGTTTCGCTCTGCAACCCAAGCTGGAGTGCAGTGGTGCAGTCTCGGTTCACTGCAACCTCCATCTCCTGGGTTCAAGTGATTCTCCTGCCTCAGCCTCCCGAGTAGCTGGAACTATAGGCATGTGCCACCACACCTGGCTAATTTTTTTGTATTTTTATTAGAGCCAGGGTTTCGCCACATTAGCCAGGATGGTCTCAATCTCCTGACGTCGTGATCTGCCCGCCTCAGCCTCCCAAAGTGCTGGGATTACAGGCGTGAGCCACTGTGCCCAGCAGTTTTTTTTGTTTTTTTGTTTTTTTGTATTTTTAGTAGAACTGGGGTTTCGCCATGTTGGTCAGGCTGGTCTCAAATTCCTGACCTCAAATGATTCACCTGCCTCAGCCTCCCAAAGTGCTGGGATTACAGGTGTGAGCCACTGTGCCCAGCTGATAATCCCATTCTTAATGTTCTTTTTGTAGTCTTACTACCTATGTGTATGTCCTTGTATTTATTTTTTATTTTAAGTTCCGGGGTGCATGTGCAGGATGTGCAGGTGTGTTATATAGGTGAATGTGTGCCATGGTGGCTTACTGCACCTATCAACCCATCACCTAGGTATTAAGCTTGGCATGCATGAGCTATTTTCCCACTGTTCTCCCCCTCCCCTGCCCTCCCCTGTGTATGTCATTTTAAACAATGTATGTGAGTTTCCTCCATTGTCTGACCTGCATATGCACAGAATCATACTGTATTTCTCATGTCTTATATTTGTGAGATTCATCTGTGTTGCTGCATGTGTCTGTAATTTGTTCACCTTTATTGCTGTATAATATTTCACTGTATGACTATCTCACCATCTATCAACTTACTTATCCATTGTATTGCTGACAAGAATTGGAGTGTGTTCCCGACTGGGTACTATGACTTACCAACAACACTGCTGTGAGCACACTGGTCAGGATCTCCTGGTGCACATGAGCCTGAGATTCTCCTAGTGGATTTATCAGGTCAGAGGCTTAGGCACTTTACTTTGGCATCTCATTTTCTCTTATGAAGTATCAACAACCCCTTATTCCAGTTGAGGAAACAGGCTCAGAGAGGTTAAGTAGCTTGCCCAAAGTCACAGAGTTGTTGAACTCAGACCTCCCTTAGCCGTAAAGTCTGTTTGTCTTGTTTCTGCCAGGTCTGGACCACCTCCCCGGTCCCTGCCATCCCATACTACACCCTGGGCTCTTGACTCCCTTTGGCTTATTCTAGCCGAGTGTCCCACCCACTATGGTCCTGCTGAGAATCTGCCTGAGGATGTGTCCACCTGGGGCTCTCAGGTCAAGCCCTCATAGCCAGAGTAGCCATCTGGTCCTTGCTCTGCAACATGCAGAAACCACAGGCACCCCTTGGAGATTGGGAACTGTTGAAATGATGATTGACCTTGGCCCTGGGCCCCGTGTCCCGGCCCTGTGCTGATCACCACAGTAGCCCTGAAGCAGGCCTTGCATCCTCTGTCTTCAGATGAGGACAATGAGGTTCAGAGAAGGGTGGGCTGGAGAATAGATGGATAGATAGATGATGGATGGATGAGGACATGAATAATAACCAGGCTATGAAGTAGTCAGGACTCTGCTCCTGCAGCAGAATCCAGGTATGCCAGGGATAGATGGTCTTATGACCTGTGGTCCTCTCAGGCCACTGGCTAGCCTGAACTCAATGAATATGGTCTCTTCCAGAAATCTCCACATACAAGGCTGGTTCTGGAAGGCCCAGGTCCCTCTAGGAGGGTGTGGGAGGATCTATGTCATGCTAGAGTGATAACAATACTCACCAGCCCTGAGCACCTCCTATGCACCAGGCACTAGTGAAGGGCTTTCCACAGGAAGTTCTGATATTCCACAGGGTCTCATCCAACCCTCCCAAGGGTCTTTGTCCCATCCCTGGCCATTTTACTCCCATAGAGGGGTCCCCCCAACCTCCTTAGAGGGATTTTTCTTGTTCCACTGGGAAGACAGACAAAAGAAGAAGAAGGTGCCTGGGTTAGAATCCTGCTTCTGCCCATCTTTGCCCCATGGCTGCAGGCAGGGCTCTTCACCTCTCTGAGCCTCAGTTCCCTGTTCTGTACCATGGGGATGCTCCTGGGGAAGTGCAAATCAAAACCACAATGTGTTACCACTTCACACACATGAGGACGGCTGGAATAAAAAAGACAAACACTAACAAGTACTGGCGAGGATGTGGAGACATTGGAACCCTCATGCACTGCTGGTGGGAATATAAAAGGATGTAGCTGCTTTGGAAAACAGTCTGGCGCTCCTCTCAAGGTTAATCATAGAGTTACCAAGTGACTGAGCAATTCCGCTCCTAGGTATCAGCCCAAGAGGACTGAAGACACGTGACCACATAAAAACCTGTGCCTGAATGTTTATAGCAGCATTATCCATAATAGCCAAGAAATGGAAACAACCCCCATGTCCATCAAATAATGGATGGCTAAATAAAATGTGGTATATCAGCCTGGGTGTAGTAGCTCACGCCTGTAATCCCAGCACTTTGGGAGGCCGAGGTGGGCGGATCACGAGGTCAGGAGATCAAGACTATCCTGGCCAACATGGTGAAACTCTGTTGCCACTAAAAATACAAAAATTAGCCAGATGTGGTGGTGCACACCTGTAACCCCAGCTACTCAGAAGGAGAAGAATTGCTGAGGCTGAGGCAGGAGAGGGAGGCTGAGGCAGGAGAATCGCTTAAACCAGGGAGTTGGAGGCTGCAGTGAGCCAAGATCACCCCACTGCACTCCAGCCTGGAGACAGAGTGAGACTCCGTCTCAAAAAAAAAAAAAAAAAAAAGTGGTATATCCAGACGATGGAATATTATCTGGCAATAAAAAGGAGTGACATTCTGACACTACATGCTACACTGTGGCTGAGCCTTGAAAACACGGTGCTAAGCGAAAGCAACCAGACACAAAAGGCCACATATTGTGTGATTCCATTTATATGAAATGCCCAGAATAGGCAAATCCACAGAGATGGAAATCACATTGGTAATTGCCTGGGACTAAGGGAGAGGAGAGTGGGAAGTGACTGCTAATGGGTGTGAGTTTCTTTTGGGGGTGATGGAAATGTTCTAAAATTGATTGTGGTGATGGTTGCACAACTGTGTGAATATAGAAAAAGCCATTGAACGCACACTCTAAGTGGGTGAACTGTGTGGGACGTGAATGATATCCAAATAAAGATTCTAAATGAAACAAGATGCTCCTGACCACAGTGCCCACATCGGACATGGGGAGACGCTTAGGGAATTCTGGCTTCTATTAACCTTGCCGTGATCTTTACGTGAAGCCAGAGCGAAGTCTGCCTGTCCTCAAGGCGCAGCTGGTGGGAGTGGAGATGGGAGCGGTAGAGAAACATGAGCTGGGGGAGGGAATTCCTTTTTTGTTTGGTTTTTGAGATGGAGTCTTGCTGAAACACCCAGGCTGGACTGGGATGGTGTGATCTTGGCTCACAGCAACCTCCACTTCCCGGGTTCAAGCGATTCTCCTGCCTCAGCCTCCTGAGTAGCTGGGATTACAGGCACAACTGGCTAATTTTTGTATTTTTAGTAGAGACAGGGTTTCACTCTATTGGCCAGGGTGGTCTCGAACTCCTGACCTCAAGTAATCCACCCACTTTGGCTTCCCAAGTGCTGGGATTACAGGTGTAAGCCACCGCACCCGGCTGGGGGAAGGAATTTCTTAAAGGGAGTCCCCAGGCCCTATTCAGAAGGCTCAGAAAAACCTCAGTGCACCTCCAGAGTAGCTGTGGGCCGCTTTCCCCTTTGTGCCCAGCATAAGAATAGCATGGGCCGGGGGGTGCTTGTTTTAAGTTCAGATGTCCAGACCCCATCTTGGCCTTCAGACTCCCACCTGCCAGCACCTATAGTTAACTAGTGGCCCTCAAGATGACAATACATCTTGGTGATGGTTCCACGTGGAATTTTTAATTGCTATAGAATATTCCATTTTATTAGGCTGTTCTTGCATTGCCATAAAGAAATACTCGAGACTGGATGATTTATAAAAAGAAAAGAGGTTTAACTGGCTCACAGTTTTGCAGGGCTTATAAGCATAGCACCAACATCATCTTGGTTTCTGGTGAGGGGCTCAGGAAGCTTCCAATCATGGCGGAAGGTGAAGCAGAAGCAGGCACGTCATGTGGCAACAGCAGGAGCAAGAGAGCGAGTGGGGAGGTGCCCACATTTTTAAACACCCAGATTTCACAGGAACTCACCCTTGCAAGGACAGCACCAAGCCATTCATAAGGGATGTGCCCCAATGACCCAAACACCTCCCACCTGGCCCCACCTCCCACACTGGGGATGATATTTCAACATGAGATTTGGAAGGGCCAAATGTCCAAACTAATATCACCCATTACATAGATGAATGATGATCCATTTAGCCAGTCCCCAAATAATGAACATTCAGCTTGTTTCCAATCTTGCCCTATTATAAACAATGTTGCAGTGAATTTCGTAGATGATAAATCTGTTCATACATATGCAAATATGTTTGTAGGATAAATATCTAGAAGTTACATTGCTGAGTCAAAGAGTCATGCATTTCATTTTTAACGTTTAAGTTTTTGAGGGGACAGGGTCTTGCTCCGTCACCCAGACTAGAGTGCAGTGGTGTAATCACAGCTCACTGCAACCTCAACCTCCTGAGCTCAAGCAGTCCTCCCACCTCAGCCTCCTGAGTAGCTGGGACCACAGGCATGTGTCACCATCCCCAGCTAATTTTTTGATTTTTTGTAGAGAAGGGGTCTTACTATGTTGCCCAGGCTGGTCTTTGGCAATTTGGCAATATCAACCAAGAGTAACTGGACAATATTACTCTTGTTATGAGAATAACTTGTTATGAGCTTGAACCACGGCACCCGGCCAACTTGTGCATTTTAAATCTTGGTCAATATTGCCAAATTACTCTCTACAGATGCAGGGCCAATTTATACTCCTACAAGATATATGTGAGAATGTGCACCTAATCCCTGACTCCCCCAGTCTCTTCAACCCCAGAATCAAACATGTTGGTGCAGCTCTCTGTTGGTTAAAATGGAATCTTTTTTTTTTTTTGAGACGGAGTTTCACTCTTGTTGTCCAGGCTGGAGTGCAGTGGCGTGATCTCAGCTCACCTCAACCTCCACCTCCCTGGTTCAAGCGATTCTCCTGCCTCAACCTCTCAAGTAGCTAGGACTACAGGCATGTGCCACCACGCCTGGCTAATTTTGTATTTTTAGTAGAAATGGGGTTTCTCCATGTTGGTCAGTCTGGTCTCGAACTCCCGACCTCAGGTGATCCGCCCACCTCCGCCTCCCAAAGTGCTGGGATTACAGGCGTGAGCCACTGCGCCAGGCCTAAAATGGAATCTTACAGTGGTTTCAATTTACATTTCTCCTGGGAGTGAGATTGGCCATCTTTTTGCTTGTTTAAGAACCAAACCACATGTGCTCCATTTTCTGTGAACTGACACCTCATAATCTTTTTACTGGCTTGTTGATTGCCATCTTATTGATTTGTAGGAGTTCCTACTGAGATGAATTGAAAACTTTTTTTTTTTTTTTGGTCTTTTGGCTTTGTTTACAGTGTCTTTTTGTATTTGTCAAGTAAATGTTTTTAATTGTTAAGTAGTTTGTACATATTAATCTTCCATTTTATCATTTCTGTGTTTCCTTTCATTTATATAAATGTAAATTTGATCCTTCAGGAATTGAAATTGTTTTAAGGTATGAGGGGGGACCCAATTTTATTGTTTTCTAGATTTTAAACTTTTTCTATCTCATCTTGGCATGATTTATTTTTTCCCCACTGATTTGAAATGCTACCATTATTATATTCCAAGCTCCCACATAAATGGACTACTTCTCAACTTTCTTTCCTACTCCTTTGATCTCATTCATAGGTCAGTACCACACTGTTTAAATTATTATAGTTTTATAACTTATTTTAATACATTTTAAGGCTGTTTTTGACTCCACTTTCTGTTTAATTTTTATTTCCACAACTTGCCTGGATTCATCTTTGCTTTTCCATGTGAACTAGAATAATCTTATCCACTTAAAAAATTGTCATTTCAGTTGGGATCATGTTAATTCATAAATTAACACAGGAAAAACTTATATATTTATGACAATGTCTTTTTTTTTTTTCTTTTGAGATGGAGTCTCACCCTGTCACTTAGGCTGAAGTGCAGTGGCGTGATCTTGGCTCACTGCAACTTCCACCTCCCAGATTCAAGCCATTTTCCTGCCTCAGCCGCCTGAGTAGCTGGGATTACAGGCACCTGCCACCACACCTGGCATTTCACCTGTTGGCCAGGTTGGTCTCAAACTGCTGAGCTCAAGTGATCTGCCTGCCTCAGCTTCCCAAAGTACTGGGATTATAAGTGTGAACCACCATGCCTGGCCTATAACAATGTCTTTCTATGTTGTCTCAACATTCTCCTCCTTGGTACTCCCTCTTATTTTAAGACTTCTTGGCTGGGCGCGGTGGCTCATGCCTGTAATTCCAGAACTTTGGGAGGCCAAGGCAGGTGGATCACCTGAGGTCAGGAGTTCAAGACCAGCCTGGCCAACATAGTGAAAACCAGTCTCTGTAAAAATACAAAAATTAGCCAGGCACGATGGCAGGTACCTGTAATCCCAGCTACTTGGGAGGCTGAGGTGAAAGAATCGCTTGAACCCGGGAGGCGGAGGTTGCAGTGAGCCGAGATCATGCCATTGCTTTCTGGGTGACAGAGCAAGACTCCCTCTCAAAAAAAAAAAAAACAAGACTTCATTTTTGTGCTTCTCCAAAGAGTATTTTAAAAATAAGATAAATTTTTGCATGACTAGAGGGCAGTAGATACGCATAGATATGTGATAGAGGTATGGATTGATAATAGACAGTATGTGTGGAATATAGAAAATGTTAATTTTAGAATCAAAATGGTGAGTATAAGAATGTTCTCTCTACCAAATTATTTCAACTTTTATGCATGTTTAAAATTTTTTATAAGATGATGCAGAGGAGAGAGCATTTAGAAGTTTTCTTCCTATCGCCCTTTGTGATGCGCCCCTTCATCAACTAAGACGCACCCAAAGGTTAAGGAAACAGTTACTTAGGGGTTGAGGGTTCAGGGGCTGGCTGGCCTGGCAAAATTTTAAATTCCTATGGCTAAACTGCCTAACTAACGGAGCTATCAGTTCTGATTTACAACCCAGACCACTGCAACTCTGACTGGACAGAGGATCTGCTTTACAATCATTCATTTTTTGTTTTTTGTTTTTTGTTTTTTGAGACAGGGTTTTGCTCTGTCACCCAGGCTGGAGTGCAGTGGCACAATCTCGGCTTACTGCAACTTCCACCTCCCAGGTTCAAGAGATTCTCCTGCCTCAGCCTCCCAAGTTAGCTGGGATTACAGGCCTGTGCCACCAAGCCTGGCTAATTTTTGTGATTTTCGTAGAGATGGGGTTTCGCCATGTTGGCCAGACTGGTCTCAAACTCCTGAGCTCAAGTGATCCGCCCGTCTTGGCCTCCCATAGTGCTGGGATTACAGGCGTAAGCCATAGCACCCAGCTTACAATCATTATCTTCTGATAAGCAACTGCAGACCTTAAGCCAGTTTCAGCAGTTTATAGAGGCTGCAGATACCATGTACCTGGTGGGGGAAGGAGGAATCAGGTGAAAAACCAGTACAAGCAATACAAATTCAATACAGTGGCTGGACACATAAGTTAAAATACAGAAACAGGCAGGGCGCGGTGGCTCACGCCTGTAATCCCAGCACTTTGGGAGGCCGAAGCGGGTGAATCACAAGGTCAGGAGATCGGGACCATCCTGGCCAACATGGTAAAACCACATCTCTACTAAAAATACAAAAATTAGCGGAGCATGGTGGCGGGCGCCTGTAGTCCCAGCTACTCGGGAGGCTGAGGCAGGAGAATTGCTTGAACCCGGGAGGCGGAGGTAGCAGTGAGCTGAGATCGCGCCGCTGCACTACGGCCTGGCGACAGAGAAAGATGCTATGTCAAAAAACAAACAAACAAACACAGAAACATACTGTCTTTGTGTCCTATACTTCATCTTTTGATAAACAGAGCCACATTCCACTTCCTTTTCATGCTAAAACCCACCCTAGCCGGGTGCGATGGCTCACACCTGTAATCCCAGCACTTTGAGAGGCTAAGGTGGTCAGATCACTTGAGATCAGGAGTTCAAGACCAGCCTGGCCAACATGGTGAAACCCTGTCCTACCAAAAATACAAAAATTAGCCAGCGTGGTGGCGGGCCCCTGAAATCCCAGCTACTCGGGAGGCTGAGGCAGGAGAATTGCCTGAACCTGGGAGGCGGAGGTTGCAGTGAGCACGCCACTACACTCCAGTCTGGGTGACAGAGCGAGACTCCATCTCAAACAAACAAACAACCCACCCTAAAGTGAACATGGGATGTATGTTATATGTATGCTTACCCATTATGCATGCACTCGGCTCCCCTCATAAATACGTACAGCTTTTCCCCTAAACCTGCTGAATATGTACAATACCAGCACTGTGAGTCGTAAAACCCAACCCGTACTTCTCCTCTTTGAAGAGAGGGCACCTTTGGCCTGTGCTAGAGACTTTCTCTTCCTGGTATGCAAACTGATATCACCAATAAAGCTTTCCTTCCTATTTAGCCATCCTGGTGGTCTTGTGGGTGACACCCTGCATATTTTTGTTGAATTAATTCCTAAATACTTTTTGTTGTTACTATTATAATTAACTGTTTTCTTCTATTATGTCTTCTAACTCAGCAGTCCCCAACCATTTTGGCACCAGTGACCGGTTTCTTGGAAAATAATTTTTCCGTGGACCGGGTGGTGGGGCACGGGGTGGGGTATGGTTTGGGGATAAAACTCTTCCAGCTCAGATCATCAGGCATTCAGTTCTCATAAGGAGCACGCAACCCAGATCTCTTACATGCGCAGTTCACAATAGGGTTCACGCTCCTATGAGACTCTAATGCCCCTGCTGATCTGACAGGAGGCGGAGCTCAGGCGATAATGCTCACTTGCCTGCTGCTCACCTCCTGCTATATGGCCCGGTTCCTAACAGGTCACAAACTGGTACCGGTCCGTGGTCTAACTAATTGTTCTTTGTATAACTGTGAAGGCTATTGGCTTCTGTATTTTAGCTTACGTATCGGCCACTTTATTGACTCAGTATTGCTTGCACTGGTTTTCACTTGATTCCTCCCTCCCCCACCAGGTACCTGATATCTGCAAGCAAGATGATCTCCCTCATTTCTTTCCAAATCTATATACTTTTTATTTCTTTCTTTGGACTAATTGAATTGGCCAGTATCTCCAAGACAATGTTAAATGATAGAACTGCTTTAGAACATCTTTGTCTTGCTTTTAACTTTAATGAGAATGCTTCTTTTGTTTGTAATGCTGACTTTGAATATACTTCTGGAGTCTCTTGTGAATGTTTTAGGAGACTCAAACCCGATTGATGAGGCACACAAACACTTCAGTATGAATGTTCATTTCAAGCTGGCACCATTTAAGCCAGGTTCTAGGACTATGTCTGTACTCCCCACCTCAACCCCACCCCACCACCACCTTCCAGACAAAAGGAAAACATTTTTGGAATGAAACTCAGTACTTTGCCTTAGTCACCTTCAGGTGTAGCCCTGGAAGCCAACAGGTATAACATTTAGAGCAGGGGCTTTGGGGTCTGATAGACATGGGTTCGAATCCCAGCTCTGCCACCTTTGAGGTATATGGCATTTGATCCACTTCCTCCCATTTGAACTTCGGTTTCCCTGGAGAATTTGAGGGGACACGGAGCTCAGCATCTAGCACAGTGAGGCTGCTCTCATTTACCAGCATGGGGAGTGGGACGAGCAGGGCCTGGGGGATCTGCATTAATGATAAGTTTCTTTTTTAAAATTAATTAATTTATTTATTTTGAGATGGAGTCCCACTCTTGTTGCCCAGGCTGGAGTGCAATGGTGCAATCTCAGCTCACTGCAACCTCTGCTTCCCGGTTTCAAGTGATTCTCCTGCCGCAGCCTCCCAAGTAGCTGGGATTATAGGTTCACAACACCACGCCTGGCTAATTATTGTATTTGTAGTAGAGAGGGGGTTTCACCATGTTGGCCAGGCTGGTCTCAAACTCCTGACCTCATGTGATCCTCCCGCCTCAGCCTCCCAAAGTGCTGGGATTACAGGCGTGAGCCACTGTGCCTGGCCATTAATGATAAGTTTCCTTCATGCTAAAGTTTGTGAGGTATTGGAAATCACTTGTGCATAACAAGTGACTGGAAAAGACAGACTCCACGCTGAGCACTGTGGTCATTTCTGAGAAGTGGGATAGAAGAAATACATACATCCTAGGAGGCTATTTGTAAAGGGCAAGGATTACATCTGTAACTTGAAACATCTATAAATATTTAAAGAGAACCAATCGGGAAACAAAAGTAAATAAAATGGGGGAAATGAAAGAATGCCAGGGTTGGCAGGAATCCTAGTATGTGCACCATCTGGTGTCTGAGTCCCTTTGACAATGTCTCTCCCTTCAGGGATGAGATGCATTTTCCTTCTGAAAACAGCCCTTGCTGACCCGACCTAGAGCAGACCCTGGAGCTATGTCCTACTTTGCCTCCAGCCTCTCCCACCCTCTCCCCAATCCTAATTCTTTTTTTTTCCTTCTCCTCCTCTCCTCCTCTCCTCCTCTTTTTTTTTTTTCTTCTTGATTTAGTCCCATTAGTTTAGGTTTTTTTCACTCTTTTCAGACCACTTGTCTCAGAAAAGACTTGCCTAGTCTCTCAGCGTGTGTATCTTGATTGGTCTAAGCCAGGGGCTCTTAACATGCAGTCCACAGACTACCTCAACCAAGGAGTCTGTGGATGGAATGCATAGGATTCACAAACTTGGATGGGGGAGAAGGAAAAGAAGCTACACCTTTATTTTCACTAACATTTAACTGAAATTTAGCATTTGCTTCTCTTATGAATGTAAGGAACAAATCATAGTTGCATTAGCAGTACTTGTGATTTTGTCACCAAAAGAAGTGAAATATTTTTTCATATCACAAAACATTTGTTGCAGGTATCTCACAGTATTGTTTACACTCATTGCTGCTTCAAAATTATAGTTATTAGATCAGCTGCTAGATTTTATTTAACATGCTAATAAAGAAGCATATTTGTTCCTGTAACATACTTTTAAAAATATATTTTGAAAACTGTATTCAATATAATTAGTTTTCTTTGCAATTCTATCATTTTGTTTATTTATTTTTCATTTTATTTTATGTAGTTAAAACAGTATTATGAGAAGGCATCCATCCATAGGCTTCACCAGACTGCCAACGGGTCCACTAAACAGAAGAGGTTGATAAGCCTTGGTCTAAGCCAATCCTACAATTTCATTTTTCTTGCTTTTTTCATCTTTCTTTCATTTTTCTAAGGACTGGCTTACAAGTGTTATATGACCTGAGGTGAAATTTGAGGGCACATGTGCTGGAAGGAAAAGGGAGTCCCTCTTGGAAAAGGTTTCTTGTGATCTGAGGGGACATCTGCTGAAGGGAAGGGGGAGTCCCTCGTGGAAAAAGTTTCTTAACTTTTAAAAGGAGACACAAGGAAGACATGCTTTCCTCCTCTGCTTCTTGGTGTCTGACCATGTTAGGCTGGGGGTTTCTTCCACTGATAGGCACCCATGAGGAGAGCTGCTGACCTACTGAAGACGGCAGAGATGATTGATGATAAAAGCCTGGGTCTTTGAGGACACAGTTGAGTTGGTGGCTTAGCCAGACACAGAACTACTCTACCTTTGGACTCCTGTTGTCAATGGATACATCTCTTACAATGAAGTACAGTTTGGGTCAGTTGTCTGTTACTTGCAGCCTAGAGCACCTTCTCTAATCCATCATGCTATTTTTGTTGCCCAGTGTTTTCCACTCTTGGTCCTATCTCTGGGTTGACAGAGAACAAAGCTGGCATCTTCTTTTATCTGATCCTTACTCAGATTGGTCAGATCTTTTTTGCTTGAGGTTGAACATCTTCAGGTCCTTCAACTAGACTCAAGAGGCATGGTTTTGAGACCTTTATCCATCCCTACTACGTGTGTCTATCCAGGTCAGTGGTTTTCAAACTTTAGCATGCATCAGAATCATGCTGTTTGTTAAAATTAGCTTGTTAAAATGCAAACTTCTGGGCCCCACTGCAGAGTTTCTGATTCAGTAGAACTGGAGTGGTGTCCAATAATTTGCATTTCTAACAAATTCCCATATAATGCTGATGCTGCTGGTGTTGGAGACAACAGTTTGAAAACCACTGGTCAGCCGGGTATGGTGGCTCACGCCTGTAATCCCAGCACTTTGGGAGGCCGAGGCAGGCGGATCACAAGGTCAGGAGATCAAGACCATCCTGGCTAACATGGTGAAACTCCGTCTCAACTAAAAAATACAAAAAATTAGCCGGGTGTCATGGCGGGTGCCTGTAGTCCCAGCTACTCAGGAGGCTGAGGCAGGAGAATGGTGTGAACCCGGGAGGCGGAGCTTGCAGTGAGCCGAGATCACGTCACTGCACTCCATCCTGGGCGACAGAGCGAGACTCTGTCTAAAAAAAAAAAAAAAGAAAGAAAGAAAACCACTGGTCTAGGTCCCTATGAAAACATAGTTCCTCAAGATAAAACCACTAATCAAGTTCAGCAGAGCAGAGCTATCACCTCCTTCAATACTGATAGCATGCTCCTATTATTGCAGGCCAAGTTATAAGCTACTTTCTTATGCTGCTGAAATCTATGCCAACCAAAACTCTGAAACCTGTTTCATACATGTGGCTTCTAAACCCTCTCTCTGTTCTTTAAATAGGGGACTATCACTTGTCAGTGCTTATGGTGTGCTAAGTGTTTTATGAGTTATATCATTTGATTCTCACAATAACCTTTGACACAGGCGATGATCCCTTTCTGGAGAGACTGGTAACTATAAAAATAAAGAAAAAAATCTTACCAAAGTCATCCAGCTGGTAAATATGTGACGGGAGCAGGATTTGAGTCTGGGTTATAGAACTCTACAATTGAGAACATTCCTCCTGCTTAACAGCATCTATTAATCAGCTGCCCTGCGGGGCTCAAGACAAATTTACCTAATTGTGCCTCATCCAGCTCCTTTCTCTTTCTTGTTCACAGGGTCATTGCTTGTGATTTTTGTCAAATGCCCCAGGTTTCTTGAGCCTCCATTATCTCCTTCATCTGCAAGTCATCCCTTTCACTGCCCCCACCCCTGCTCCCAAGCAGAAGGTGAGGCTTGCTGAGTTGCCTTTGGAGCCACATGAGTTTGGTTTCTGAAAGTGTTAACTGTGGGCACATTTTAATAAAGGCCATTTTCTAGGCTACATCTATATAAATGTTCCAATTTAATATGCAAATGTACCATAAGTGATTTAGCGTGTGCTGGGTCTTTATTGTTCTAGTTGCAGTTATGTTGATTTAGCCCATAGCTCTATGGTTAATAATTTAGTAAGCAACCTTATTTTTTAATCTCCCTTTGTCCTCATACCTCATCCTTTTCCACATTAAGGGACTTAGGCTTGCATTAAAATTCAGTTTAATGAACAATCAATCCTTGAATAAGTGGTAGCTACAAAAGAACTCCATCCAAATGCTAGGGAATCCTGTAAGTTTATGGTTTTTTACCTTCTTTGTGGAATTCTTGCTTTTATCATAAATATAATGACCCACTTTATCCCTCCTAGTGCTTTTTGCATTATGTTCTATTTTGCCTGACATTAATATTGTTAGTCTAGTCTTCTTTGGTTAGTATTTTCCTGGGATATCTTTTTCTGTCTATTTTCAGTATTTCTGTATGATCATCTTAAGTATATCTCTTACACACCACTTACAGCTGGATTTTGATTTTTAAAAATCTCATGGATAGTCTCTAAGAGGCAAGTTTAATCCATTTACATTTATCGTGATTACTGATTTGTTTGAACTAATTTTCTAACATCTTTCTGTGTGTGTATGTTTTCTATTACAGTGATATTTTGGGGGGTGGAGGGTGGAGGGCATATGTGGCTACTTTAATTTTTTTCTTCCTTCTTTACTTTTGATGGATAGAGCTCCTTATCACCCCATCCCTTTTCCTCCCTACTGATTTGAATGCTATATATCAGGGGTCTCCAACCCCTGGTACTGGTCCATGGCCTGTTAGGAAATGAGCCAGACAGCAGGAAGTGAGTGGCAGGCAAGGGAGCATCACTGCCTGAGCTCTGCCTCCTGTCAGATCAGCAGTGGCATTAGATTCTCATAGGAGCACAAACCCTATTGTAAACTGTGCACATGAGGGATCTAGGTTGCGTGTTTCTTATGAGAATCTAATGATAAATATAATGCACCTGAGTCATCCCAAAACCATCCCCCAACACACACACACCCACCCCCACCAGTCCACAGAAAAATTGTCTTCCATGAATCCAGTCCCTGGGGCCAAAAAAAACTGGGGACTGCTGTTATATATCACATTTCTTTTAGTGGTTTTGTTTTAATTTTTAACATAGTTACTTGGCTATACATTTTCCCAACAGTGTAAAATTATTCAGTATCTCTATTTTCCTCCTGACAAGACAATCCCTTGAACATAATGTCACTACCAATTGAATTCCCCTCACTCTGTCTTCCTCGTTATTTATTTATTTATTTGAGACAGAGTTTTGTTCATGTTGCCCAGGTTGGAGTGCAATGGCACAATCTTGGCTCACTGCAACCTCCGCCTCCCAGGTTCAAGCAATTCTTCTGCCTCATCCTCCCAAGTAGCTGGGATTACAGCCATGTGCCACCATGCCCAGCTAATTTTTTGTATTTATTAGAGATGGGGTTTCACCATGTTGGTCAGGCTGGTCTCGAACTCCTGACCTCAGGTAATCCACTCACCTTGGCATCCCAAAGTGCTGGGATTACAGGTGTGAGCCACCATGCCCAGCTGTCTTCCTTGTTATTGTCTAGAATTCTGGTTCCACTATTTATCACAAAATTGAATATGTATGTAATCAGAAATTAGATTTACCAATATTTGAACACTTTCTGTACTTAACATTTTCCTTCTTTCACTTTTCCTTCTGCCAAAGTATATGCTTTAGTAATCCTTTCATGATGGTATGGGTAACTTGGTTTATGAAAGTTTGAAAATGTCTGTAATTTTTCTTCCTCAGTGTTCATTTAGCTTTGTATTGAAGTAGGTTGATAGTATTTTTCCCTCTGCATGTTCATGATATTACTTCTCTGTGTATGCCATCCCTTATTGCTAATGAAAAATCTGTTCAGTTCAACTGGCATTCCTTTGTAGGCAATTGGTCTTTAATCTCTTGTAACTCTTGAGATTTATCTCTTTATCTTTGATTTCATCATTGCAATGTTAGCACATGGTATGTGTTTTCCGTCTTAGGACTTTTTTATTTTGAAATAGTCTCAGCCATTATCTCATACATATTACATCTCCATTTCATTCTTTATTCTATCTTTCCAGTATTTCTGTTATGTATATGATGAAACATTTTAATCTGTTGACTATGTCTTAGCTGCACTTTCATGTTTTTCATTTCTTTTTCTCTCTGTGTTGCTTTGGGTGAATTTCTCAGAAATATCTTTTAATTCACTAATTGTTCCCTTAACTGTGTCTTATCCCATTTGATACTTCAATTATAATCTTTTTTTTTATTTTTAGGATTTCTTTTTCCTTTTTTTTCTTTTCTTTCTTTCTTTTTTTTTTTTTCTGAGACAGAGTTTCGCTCTTGTTGCCCAGGCTAGAGTGCAGTGGCGCGATCTTGGCTCACTGCAACCTCCGCCTCCCGGGTTCAAGCGATTCTCCTGCCTCAGCCTCCCAATTAGCTGGGACTACAGGCGCCTGCCACCACGCCTGGCTAATATTTTGTATTTTTATTAGAGACGGGGTTTCACTGTGTTAGCCAGGATGGTCTCGATCTCATGACCTCGTGATCTGCCCTCCTCAGCCTCCCAAAGTGCTGGGATTACAGGTGTGAGCCACCATGTCCAGCCATAGGATTTCTTTTTGTTTTTTGAGACGAAGCCTTGCTCTGTCGCCCAGGCTGGAGTGCAGTGGCATGATCTTGGTGCAGTCTGAGCCACTGTACCCAGCCCACTTTTAGGATTTCAAATAGTTTCTTTTTCACATCAACAGTTAATTTTGCTGGGTGTGGTGGCTCACGCCTGTAATCCCAGCACTTTGGGAGGCCGAGGCAGGTGGATCATGAGGTCAGCAGATCGAGACCATCCTGGCTAACAAGGTGAAACCCCGTCTCTACTAAAAATACAAAAAATTAGCCGGGCGCGGTGGCGGGCGCCTGTAGTCCCAGCTACTGGGGAGGCTGAGGCAGGAGAATGGCGTGAACCCGGGAAACGGAGCTTGCAGTGAGCCGAGATTGTGCCACTGCAGTCCGCAGTCCGGCCTGGGCGACAGAGCGAGACTCCGTCTCAAAAAAAAAAAAAAAAAAAAGAAAGCCAACAAATTCAACTCTGAACAGATGGATTCATTAGTGATAAGTGATTTCATAAATTCAGTTCCAGATTGCTCCAGATAAATAATGTGGAACTGACTTTAAAATACATTTAAGATCCTAGCAAAGGTAAACGAAGGAATGACTTGTAAAAAGAGAAAAGTTATGAAACAAAAACAGACAAAATTAACTGTTTTCTTTTGGTGGTTTTTTTTTTTTTTTTTTTTTTTTTTTGAGATAGAGTCTCGCTCTGGGAAAGATACTATCAACCTACTTCAATACAAAGCTAAATAAACATTGAAGAAGAAAAATTAAAGACATTTTCAAAGTTTCATAAATCAAGTTACCCATACCATCATGAAAAGTTTACTAAAGCATATACTTTGGCAGAAGGAAAAGTGAAAGAAGAAAAACATTAAGTACAGAAAGTGTTCAAATATTGGTAAATCTAATTTCTGATTAGATGCATATTCAATTTTGTGATAAATAGTGGAACCAGAATTCTAGATAAAAACAAGGAAGTGCCCAGCAGGACACTTATTTTCTTTAACATCAGTTTTGTTAAAGTATAATTTACATGCAACATAATCACCAATTTAAGTGTATTATTCAATGAGTTTTGGTTAATACATACAATCATGTAACCACCACTAAAATCAGAAAAAGAATATTTTCATCACCCAAAAACTTCCCTTGTGCCCTTTGCAGTTAATAATCCCCTTCTCCAGCCCCAAGTAACCATCGATCTGCTTTCTATACATTAGTTTGCCTTTCCTAGAATTTCATATAAATGAAATCATACAGTATGTATTCTTTTGTGTCTGGCTTCTTTTTCTAAATGTAGTGATTTTTATTTTTTATATTTTTATTTATATTTTTTATTTCAATAGGTTATTGGGGAACAGGTGGTGTTTGGTTACATGAATAAGTTCTTTAGTGGTGATTTCTGAGATTGTGGTACACCCATCACCCGAGCAGTGTACACTGTACTGAATGTGTAGTCTTTTATCCCTCACCACCCCCAACCCTTTCCCTGGAGTCTCCAGAGTCCAGTGTATCATTCTTACACCTTTATGTAGCCTCATAGCTTAACTCTCACGTATAAGTGAGAATCTATGATGCTTGGTTTTCCATTCTTGAGTTGCTTCACTTAGAATAATACTCTCCAATTCCATCCATGTTGCTGTGAATGCCATTATTTCATTTCTTTTTATGGTATTCCATGATATATATATATACCACATTTTCTTTATCCACTCATTGATTGATGGGCATTTGGGCTGGCTCCATATTTTTGCAATTGCAAATTATGTTGCTATAAGCATGTGTGTGTATCTTTTTTGCATGATAAATTCTTTTCCTCTGGGTAGATACTTAAGTAGTGGGATTGCTGGATCAAATGGTAGATCTATTTTTAGTTCTTTAAGGAATCTCCACACTGTCTAGTTTACATTCCCACCAACAGTGCAAATGTTCCCTTTTCACCACATCCATGCCAACATCTATTTTATTTTATTTTATTTTTTATTACGGCCATTCTTGCAGGAGTGAGGTGGTATCGCATTGTGGTTTCAATCTGCATTTCCCTGATCATTAGTGATGTTGATCATTTTTCCATATGCTTGTTGGCCATTTGTATATCTTCTTTTGAGAATTGTCTATTCATGTCCTTAGCCCACCTTTTCATGGGATTGGTTGTTTTTTTCTTGCTGATTTGTTTGAGTTCTTTGTACATTCGGCATATTAGTCCTTCATCAGATGTATAGATTGTGAAGATTTTCTCCCACTCTGTGGGTTGTCTGTGAACTCTGCTGATTATTTCTTTTGCCTTGTAGTATAGTTTGAAGACGGGTAATGTGATGCCTCCAGATTTGTTCTTTTTGTTTAGTTTTGCTTTGACTATGCAGGCTCTTTTTTGGTTCCATATGAATTTTAGGATTGTTTTTTCTAGTTCTGTGAAGAATGATGGTAGTATTTTGATGGGAATTGCATTAAATTTGTAGACTGCTTTTGGAAGTATGGTCATTTTCACAATATTGATTCTATCTATCCATGAGCATGCAATGTGTTTCCACTGTTTGTGTTCTCTGTGATTTCTTTCAGCAGTATTTTGTAGTTTTCCTTGTAGAGGTCTTTCACGTCTTTGGTTAGGTATTAATATATTCCTAAGTATTTTATTTTATTTTGCAGCTATTGTGAAATGGGTTGAGTTCTTGATTTGATTCTCAGCTTGGTCACTGTTGGTATATTGCAGAGCTACTGATGTAGTGTACATTAATTTTGTATCCTGAAACTTTGATGAATTCATTTACCGGTTCTAAGAGCTTTTCGGATTAGTTCTTAGGGTTCTCTAGGTATACAAATCATACCAGCAAATAGTGACAGCTTGATTTCCTCTTTACCAATTTGGATGCCTTTGATTTCTTTCTCTTGTCTAACTTCTCTGGCTAGGACTTCCAGTACTGTGTTGAATAAAAGTGGTGAAAATGGGCATACTTGCCTTGTTCCAGTTCTCAAGGGAAATGCTTTCAACTTTTCCCCATTCAGTATAATGTTGGCTATAGGTTGGTTGTAGATGACTTGTATTACCTTATGTCCCTTCTATGCCAATTTTGCTGAGGGTTTTAATTATAAAGGGATGCTGGATTTTGTCAAATGCTTTTTATGTGTCTATTGAGATGATCATGTGATTTTTGTTTCTCTGTTTATGTGGTTTATCACATTTATTGACTTATGTATGCTAAACCATCCCTGTATTCCTGGTAAGAAGCCCACTTGATAATGGTGGATTATCTTTTTGATATGCTGTTGGATTCAGTTCGCTAGTATTTCGTTGAGGTTTTTGCATCTATGTTCATCAGGGTTATTGGTCTGTAGTTTTCTTTTCTTCTTTTGTCCTTCCCTAGTTTTGGTATCAGGGTGATACTGGCTTCATAGAATGATTTATGGAGGATTCCCTCTTTCTCTATCTTTTGGAATAGTGTCAATACAATTGGTATCAATTCTTCTTTGAGTGTCTGATATAATTCACCATGAATACATTTGGTCCTGAACTTCTTTTGTTGGCAGTTTTTAAATTACCATCTCAATCTCCCTGCTTGTTATTGATCTGTTTAGAGATTCTATATCTTCCTAGTTTAATCAGGGAGGATTGCATATTTCCAGGAATTTGAGGAATTTGTCCATCTCCTCTAGGTTTTCTTTCTTTTTCTTTTTCTTTTTTTTTTTTTTTTTTTTTTTGGAGACGGAGTTTAGCTCTTGTTGCCCAGGCTAGGGTGTAATGGCACAGTCAGCTCACTGCAACCTCCGCCTCCCAGGTTCAAGCGATTCTTCTGCCTCAGTCTCCCAAGTAGCTGGGATTACAGGCCCCCACCACTACACCTGGCCAATTTTTGTATTTTTAGTAGAGACAGGGTTTCACCATGTTGGCCAGGCTGGTCTCGAACTCCTGACATCAGGTGATCCGTCCATTTCAGCCTCCCAAATCTTGGCGTCGGCTGGGATTATAGGTGTAAGCCACTCTGTCTGGCCTCCTCTAGGTTTTTTTTTTTTTTTTTTTTTTTGAGATGGAGTCTAGCTCTGTCACCCAGGCTGGAGTGCAGTGGTGCGATCTTGGCTCACTTCAAGCTCCGCCTCCCGGGTTCACGCCATTCTTCTGCCTCAGCCTCCCGAGTAGCTGGGACTACAGGCACCCGCCACCATGCCCGGCTAATTTTTTTTGTATTTTTAGTAGAGACAGGGTTTCACCATGTTAGCCAGGATGGTCTCAATCTCCTGACCTCATGATCCGCCCACCTTGGCCTCCCAAAGTGCTGGGATTACAGGCGTGAGCCACCGCGCCCGGCTCCTCTAGGTTTTCTAGTTTATGTGCATAAAGGTGTTTATAGTAGCTTTGAATAATCTTTTGTATTTCTGTAGTATCAGTTGTAATATCTTCCATTTCATTTCTAATTAAGTTTATTTGGATCTTCTCTCTTCTTTTCTTGGTTAATCTCGCTAATGGGCTATCAATTTTATTTATCATTTCAAAGAACCAGTTTTTTGTTTATCTTTTGTATTTTTTTGTTTGTTTGAATTTCATTTAGTTCTGCTCTGATCTTCATTATTTCTTTTCTTCTGCTGAGTTTGGGTTTGGATTGTTCTTGTTTGTCCTTAGATTATCTAGGAGATCTTATAATCTAAGTTGTGACCTTAGATTATCTATGTGTGCTTTTTCAGACTTTTTGAGGTAGGCATTTAATGCTATCAACTTTCCTTTTAGCACTGCTTTCACTGTATCCCAGAGGTTTTGATAGGTTGTGTCACTATTATCCTTCAGTTCAAAGAATTTTTTCAAATTTCCATCTTGATTTCATTGTTGACCCAGTGATCATTCAGGAGCAGGTTGTTTAATTTCCATGTATTTGCATGGTTTTGAGGGTTCCTTTTGGAGTTGACTTCCAATTTTATTACACTGTGGTCTGAGAGAGCACTTGATGTAACTTCGATTTTCTTAAATTTACTGAGACTTGTTTTGTGGTCTATCATATGATCTATCTTGGAGAATGTTCCATATGCTGAAGAATAGAATGTATATTCTGTAGTTGTTGGGTAGAATGTTCTGTAAATATCAATATCTGTTAAGTCCATTTATTGTAGGGTGTAATTTAAGTCCATTGTTTCTTTGTTGGCTTTCTGTCTTGATGACCTGTCTAGTGCTGTCAGTGGAATATTAAAGACCCCCACTATTATTGTATTGCCATCTATCTCATTTCTTAGGTCTAGTAGTAATTGTTTTATAAATTTGGGAGTTCCAGTGTTAGGTACATATGTATTTAGAACTGTGATATTTTCCTGTTGGACTAGTCCTTTTATCTACGTAACGTCTCTCTTTGTCTTTTTAAACTGCCGTTGCTTTAGAGTTTGTTTTGTCTGATATAAGAATAGCTACTCCTGCTTGCTTTTCGTGTCCATTTGCATGGAATATCTTTTCCCATCCCTTTACCTTAAGTTTATGTGAGACCTTATGTGTCAGATGAGTGTCTTGAAGACAGCAGAAACTTGGTTGGTGAATTCTTACCCATTATGCCATTCTGTATCTTGGAAGTGGAGCATTTAGGCCATTTACATTCAATGTTAGTATTGAGATGTGAGGTACTATTCTATTCATCCTGTTATTTGTTGCCTAAATACCTTTTTCTTCATTGTGTTATTGTAATATAGGTCCTGTGAGATTTATGCTTTAAGGAGGTTCTATTTTAGTGTATTTTGAGGATTTGTTTCAAGATTTAGAGCTCCTTTAACAGTTCTTGTAGTGCTGGGTTGGTAGTGGTGAATTCTGTCAGCATTTGTTTGTCTGAAAAAGACTGTATCTTTCCTTCATTTATGAAGTTTAGTTTTGCTGGATACAAAATTCTTGGCTGATAATTGTTTTGTTTAAGCTGGCTAAAAATAGGACCCCAATCCCTTTTAGCTTGTAGGGTTTCTGCTGAGAAATCTGCTTTTAATCTGACAGGTTTTCCTTTATAGGTTACCTGATGCTTTTGTCTCACAGCTCTTAAGATCCTTTTCTTCATCTTGACTTTAGATAACCCAGTGACTATGTACCTAGATGATGATCTTTTTGCGATAAATTTCCCAGGTGTTCTTTGAGCTTCTTGTATTTGGATGTCTAGATCTCTAGCAAGGCTGGGGAAGTTTTCCTCAATTATTCCCTAAAATATGTTTTCCAAACCTTTAGATTTCTCTTCTTCCTCGGGAACACTAATTATTCTTAGGTTTGGATGTTTAACATAGTCCCAAACTTCTTGGAGGCTTTATTTTTTAAAATTCTTTTCTTTGTTTTTGACAGATTGGGTTAATTTGAAAGCCTGGTCTTTGAGTTCTGTAGTTTTTTCTTCTGATTGTTCAATCCTATTGCTAAGACTTTCCAGTGCATTTTGCATTTCTCTAGGTGTGTCTTTGATTTCCAGAAGTTGTGATTGTTTTTTATTTGTGCTATTTCACTGAAGAATTTTTCTTTCATTTCCTGTATCATGTTTTTGATTTCTTTAAGTTGGACTTCACATTTCTCTGGTGTCTCCTTGATTAGCTCAATAATTGACCTTCTGAATTTTTTGGGGGGAATTCAGAGATTTCATCTTGGTTTGGATCCATTGCTGGTGAGCTGGTATAATCTTTTGGGGGTGTGAAAGAACCTTGTTTTGTCACATTACCAGAATTGTTTTTCTGGTTCCTTCTCATTTGGGTAGACTATGTCAGAGGGACGATTAGGGATTCAGGGGCTGCTGTTCAGACTCTTTGGCCCCATGGGGTGCTCCCTTGATGTGGTGCTCTTCCCCTTCCCCTAGGGATGGGGCTTCCTGAGAGCCAAACTGTAGTGATTGCTTTTGCTTTTTTGGGTCTAGCCACCCAGTGGAGCTACTGGGCTCTAGGCTGGTATTGGGAAGCATCTGCAGAGTCCTGTAATCTGTAATGTGATCCATCTTCAGGTGTTGCAGCCATGGATACCAGCACCTGCTCCTGTGGAGCTAGCAGGGGAGTGAAGTGGGCTCTGTGAGGGTCTTTGGTTGTGTTTTTGTTTAGAGTGCTGGTTTTGAGTTGGTTGGCCTCCAGCCAGGAGGTGGTGCTTTCAAGAGTGCATCAGCTGCGGTCCCACACGGAGGAAGCAAACTTGCCCTAGAGACAACTGGTTAAGTATTCAGGATTCTCAGGCAGTGGGCAGGGCTGCAGAGCTCCCAAGAGATTACGACTTTTGTCTTCAGTTACCAGGGCAGGTAGAGAAAGACCACCAGGAGGGGGCAGGGAAAGGCATGTCTGAGTTTAGCTTCTCCTTGGGCAGGGCTTACTGCAGCTGCTGTGGGGAATAGGGGACTGTTTCCCAGTCCAGTGGAGTTATATTCCCAGGGGGATTATGGCTGCCTCTGCTGAGTCATACAGGTCACCAGGGAAATGAGGGAAAGCTGGCAGTCATGGGCCTCACCCACTCCTATGCAGCCTGCAGTCCTAAAGGCTGGTCTCACTCCTACCATGCCCCTCCAACAGCACTGAGTCTATTTCCAGGCAGCCGGTGACCAGGGCCGAGAACTTGCCCCAGACCACGAGCCTCCCTGTTGAGAAAGCAAGCAGACTCACAGGTTTTTGGCATCTCAGGGAGCCTGCAGCAGTGATCCAGTTCCTTTAAAGGGTCTGTGGATTCTCTCGGCTTTCCTAGTATGTACCTGTAGTAGTTCTTGGAGCAAAAGTTCACGATGTGAGTCTCCACTGGCTGCTCTGTCCATCCGAGCGGGAGCTGCAAGCTAGTCTGGCCTCCTATCTGCCATTTAATCTCATCACATGTAGTGATTTTTAGATTAATCCATATTACTGTGTATATCCAGTAATATGGATATTCCTTTTAATATGTGTATTCCTTTTTGGGTAGTATTCTGTTGTATGGTTATGTCACAATTTTTTAACCATTTTTAACCATTCTTCTATTGATAGACATTTGAATTGTTTCCAGTTTGGGCTGTTACGTATAAATCTGCTATGAACATTCATATACAAGTCTTTGTGTGGACATGTTTTCATTTGTCCTGGGCAAACACCTAAGAGTGGGGTTGCTTTAACTTTATACGAAACTCCCAAACTGTTTTCCTAAGCAGCTATACCATTTTGCATTCCCATCCACAATGTACGAGTTCCAGCTGGGGAGCAGAGGTTATTTTTAAAGCATGAACCCAATGCCGTCTTGACTGGAGGTGATGGCAGAAACACTTTAGAATAAAATGCTAGAAATGGTAATGAAGGCTCCAGGAGGGCACAGACTCCAAGTGTCCTGTTTCCTGCTGCATCCCCAATGACTAGCACAGGGCTTGGCTCCTGGCACCCGCTCAATAAATGAATCAGTGAATAAAAGATTTGCCTCTGACAGACATTAACAGCTTATAAGTGTTGGGTCAAAGTTTGGACCTACTGCATCTTATTTAATCAAAAGAAGTTTTAGGAGCCCTGGTTTCTCCTTCCCCAAGTTTCATTAGACACTTAATTTTCAACTAGTTGGCATTTCTACCTGGTTACTACAATATCTGCTGACTCTAGTCTGGCTTCCCTTCACAGCCCGAGACGGCCACTCTGCCTCCCATCACTGAGTATGCACTTCAGCCAGCAGAAAGGAGGACATGGGAAGAGAACACACCCTGTATTTATGGAGACTTGGCTGTAGTTGCAGATCATTTCTGCTTATCTGTCATGGGCCAGAACTTGGTCATATGGCCACATCCAGCTGCAGGGAGAACTGGAAACCATGGCCTTTATTTGGATCAGCTGTATGCCTAAATACCAGGACCCTGTTGCTAAGAAGGGGAGGACAGACAATGAATCACTTCTATTGAATGAATGATAATAATGGCAGGCCCTAACCTGAGCCTGGCTTTGTCCAGAACTGCTGTAGGGACTTCGAGGTCAATATGCCATATTATTCAGAAAACATGTTTATTTTTCAACTCCAGGGAGAATCCTTTCAATTCATACACAAAAGAAAGCAAGGCTGGTGAGTACGGAAGGTGTCTCACTCAGCACTTCTTGTCCCTGCCCCTGGCCACACAGGCCAGCCACTTGGATTCCTCCTCAAGGTGGTCTGCTTCAGCTACAAGGGGCAGGGAGCATTTGAAGGATGGTGCATTCAAAGAAGGGGGAGCTAATGATGGGATGGGGACATGGACATATACCACTGGCCTCTCTGGGAACCAAATGGCTCCCTCTGAGTGACCTACCTTAAGAAGCTCTGGTGTGCTAAGCAGACCCCAGCTGGGCCACCATGGTCTACAGATACACTCAGTAAGGGAAGCAAGTGAGAGAGAGGAGGGGATCCAGGCAAGGGTAACTAGGATGTGGAAGGGACTTGAAATGTATCTGTGTTTTGTTTCCAGGATATCTTATCATGAGTTCTTCCAGAAGCAGGTACTGAGACAAAGAATTGAGGGCAGGTAGTTCATTTGGACCTAATCCCAGGAAGCACCAGTAGGGACATGGGGAAGTGAGACAGGGAAAGAGTGCAGGGTCAAGGAAGTTATACCACTGTGCCCAAGTGGGGCTCAGTCCTACTAGGGAACTGTGGGAGCCAGTGTAGAATACACACCTTGAAGTTACCCTGCCCAAGGGGTTGGGTTTAAGAGTTTAAGAAAGAGGAAAGAAAGATGAAATGCAGCTCAACATTAAATCGGCCAGAAGCCCCTCTCAGGTTTATTTCTCTAAGATAAACCTGTCTTTGACTGTTGAGCCTCATTTCCTGTTTCTTTCCTCTTTCTTTAACTCTTACACTGGGGAGCTGTGATTTTTACACATCAGTTATTGGCTGAGGGTTGCTCCCAAGACCTGCTTAATTCACCAGGACTTCTGGCCTGCCAAGCGTGGAGACAGAAGGCCTTCCTTACCTGCAGAAAATCCTTAGTCAAAGAAATCAAATGCAGGGCAGCTGGAAGTTGGCTGGAGCACACCGAGGTGGTAAGCCCTGACGGATGTGGAGTGGGCACTGGGTACTTACTGTCTGCTACAAAGGATGAAGCCAACATCAATTACACATGCTCTCGTTCTGTGACACACACACACGCCTCTTGCACACCTCTTACACTGGCTTCATTTTTCCTGACTCACACTGCTCCCTCTCAACACAACACCTTTGCATATGCCATTCTGGATGTCTGAGCCACTCTTCTACTCTTTCTGTTCCCCCTTCCATGAGTTAAGTTCTACTTATTCTTCAGATCTTGGCTCAAATGCCCCTTCCTCTTGCCCCCTCCCACCCCAGGGCAAGATCAGGTCCTCCTGTTGCACATTGTCCCAGCTCCCTGGCCTGTAAGTGTGTCATTATAGGTCTTTAAGTTTAGGTGATTAATGCTGTCTCCTCCATCAGACTGTGAGGAAGGGATCCTCCCTTTCTTGTTTACAGTGACACACAGTAGGGACTCAAAAAATGTATGTTGAATGAATGAATGAATCAATGCCAGTCTGATCGACTAAGGCTCCCTATAGCTAGAGAGGGAATTTACCAGCTAAAGATCCCAGGAAGAGAAGGCGGCTAATTAGCAATTCATTAGGATCCATTTTCACATCTATAGTCAATGCTAATCACTTGTTTGTTTAAAACAGGAAGTTCTGCACTCATTAAAGCCATTACTAAATGAAAATGTTTCTCATGGAAGTCTGGCCTCCCACACTGGAGTGTAAACTCAAGGACTGCACCCCCTCTTTTGTGTAGACTTTCCAGAAATCAGCAAAGCAGGTGCTCACAAGCTGGAAATACCCTGGGTTAGGACCCTAGTGTTTGCTGCCAGTGGGACCTTAGGAACCAGGCCCTTCAGCTCTGGCTGGGAGTGGCCTGGCAAGGGTGAGCTCTGCCCATCATTCCTCATCCACCCTATTCCACCCTGCAGAAAAGCCCCAGAGAACAACTTCCCTATGGCAATGCTACCCACCCATTACTCACGCACCTATTGGGTGCCCGCCAGATGTACAGCCCAGGCCCACCTCTCGGGTATTGAACAGACTGGCCTGCTTTCCTGAAGTTTCACCTTTTTCTTTATCTTCATTGCCCACTGCCCCCACCTTACATCAACACGAGCAACACCTTAAATGTGTTGTTTGAGCCTTTGTACCTGCTGTTCCCTCTGTCCAGAGCGGGCCTTCCCTGTGTGTACTTCATGGGCAAATACTGCAATGCCAGCTTGGTGGTGTCTCCTCCATGAAGCCTCCCAATTGCCTTTTGGTTCAACCTCTGGGCTGCCATTTATATTTTTGAATATCATCATCTTCATGGTGGTGACCAACTCTGATAGAGCACCTCCCAGGGGCCAGCCGGTCCCTGAGTCTATCACTCTACCACTCTGGTGTCCCATGCTCCCAGGGAGGTACTGTTCTTATTTTCATTTCGTCAAGGCTAAGAGTCCTGAAGAGACTTTCCCAAGGCCACATGGCAGGCCTTCTTATCTCCAGAGCCCATGAGCTTAACTGCCGCTCCCTACCTCCTCCCAATGCAGACTTATTGCTGTCTTCTCACACGAACTTGCCCTGTTTAGCTCTCCTGTAAGCCTAGCTCCTAAGAGGCAGTATACATGTCTTTTTGTCTCTGGGGCTGGCACATAGAAAGCCTTGAAAAATACTTGTTGAAATTTCCAACCAGCAGATTTCAGATCCTGTTCCATAAACCCTGTTGTAACTGATCATGCAACTGATCAGTAGCCTCCTGTTAGAATCCTGTCTTTGCTCTTAATGTCTCTGGAGGAGTTACTGGATATGTCAGTCATCATGACCATGAGATGAAGCGGCAAGTCATGACCCTGTCGTGTGTCTCTGTCAGGTGCTGAAGATGCAGAAAGGAATATGACTCCTACATGAGAAAAAGGCTGCAAGCCCCACGCAGAGCTGTGGCGAGGAGGGCGGCATTGCAGTGCCCTGATTTCAACATGGGTAGTCAGGAAAAGCTCCGAGGCCTGACCTGCCTCTCTTGGGGTTCTGAGGGGGCTCAGATGAGCTAGGGCATGGGCGGGAGATCATCTTCCTACATGCCCACGGGGATACAACCCATTCCCTGAGAGGCATCCTCTCCAAGATTCCTTTGCTTATTTTTTGCTTATTATTATTATTATTATTATTATTTTTTAGACGGAGTCTCACTCTGTCGCCCAGGCTGGAGTGCAGTGGTATGATCTGAAGCAATTCTCTGCCTTAGCCTCCTGAATAGCTGGGATTACAGGCGCCCACCACCACGCCCAGCTGATTTTTTTTTTTTGTATGTTTAGTAGAGACGGGGTTTCACCATCTTGGCCAGGCTGGTCTTGAACTCCTGACCTTGTGATCCACCCACCTCGGCCTCCCAAAGTGCTGGGATTACAGGCGTGAGCCACTGTGCCCAGCTACTTATTTGGATTAAGCATTGCTTCCCCTTCTCCCAGCCCTGGTTCCCCTCGAGAAACACAAAGCACAAGCGAGGGACCCAAGATGATGTTAGGCCCCTAATACCAAATGTGAGTTTGCCATAGGATTATAGACACATAAACGCCTTCTATTTTGATGACTTTTTTTGTGTGAGTGGATAAGCTACACATGAATAGGGTTTAAAAAAATGTCAAGGGTGTATGGGGTACTTGTGAGAAGACTTCTCATCACTGATCCTGTCACCCTTCCTAGAAGCTGAAGGCTGCCACTTGGGTGTCCTTTAAGAGAGAATCCACACATCAAGTGTCCCCCTTCCCCATACGCAGCAGCATTGTTCTGGTTGTCTTTTTCTTTTTTTCTTTTGAGATGGAGTGTTGCTCTGTTGCCTATGCTGGAGTGCGATGGCGCTATCTTGGCTCACTGCAACCTCCGCCTCCTGGGTTCTAGCAATTCTCCTGCCTCAGCCTCCCAAGTAGCTGGGATTACAGGCACCTGCCACCATGCTCAGATAATTTTTGTATTTTTAGTAGAGATGGGGTTTTGCCATGTTGGTCAGGCTGGTCTCAAACTCCTGACCTTGGGTGATCCACCCACCTCGGCCTCCCAAAGTGCTGGGATTACAGGTATGAGCCACAGAGCCCGGCCGCTGCTTGTCTTTTTCTTTAATAATGTATCTTGGAGCTATACAAAGAACTACCTCATTATTTTGAAAGGCTATGTGGTACACTACCCATGTTTATGAGGCACTTATTTAGCCAGTACTCTCTTGATGGACTTTTAGGTTGTTTCCATTCTTTCATTAATGCAAACAATGCATCAACAAACACTTTATTCATCATCTTTGATCATGGCAAGTAAATTCCTAAAAGCAGGATTGCTGAGTCAAAGGGTATGTGCATTTAAAATTCTGATAGCTATTGCTATTTTATTTTTTATTCTTTCAAAGGCAGACTACCACAGGTAGTGCCTCATTTGAATGTGTCTGGAGCCTTGGAAGCTTGGAGCCCTACGTTCTCCTACAAATGGACCTTGAGAGCTTGTTTGGAGGTTCTAGCAGGGGGGCTCAGCTACTTATATACCCTTGACTGAAGACCAGTCTTCCTCTATTGGGGATGGTCGTCCTCTTCGACAGAGTGTGCAGCTTCAGGAGGGACACACATGGAGTGGAGAGGGAGGAAGGGGACAACTGCCCAGCCAGCCAGATCAGCCGAATGAACCCTGGCAATCAATGGGGTGATGGATATTGCAGCCAGATCGCCCTTACATCCTGTTTTATTCTTTTAAAATGTTGCACAGTATTTTGTTATATAAATGTACTGGAGATCATTTAACTAGTCCATCCCTCCCTCCCTCCCCTGTTCTTTGTAATTTTCTTTTCTTCCTTTCTTTTTTTTTTTTTTTTTTTTGAGACTGAGTTTCACTCTTGTTTCCCAGGCGGGAGTGCAATGGCGTGATCTTGGCTCACCACAACCTCCACCTCCTGGGTTCAAGTGATTCTCCTGCCTCAGGCTCCCAAGTAGCTGGGATTACAGACATGTGCCACCACGCCCAGCTAATTTTGTATTTTTAGTAGAGACAGGGTTTCTCCATGCTAGTCAGGCTAGTCTAGAACTCCCGACCTCAGGTGAACCGCCTGCCTCGGCCTCCCAAAGTGCTGGGATTACAGATGTGAGCCACTGCACCTGGCCTCTAATTTTCTACTTACTTTAAGGAATAGTTAACAGTAATATTTCATGACTTTGGAGTGCAGTGGCACAATCATAGCTCACCGCAGCCTCAATCTGCTGTGCTCCAGTAATCCTCCTGCCTCAGCCTCCCAACATGTCGAGATTACAGGCATGAGCCACCATGCCTGGCCTCATGACATTTGAGGTATCACTCTTCAGTATAGCTCAGTAGAATTTCTGTGTTGTGGGGGGCATTTCAGTCTCTTCTGGATGAAGAGCTCAGCACCATGATTAGGTTATTTCCTATCTTTTGCTTCCATTCGTTGGATATTAAGGAAGAGTATCAAGCATAAAGCCTGGCACATACTAGGCATTCAATATTTGTGAAAATATTTTTAAAAATTCGGAACAATGTTGCAGTGAACTGCCTAGGCGTGTACATCTTTGTGCCCATGTGTGAGTATGAAATACTTAAGAGGCAGAATTACTGATCAAAAGTGTGTGCATTCAAATTTGGTCGATAACTGCCCAACTGACCTCCAAAGACCTTGTGCCAATGTACATGCCTGTCTCCCCATATACTTTCCAACATTATATTATCAAATTATAGATGTTGAGGAGGTGGAACGATGCTTGGGGATTGATTGGTTCAAACCCTTTACCTAGTAGATGGGGAGGCTGAGGCACAGGCAGGGGAAGAGAGCGCCCAAGGTCACCTGTGAGCTGTGGCACAGTTCGATTCCCTCCAGGGAACTGGGGCAGGGTTTGGGGTGAAACACTTGAGTGCACCCGGTGGGGTCCATGAGACAATGAGAAGGAAGGCTAACAAGAGGTGGGGTGCGCTGAGGCCTATCCCTCCCCCACACCTACGCCCAGGTAACGCAACATGTTTTATTTCATGAAGGAACTTCTGACTCTTCTCCACTACTTCTTCTCCCCGCCTCCCCCCACCCATCTTTTTCCTTGGAAACAGCCTCAGAGATTCTGAAAGGTGCTTTCCTTACTTCTGAGTCCGCCTGTGTGGGAGGAAGCTGAGGACGTGAGGGTACTGATTGAGAGAGCAGGTTGAGACCCAGGAGCTGCTGTGCAAAAAGAATGGCAAATTATATAAGGAGGGGAAACGGAAGCGGGTGGTGGAGGCAGCCATTCATCAGTGTTTTTTAACCCTTTCCTGCTGCAAAAACAGGCAGCCCCAGATGCCGGGATACGGCCGCAGTGAGAGAGACATTTTCATAAACGGTTGGTGCTGAAAGCTTTGAAGCGAGGAGGGCACTGCTCCCTCCTTGTCCTTTGCAGACTGGCTTTGTACTCTGGGTAAAACTGTCAGAAAAGGTAGAACAGCTCCTAATCTAGGAGATGATTCCTGTGGGAAATCAGGCTGCTTTTCAAGCGTAATTTGAAAAGCCGCTGCCTCCAAACTTCAGTTGTGGAGTGGGGGAGACGGGGGCGGGGGGGGGGGGAGACGGGGGCGGGGGGGCGGGGGGGGGCGGCGCAGAGAGGAGCATGCCATTTATAAAGCAATCAACGCTTCCACAGAGTCCACCATCACTCAGAATTATTTTCTGAAATTTGGCCTCTATTCCTTACTCTGGAGGAAAGGCAGTACGGGCACCTGGCTTCCAATCAAGCCCGACGCACAGGACTGGGTAAGCCACACAAAAGGAGAGGGACCCTGCATTGCTCATCACAGCTGGAGCTGCGGAAAATCATTTCTAGGGCTCCTCAACTCTCCGGAACAAGCCAGAGGAAGCCTCATCAGAGGTTCCATTCATCTGACTTCTTACTTTTAAACTTTAAATCACATATTTATGTGCCTCAAGTTGCCCATGAACCACAGCATGTCAAACAGTTCGGGGTTGATGGAAGAGGTACATTTTCTCGTCCTGGGACTTTCAGAAATACAATTTCATTGCCAGTCTCTCTCCCTTCCAATTTCTCCCGTATGCTGCCACGAGATGAATATTCCTAACATCCTGCTTTCAATACATTATTCACCTGTTCAAGGACCTTCCAAGGCCACTTCTTGATCCCTTAAGGCTGGGATACTCAGATTGGCATTCAAGGCCTTCCATAAATGTGGCCTCAGCGCCCACAACCTCCTCACATTCACTCTCCCAGACTGCCACACCACACGTGTCACAGGCCACAAATACAGGGTGGTGAGTGCCTGTCATATATGCCCTCCCCGATCCCAGCATCTCTCTTCCTGGTAACCAAACACAGTGCTTTCTTTTAGGGAAACCACTCCACCTCAACTCTTTCTCCATATGGTGTGGGTGTCTCCAGACTTGTCCCCGAGATTGCTGCAGTTCAGGGGTTGGCAAACTAAGGTCCGAGGGCAAAGCAAAAACAACAAACCACCAATGAACAAAAAAACAAAGGCCCCTGGCTTATTTTTTGTGAGGCCCTTGAGCTAATAACTTTTCCGTTTTTTTTTTTTTTTGGCCAGGCGCAGTGGCTCAAGCCTGTAATCCCAGCACTTTGGGAGGCCGAGGCAGGCGGATCACGAGGTCAGGAGATCGAGACCATCCTGGCTAACACGGTGAAACCCCATCTCTATTAGAAATACAAAAAAATTAGCCGGGCATGGTGGCGGGTGCCTGTTGTCCCTGCTACTCGGGAGGCTGAGGCAGGAGAGTGGTATGAACCCGGGAGGTGGAGCTTGCAGTGAGCCGAGACTGCACTACTGCACTCCAGCCTGGGCGACACAGCGAGACTCCCGTCTCAAAAAAAAAAAGAATTTTTCCGTTTTTTAAAAGATTGCGGCCCAGCACGGTGGTTCACACCTGTAATCTCAGCACTCTGGGAGGCTGAAGTGGGCTGATTGCTTGAGTCCAGGAGTTTGAAACCAGCCTGGTTCGCAATACAGCAAAATCCTATCTTTACTAAAAATACAAAAAATTAGCCAGGCATGGGGGTGTGCGCCTGTAAACCCAGATTACTTGGGAGGCTGAGGTGGGAGAATCATCTGAGCCAGAGAGATTGAGGCTGCAGGGAGCTGAGATCATACCACTGTACTCCAGCCTGTGCTACCAGAGTAAGACCCTGTTTCAACAACAACAGCAACAACAACAACAACAACAACAACAACAACAAGATTGTAAGAAAAAAAAAGTCAAAGAAGATGCCACAGAGACCTTTATGTATGGCCTGTAAACCCTAATAGATTCACTCTGGCCCTTTACAGAGAAAGTTGCTGACACCCGTTGTAGATGGACCAAGTTTGGTTTGGGGCTGGGCAAAGCACCGGCTGAGCCAATGAGAGCAAATCCTAGGATTTAGGCTGAGGTGGGAGGATCTCTTGAGCTCGGGAGTTCCAGGTCAGCTTGGGCAACAGTGCAAGACCCCATCTCTAAAAATCCAACCCAATCCTAGGCCTTTGGCTAGAGCTGTTAGGAGGTGCACATTCACTTGGGTGTGTGATGCTGAAGGAACAGGAGCCTGGAGTCAGAGTGAAGCCACCACTGGGGAAAGCAGCATCAGAAGACAGACAGGCTGGGGGAGCTGTGCCTGCGGGGCCTCTTCGTTCTGTGTGCCAAGGTATTTTTTTTTTTGCTCAAGCCAATTTTGAATTGGGTCTCCTGTCACTCCCAACCGAGTTATGATGTGTACAGATACTGGCAGGTATGCCCACAGCTCTTTGGGCATGTGATTTTTCCTGTCTGGAATGCCCATTATTCTGTCTGCTGAAATCTACTTGTCCACTAGGACGTCACCTCCTCCTAGAAGCCTTCTTTGATTCTCTCACCCTACCGTGGTTCTATTTTAGTTTCTGGGTGGTACATGCTGAGACCTAACCATCTACTTCCTCGGCTGTAACCGTCAAGAGGAGTGTGTATTGCAGCCATAACAAAGCCATGGGCAGCGGGGGAAAGATGTTGCTGGAGCCCCAGGCACAGTGTCAGATGCTTTAGAAACACTACCGCATCCATCCCCTCTGATGCAGCTGCCTGAAGAGGCAGTGGCAACAGCTCTAATTCAGAGATGGGAAAATGCAGCTCGGAAGTAAAATGACTTGCCCAAGGTCACACGGTTACAGAGAGGCGGAGTCAGAAATGAAGCCCAGCGCTGAGGAACTCCAAATCATCCATGCTCCTTCCACAACACAGTGCCTTCTGAAGACCACAGCCACCCCCCTCCAGCCATCTCCAAGGATCCCCTGGGTCCAGGTCTATACTTTCCTGCATCCTCCAGGAGCCTTCTACAGCCTGCAGATCACGGCTCAAACATCTCAAGCTGAAATTCAAGGCCTTGCAGTATCTACTTATTCATTCTATACCAACCCCTAACCCCAGCCCAAACAATACTTGAAGTGCTGGTGCGCCCTGAGTGAAATAAGAAACCCCTATTACTCCACAAGTTTTAACAGGGGGAATGGAGTATTTTGCAAAGCTTATGTTAACAAGGACTAGACTGAGTCAGCTGGACAGGTTCAAAATTAAAGTTGCCTGAATATAATCATAACTGGAGATGCACTCTAATGAGATTTTTTTTTTTTTTAAATCAAGTGCAACAATCTGCCTGCAAGAATCTGAAAGCAACTCAAGATAGCTTAACTCTTTGAGGAAGAAGTGGGTTTTCGGAGAGCCATGGTGTATCCTCTTATGCTGATTATCTCCTGGAGAGCTTTCGCAGAGTCCAAGTTTTTATCAGGATGCGTGTGCACATCTTCCTGGCCTCTCAGGACAGCATCGCGGCTTGCCACACCCAGATGCTCTGCGAAGGCAGGCTACTTTAATCTCACCGGGAGAGCTAAGTAATGCTCAGCAAGTCATGCCACCTCCCTGACCTGTTTTCTCATTTGTCAGAATCTGGAGACTGAATTAGCCTATCACTTTGGGTCCCCAGTGGAATTAGGAACAATGCTGTGAATGCTTTTACCATCTCCGTAATTAGAGGCATTTCCCTCCCTTTTTCCAAAGGAAATCATCCCAGAATTTTAAAGCTCAAAGAGAGTTAAGTGATTATCTTGCTCTTTGAGGGGGTTCTTAACTTGGGGTCCTTGCGGGGTCACAGGTGAAGCCTCTGGAATTGTACATGGAATCTTGTGAGGTCAGTGAAGCATCCTCAGCAGATGAGATAGTGCCCACTGCAGTCTTGGAGGATGCAGTGCCCTCCTGGGGGTAACAAGGGAGGAGCGGGAGCAAGTTTCTGGGGAGTGGGTCCCCACAATCCCAACAGATGAAGAGCTCCCCCTCTGGTCCAATCCCTCCACTTTACAGGCTGCAGAACTGAAAAAAGCCCCAAGAGAAGGATTCCCTGAGGGCTCAGGAGCCAGACAGAGCCAGGCTGCCGCCACCGAGACTGGAGCTGGACATAACTCGGCCCTTGCAGGGCGGAGTGGAGAAGGAATTGAGTGGGGCCTCTCCAGAGCTGGCTGGGGACCCTCACACCAATATGTCCCCATGCCAGGCACCCTCTGGGCTTTTTAAGAGTTTGGGGATTATCTATGTCACCGGAATTGTGATCTAGCCGGTGCCTCACCATGCACCTGTGAGGAAGCATTCATCATCCCTGGGATCCTTCAGCATACATGGGAGCCCTGGGGTGGGATGTGCACCTCAATTTACATAATCTGTGTGTTTTAAATTTCTCAGCTAGAAAAAAATCGAGTATTTATCTTGCCTTTTCTTTTCTTTTTTTTTTTCTTTTTGAGACGAAGTATTGCTCTGTCGTCCAGGCTGGAGTGCAATGGCGCGATCTCTGCTCACTGCAACCTCCGCCTTCCCTGGTTCATGCCATTCTCCTCCTCAGCCTCCCGAGTAGCCGGGATTACAGGCAGGTGCCATCTTGCCTTTTCCATACAAACTGTACCGGTAGGTTACCAGATGGTTGATGAAGGGAAGGTTCCCCTTACACAAGGACTCTGGTTAACAGCAAGCCAGCATGGCAGAATTAGAACAGCATTACTCTGCAATCCCTAATGAGTGTGTGGATTCCAGTGAGATCACCATGGTTGCTAATAACACAGTAAGATCAGACTTACATACCTCCTGATGGAAGTACGTAACACCACCTATGGAGGAGAAGTGCCAAAAACAAAGCTAAGAGACTCAATCCTGATCACGACTCTTACTCTGCCTCCCAATGGCCAGGAAACACAGGTGAGAGGAGGGGCCCAAGAAATGACCTCCATAGGGATGCAATCAATAAATCCAGACGGTGGGAAATGCTGTAGGAAAAATGACCGTGTTTCTCCACCAAAAAACTTACAAGGAAAATGAGAGAGAGGTGGAGGGGGAAATCTACACATTAAAAGAGATTTATTTTTTATTTTAGAGATGGAGTTTCGCTCTTGTTGTCCAGGTTGGAGTGCAATGGCGCAATCCTGGCTCACCACAACCTCCATCTCCTGGGTTCAAGTGATTCTCCTGCCTCAGCCTCCTGAGTAGCTGGGATTACAGGCATACACCACCACGCCCAGCTAATTTTGTATTTTTAGTAGAGACGGGGTTTTTCCATGTTGGTCAGGCTGGTCTCGAACTCCTGACCTCAGGTAATCCGCCCACCTCGGCCTCCCAAAGTGCTGGGATTACAGGCATGAGCCACTGCACCCGGCCTAAAAGAGATTTATTAGGGAATATACTGATACCAGCAATGTATATCACTTATTTGGATCCTGATCCAAACACACTGGGGAAATTTAGACACTGAAAATATCTGACAATATTAAAGGATCATTGTTAATTTGGTTAGGTGTGATAATGGTATTGTGGTTGTACGTTTAAAAAAAGTTTCAATGTAACATCTGGGATTTGCTTCAAAAAAATCCGGGGTGTGGAGAGAGAGGTACATGGGTGGGGCACAGAGGAAGCAAGCCTGGCCACATGCTGACTGCCAGGGAAGCCAGGTTCATGGGGACATGGGAATTTACACTATTACCCATAGTAAAATGTTAAAAAAAATTAACCTCCTGCTTGAAAAGTAACCAAAACATTGTTACGAGTGGTTGCCTTTGGAGAGAGAAACCTGACGGCTGGGAAATGGGGAGGGGGAGATTTACTCTTCATTGTTTTCTGTTTTGTACTGCTTGGATTTGGATTTTATACCATGGTTCTATATTAACCATTCAAGAATATAAACTCATTTTAAAAAAACCACCCAGTTTAAATAAAAAACTTCAAAGTGAGCTTTTGATCATACTTTTCATCCAAGAAGTGTCTTTATTTCCGTTTGTTTCCCAAAGATCAGGTTAGGTAAAACAAATTAGTTCCATCTCATTATTTGAAGACAGGGAGGTGTATGCAGATGGAGGGGAACTGACCTCTTGTGTGTGTGTGTGTGTGGCCTGTGAGGGAGCTGGGGCTATAGAGATGGTAGGCTAAGGGGTTAAACCCTTAGAGCCACCAGACAATGTCACTTGACAACACAAGGTATGAAACATAAATAATAGTCAGCTACTTTCCTTCAATCCATTTCTAAGCAGTTGTGTGATCGATCAATTTATAAATCGATTGGCTAACTAATTCACCTTCTCTGCTGCCGCTGCCACCGCCTATGGCCGGGGTGGGGTCAGCCCAGCTTCTGGCTGGCAGTAGGGGAGGGATCGGTGGCCTCTGTGGTGGGGGAGCAGGGTCACTGCAGCTCCTTGAGCAGCTGGAGCACGTTGGTCGTGTAGGGGTTCTGCTGCCCGCTGGCCCCGTGCAGCTGCACAGGGTGGAGGCTGGGGTGGGGAGGTGTGAACTGCACGGGGCAGTAAAGCTCGTTCAGGAGGAACCAGGTGGAGTCTGGGTCCACCTTCATCAAGTGGAGGAAGACGCTGTGGAGAGATGGAAAGGAGTGAGTAGAGGGTACAGAGAGGGAAGGCGGGGAATGCTACAGCCCCAACCAGGAGGCTGTTTACCAGGCTATTTGAGAAGAAACTGATAACAATATCAAGTCACTTCAAATAGTAGAAAAAACCCACTTGAGTTCCTAAGACAGGACCAGTAGGATGGTCCCAAAGCCCAACCGAAATACAGGTAACAGTTTCATATCCATCGACATACAGAAACCAGTAATTAGTCTGAGCAGAACAATATTGACAGCAAACAAGCTCTTGGCAAAGAAAGAGGTTGAGTTCCAGAGTAGAAAGCAGGAGTTTTCACAAAGAAGAAAAACGACAGAGTGTACCCTTTCTTAAAGGCTTTGCTCAGCTCACAGGCCCAGCCCAGGGTTGAGGCAGGCCCAGGGCAGGGCTCCCTGTCCTGCTCGGGGGCCCTGAGCAAGCCTTAATATTATGGTCCTCCAGCACGCTGCTGAAGTCGGCAGTTGGACCCTTCCTGGCTGAGAGCCATGGATACTTGGTGGTGTGAACAGACACTCATGGCTCCCGTGTGAGGAGCCCGTTTCCCCACAGGGATCAGATCCACAGAATATGCCGCCTTTGGCAGGCTGTCAAAGGGTTCCTTTATTCTCCTGGGGCAGGACTGGCTGAGCTCTGCTCTGTAACCTTTGGCAGAGATAGAGCACTGATGTCCTCTGACGCATGACAGGGACAGAGCTCAAGGGCCCTGGGCTACTGGACACCCCACAGCCACCGAGGGTGGTTTTTATCTTCGTCTGAACTTTGGGGTCACAACTCTTGCCTCTTAGCTGCTCAAATACTATTTCTGAAAGATCAGTCACGTGCCCAGGGCCACTGTGTTGGGCAGTCTAAGCGTAAACTTCATACATGGTGGCAATTCAGTCCGACTTGGCAATCCCTGGAAGAATGGGGCCCTCCTGCAGTGAGCAGGGCCTCCCAGCCAGTCTGCCCATCTCAGCTCACCATCGCCTGCTCGGAGGCTGGGCTCCCCATGCCATTTTGCCCACACCACTGTGCCCAAGTAAGGCTGCCCCTTACTTTTCTCTTTCAGGACACCTTTCCTAGCACATATTGACCATTGATTGTCTCCCTCACAACATAAGCTCCCCAAGGGCAGGGACCAGGGACCACATCTGTTCTGTAGGTTGCTGTATCTCGGGCACCTGGAATGGCATGTGGTCAGCATCCAGTTAATATTGACTGAACAGGTTCTCATTTCTCTTTTTTCCCCTGCAATGTGTCCATGTAACAATGAGTTCTCATTTTAATGAGGACGTGGTGAGTTACTACATTGCACATGAATGACTTTAGACGACAACCCTCTCTAGAATATTTAAGTTCTACGAAAGGATCTGAAGGAGGGGTTAAACTCTCACCACCAAGGAAGGAACAAGGAAGATTATTAACAGGATTCAAATTATCAGAGGCATCACTAGCTATGTGGCTTTGGGAAATTATTCAGCTTGCCCTGTTTCAGTTTCCCCATTCCAAAAATGGGGGATGTACTTCACTCAGGGTTTTGCTGAGGTTTAAAGCACAGATCAAGCCCTACACAGTCTAGCACGTGATCCCTATTTACCAATTAACAGTACATAGTATCTATTTGATAAATCACATTTTATTATTGGCAATTATTCTAAGGAGCCTCTTGCATACTGCTGGGCATTAAATAGGAACTTCAACGCCTGCTAAGTCGGAGTAAATTCTGGATTTTAATTTCACTAATATGAAAGACCTGCACCCTCAGGGGATTTGGGTCTTACCGTGAAGCCAGTCTTGATATCATCCTTAGGTGTAGTGGACATACACTAAGGAGGTCAGGGAGGCAGTGGGGGAGTGGGGAGGGTGGACAAGGGCACTGAATTTTTTTTTTTTTTTTGAGACAGAGTCTCACTCTGTTGCCCAGGCTGGAGTGCAATGGCGCGATCTCAGCTCACTGCAACCTTCACCTTCTGGGTTCAAGCGATCCTCCTGCCTCAGCCTCCTGAGTAGCTGGGATTACAGGCATCCATCACCATGCCCGGCTAATTTTTGTATTTTTAGTAGAGACGGGGTTTCACCATGTTGGCCAGGCTGGTCTTGAACTCCTGACCTCAGGTGATCAACCCTCCTCAGCCTCCCAAAGTGTAGGATTACATGTGTGAGCACCGGGCCCGGCCTACTGAATTTTTTCCTGGCCTGTTCTGTGCCCAAACAATTTACTTTTCTTTGCTAGGATAATCTTGTGTTTATAACCTCCATAGTGGTTGTTGGAGAAGTGATTAGAATATTCTAATTCATCGTTTCCACTTCACCGCAGAAAGATGAGGCCTGCGTGGGAGACAATTTTTGTTTAAAAATAAAAATATCTTTGATAATTAGAGTGGCAAGGGAAATTATGAAAAAACGCACCAAAAGCGGGGAGCAGATTTCTATTTACACGTGACACAGTTGACAGTTTTCCCTGGTGCCAAAGACTGTTAGAATGCAAATGGTTTCATTTGATTTTTTCCCCTTTCAAGAGCTGGAACAATTTCTCAAGCTACAGCGTGGTGCTCTCCCAGCTTCAAGGAATATTTTTATCTGGGCAACACCCAGCAAAGCGGTGCCACGACCCAGTTCAGTCATAGCTGCGCTCTGACTTACACAGCATGAAAATGCTGCAATGTTCATTTTCTGAGCTCTTTTTAACATGCTAAATATGAATGTCGTATTTGTTGGCAGGAAAGGAAAAGAAAATAAGCCACTCTTTTTGCCCTGCAAGATATCCACATAAAATATTAACAGAAAAGCAAAGGAAAAACTTGTGCAAAGTTCACCTTCTTTTATTAAGCAAGAGCCAAACTCTTGGAAGGACTGTTTTGGGTCTCATTTCTTTGCTTTTAAAGGGGCAGATGCCCCAGAATGGCAGGAATGCACGTTCCTTCTCCCACCTCTGTGGCTTAGAGCAAGTGATTTTGCCTCATGAACCTGTTTCCTCTTTCTCCAAAGATGATCACACCTGGCCCACTCTCCTCACAGGTCCTTCTGAGGCTCTGAGGAGAGGAGGTGCAGGACAACACTTTGAAGTATATGATGAAAACAGTATTCCTTCTTTTCTTCCAGAAAGAGAGAGAGAGGGACACAGAGTCTGAGGCATAATTAACACCACCAATCTTAGCAGCACTACCATGCCATGGATAATTTTCAGATACCCTGAAAAGGGCAAAACATTTGTCTTTTGTTTCACTCATAATTTTCTCCATACTGACTTGGTGGGGGTATCCCAGTTCTCAGCCAATGATGTTCTAATTTCGCCCATTATTTTCAGGAAGAAACAAATGCAATATACTTTGTCCTCTGCATGCCTGAGGTGGGGAGCAAATGCCATGCCATGCAACCAGATGGCTGGCAAGTGTAGCTGTGCTCTCACTCCGAGAGGCAGGCGGCCTGCTGAACTCTAAACACGACAAATTCCAAACCGCACCCTTGTTGGCTTTAAGCCCCTGGGAGCTGAGCCTGAGGCCCAGGAGGTCTGATCTGAGTCCTTAGCGCCAGGCTTTGTTCCAAACTCTGGTGTCACTTTGTCCTGGGGCCAGTTCCTGCCCAGCCTTAGCTGAAACCAGAGAGTGAACAGCTGAAAGCCAAAGTTGTTGAAAACTCCTTTTGCATAAGCCAAAGCCAGAAGACAAAGACAGGACCTCTGCTTTGAAGTGACTGGGGTAACTGCCTGGAAAATGTTCCCAATACATTTTGCGATGCGCAGGGATGGCTGTTGAACATACCAAATGGCCAGTTCCATCTTTTTTCAAACCCAAAGAGAAACACTTTTTAAAAAATATATGTACACCATTTAACTCCTGAACAAAAATTTCTTTCTCCTCCCCCCAGGCCCAAATCAGTGGCTCCAGAGAGCACAGTTATCAAGAGATTATCTGGTCCCCAGAGTATCGGGAGGCACTCAGCTGTGCCACATGCCTCCGAGTGTCCTGAGGCGAGTGATTATCTCTCAATAACCTGTAAGGCCGTGTAGCTTAAATGATAACTTGACTTTAAAAAATTTAGAACTCGCTGTTAGGCAGTTTCTAAGCAACTGTTTCCATGGCAAAGAAGCCTGGTGTTTATACTGATTTTTCACTTAAAATGCAGTTTTATTGAATTTCACTCCATGCAGGCAGCCATTTGCCTGCACTTCAGCCCTATCTACAACTGACGGCTATCAGTAAGTACCTAATAAACTCCAGATGCCAAACCAGAAGTGGCTCCTTCCTTCGTGATCAGTATGGGGGTGCCCCTAGTGAGCAAGCTGGGGGCGAGGAGGTGGGAATGGGGAGGGAGGAAACGTGCTCCTGGAATCTGGTCAGCTGGGTTTAAGTTTTATCTCTTCATGGTTTATCAAACGTTTACTAAAGCCTGGTCCAGCCCAGGCCCTAACTGAGGTGCTTGAGGCACAAAGAGAGAGGGACAAAAAAGCCTCTGCCCTCAGGGCTCCCTGTCTGCTGGGGTAGACTAAGGGATCACAGAGGCCCATGGCACACTGTTGCAAGGGCCAGCCTAGAAGTGATGTGCGGGTGGCACCAGGCATGGCTTCCTGAGGAGAGGCACGGCAAGTTGCTTCTCTGTAAAGAGCGAGTGGACCAGATCAGTTCTAAGATCCCTGGTAGCTCCAACAGACCACGAGAGTTTTCAATCATGGGCACTGGATCATTACTCACCCCACCCCACAATATGGCAAAACCAAAAAGAACCCCCTCTGCTCTGCTGCAGGAGCGAATATTACAGAATATGTTCTCACCATCTCTGTCTAGACAACATCTGCTCAAAGAGAGATCTAGAAAACCGCCAGCCAATGAGGGCCCAGTGAAGCTAAATAAACTGTAACTGAAATGCAGGGCTTCCAGCTCTCCTGGGTGACAGGCTATTCTTCCTGTGTCAATTACTTGCTTGAGGGATCTGCTGTTCTCCGTCTCTTTCTGGATTTATAAAATGCTCTCATGAGCCATCAGGGTAAATGCCAGTGGTAAAGAACATGTGGCTTTGTGATCTGTTTGTTTGCTTACTTATTTGGGGCTTCTAAAGAAGTTACTCAGAAATGTCTCCTTAGGAACACGATACAGGCTCTCTCTATGTGGGCATGGTTAAATGCAGTGGGAAAGTAAGCTCACTTGTGGGAAAGCAGGCATACTCACTAAGTTATTTTGGTGTTCCCGTTGTTCCCTCTCTGGCAGCACAGCCTCCACACTCTCCTCCTCTCTGGCCATCTCTTCTCCCATCACTCTGTGCATGCTGATGCTGCAAAGGAGGCTGTGTGTTTCCTTTTAAACAAATGGATGCTCAGGGTGTTGATGCGTCCTAGCCAGCAAGCAGTGGGGCTATGTTTCTATACTTGGTAATTTACTCTAATGGGTCTCAGTTCATTGGTTAACCAGTATTTCAAGCCTGTCCTTTCTTGCTATTCAATTTAGCTATCTTCCCCTGCACGGAGGTCGTTTTTTATTTCTAAATGTTGGAAATGGAGGATTATGACTTGAAGCAACGATTTACTCTCCAAATAAATACTACCAATTACCTTTGCAGCTATACATGCTCGTTTGACTTAACTATGTTTACCTGTTCAAAACCATTCATCTATCGATCTAACGCCAACATGCATACTCACACAGAGACCCATATCAAAAATATTTAAATGCAACATGGGCAGGACTTAAAACCGTAAACACCAGTAGAAGCAAATGATGCTAACCATACCTCTGAAGTGCCACAAGATAAAGTATCATAAATGCAGAGGAATGATTCCATTGCTTTGTGCATATTTAAAAGGATATGGCGCTGAGAGGTCCAATCTGTTATAGACAATTCAAAAATAAGCCAGAATCTAGGAGGGTTTACATCCCACTGGGGCGAGATTTAAAAGCAGCCCTTTCCATCTGGCCAGTTCTCCTGCCTCCAGGAACCCTGCAAGCCTAGATCCCACGACAGTGTATTGGGCACAGATTTCAAAGTGGCATTCTGTGCTGAGCACTATGAGGGCTGACTCGGACCTTTCCCCCAGCTGGCTGCACTCTCGGGCCACATTGTTTCCTGCCCCTCCCTGGAAGGTATGTACCCTTGAAGATAAAGACATCTTCATAGCAGCCTAGGTAGGCTTGCCCACCTCCTGCCTGAACTGTTTTCCTGTAACCTGTGCTCTGGCACTAAGCCAGCAGCCTCCACTCACGGATGCCTTCAGAAACAGCTCTAGGAAATGTCCTTCTGTATTTACTGCAAGGACGTTGAGGATATTAGTCACAACAGTACCCAGTGTTCTTTTAAGATGACCCACAGAGAAATTTTCCTCAAGCGTCAGTAATAAGGAAAGCCATGCTTCTTTCTGAAAAGCTTTCTTTCCTTTTCTTTTTAAAAACTCTTATTCAGGTACTTCCTGTACCATTTTCCTCTTTGCTGTCTGTCAGGAAGCACAGAGCCACTCTGAAAGCTCCTCTCTAGCAAGGGTGCAGGGCTCTAACTGTATTGTCTATATTAACCTCAACTCGGTCTCATCTTGTTTTTGCTGTTATTTTTCCATTTAAAAAATTTCTTCACTTCCTTCCTTTTTTCTTTGTTGCAAACAATTTATAAGATGTTCCAAGTCATTTTCGGAATAAGAAGAAATTTAAATAATGATTCACAACTACTATTTAGTGACTTTTACTCTGTGGTGGTATTTTGTGCTACCTGACTTTACTGAATCCTTGTCGTCATTGTAGTAGGTGAAATAAGCAAAATAACATACATGCTTTTTTCGGTCTTATAGATGAGAAAACAGAGACTTTGAGAAGTGAATTAATTTGCCAAGGTTATCTTGTTATTGAACAACAATGTGAGGCCTTGGTAGTTATCTCTGAAAATCTTCAACTCTCAACACAGCACTTGGCTCATCATAAGAGACCCAATAAAAATCTTTTAAAATACATCTATACAATAAGACAAATAGAGATCATCTCCCTGGCTACTTTATTTACTCAGTACTGAGACAACATTTACTTCCACGCCTCTGAGGTGTTCGAGAGGGATGACAGAGCCTGCAGAATGAGGAAATGACTACCCTGTGGTCGACCACAGCCTCTGATGACCAAAACCCACTTTGTGCAGGCGGTGCTGCGACCAGGCTCGATCTGTCATCGAGAACATTCTGCTCCCAACCTGGCACGGCATGCACTGTGCACACACACCCCACGCTTGGCTTTCCTACCGGGTGGTAAGATGGTTGACCCTGGCAGGTTATCAGTGACATGACAACACCAAGGAAGAAGGGACAGAATTGGCAGCACTGAATTTAAGTAGATTTAAGTAGCCCAGAGGTCCCTGCCTTCAGTTCTGAAACCCAGCAACCCACTTTGTTTGTAATCTGCCTGCCAGATGTCTCTTATCTTTGACACCATGAAATCAGGCCTATATATGCACAGTGAACAGCTCCAGATCTGAGTGTATTTTTAGAACAATGGGACTCAAAAAGAAAACCAGCAATGCCTGTCAAAAGATGGATAATAGGAAAGCTAACTACTTGGGTTTGGATTTGTCAACTATTAATCAAGTGTCAAAAGGAAAAAATATTAGGTGTGTCCTCATTTCCATGCTGGGTGCAATCCAAGGGGGAACAGCTTTGCAGTCCAAGCTCAGCCAAACTGCCCACACCATTTAAGGGGATGAGCTACTAATTTCAAGCTCAGCTGAACTAATGGATCACCTCTGTGGCTCCTCATCCGTTCAAATATAATAGGCTCATGTGTGGGTAAAGAGAGGAGTTGGGGCTCTGACAGGGATGAAATGAATGAGCCTGTGCCGGTCTGTGTTCGTCCAGGGTTTGAAGGCACCAGCTGGTTCTTTGATGGGATGGGATCCTACTGCTAGAAAGAGAGCAGGGAAGTCAGTCTGTAAATGAACCTTCAAACCCGGTCCTGACTTCTGCAAACAGTGGTGGCACAATTAACATGAAAAAGATCCTTTTGAGGTGAAATCCCCAGTTCAGATTTTAGTAAGGATGAAGCAGGCTTACAACTAGAAATTCTGTGGCCAGTGTCTATGTGTATGAGTAACATACACATCATGTATAACATATTTGGGAAATTTACATACATGTACCCCACATAGGTGTGTACACAGATGTAAATATACCTTCAGAACATAAGCAGAGGGTAGAGGCCCCTATCTTGTTCCCTCTAATTCCAGTCCCTAGAACAGTACCTGGAGACTCCTTGGACATACTAACGTGATTCATCCACAAGCACCCTATGAGAATGGAGTTTTCATCACCCCCAGTTTACAGAGGAAGAAAATGAAATGAAGCTAAATCATTTGCTCAAGGTCACATGGCCAGTAAGATCTGAACCTCGGTTTGTCCAAAGCAAGACTGCTACTTTTTCTCTCACACACAATGGCGAGGCAGAGGGAGCTGGAATGGCAACCTCCCCAGCGCCCCATCAGGGGCTACAGCAATAACAGCATCCAGGACTTGCGTGGCCAGAAGGTACACCAGCTGGTCACCACCTGCTGGCACCCTGCATCCCTATCTGGGCTCTGGGGTTAGCAGGTGGGAGTAGGACTGGGGGTGGAGGCCAAGCATCCTAAAAGCTTTATTTTTCTATTATGAGACTTGTTGGGCACTGACTTCATCTTCTTCTTTTTTTTTTGAAACAGGGTCTCACTCTGTTGCCCAGGCTGGAGTGCAGTGGTGTGATCACGGCTCACTATGGCCTTAACCTTCCAAGGCTCAGGTGATCCTCCTGCCTCAGCTTCCCAAGTAGCTGGGACAACAGGTGCACACCACCACGCCTGGCTAATTTTTATATGTTCAGTAGAGACAGGGTTTCGCTATGTTGCCCAGGCTGGCCTGGAGCTCCTGAGCCCAGGTGATTCTCCCACCTCAGCTTCCCAAAGTGCTGGGATTACAAGCGTGAGCCACAGCACACGGCCTGACTTCATCTTTTCAAAAATTTGAAAAGTATTGTCTAGTTTTGTTTCCTTTTAGCCCAGGGTAAAAGGCTCATTGGATGATATAAAACCTCACTGCAAAAGCCAGGGAGTCTCAGAGTCTGCTAAGAGATTGGCCCAAGGAGTATGGTTTTAATGGAGTTCAACTAGGCTAAGTACATGTATGGACTTGAAGGACAAACAGAAATTTGGGGTGTATGCTCTCTTTTCAAATTCCTTTCACGTACAGGAGGCAAAAGCTACCTGGACAGAAAGGCACAGAACTGTGAAGGCCCAGGGCATGCCGGGAGACATCCTGGAGACTGAGAATTTCAATCAGCAAAGTTTGCCACTGCAGTTGGCTGAGATGGGGGTGTGGCTGATCTGACCTGTTGTCTGTAATCCAACGCCTACCCTCAGGGACACTGTCTTATTTTTAGCTCCTGGTATGCTAAGCCCTCCTCCCACACCACAAATATGATTTGCACATTTGTTATCCATTGAAGTTACTTAACTAGAGGGACTTTGGGGGAGCTGGCTTTTTTTTTTTTTTTTTGCATTGCCAGTTAACAGTGACACCTGGTGGTAACACACAGCAAGGTCACATCCTGCCCCCACCATCCCCTGCCCCTCCCCCATGCCTCCCCCAGTTGGAAGATTTATGCCCCCTCCATACAAGGCACATTTGCTAGATAAAAGCATTAAACTGGAATGGCATCTCCGTTCTTAGCATTTACAACCTCGGTTACATCAACCACCCCCTGATCAATGTCCATTTCTAGAGTTTACTGCCTGGATGTAAAAGCCTGCCACAAAGGCTATATTTAATATGGCAAATTAAAAAAGCAAACACTGGTTTGGTCATTCTTTGGAGCCAGGAAAAGCAAATGGGAGCAAGGAAAAACCCAAGCATGATGCACATAAAGATGAACTCTCATGGGGCTGCTAAGTCTGCCTCCACCCCAACTCGATGAAGGCGCCCCTTGGAGGTCCTAAGCCCACCTGCCAGAGGGGCCCACAGACATGGCTGTTCTACAGGGCTGGTGCACATCCCTCTCCTTCCAGAAGACAGGAGGCCTGGGAGCAGCCTCCTGCCCTGAGAGCTTCCCTCACCAGCCCTCTGGCAGACAGGAGAGCCACTTCCAAAGCAAGCTGGTCATCTGCCTAGGGTCGGAAACTCACTACCTCTGGCTTTTCTGAATACTAAGCCAAGGTTCCCACTTGGGCCCTTGCAACGAACACAGCTTTCTCTTCTCCCATGAGGGTAAGTGTGTGTAAGTGTGTCACTCTGACTGCAGTATGGAGAATACCTAGAGGGGCAGGACTGGAAGTGGGACCAGTGGTGAGGTCTGTTGTTCTGGTGGGAGATGATGGTGGCCTGGCCTGGCCTAGTGGTTTGGAGGTGTCGTTTTGAGAGCAATTTTCCAAGTGAGGTAGGCGGGCTTTACTTTTGGTCATGGATGTAGGGTGTGAAGGAAAGAGAAGAATTAAGAACAAACAACAGGATGGATGGCAGGGCCATGTGCTGAGATGGGACTCCATCTCATGCAGGGGACTTGGTTCCTCAGTACTAGTAGGTATGACAGACTGCACTCTGTCACCTAGGCTGGAGTACAGTGGTGCGGTCTTGGCTCACTGCAACATCCGCCTCCCAGGTTCAAGTGATGCTCCTGCCTCAGCTTCCCAATTAGCTGGAATTACAGGTTCCTGCCACCATGCCCAGCTAACTTTTTGTATTTTTAGTAGAGACAGGGTTTCATCATGTTGGCCAGGCTGGTCTTGAACTCCTGACCTCGTGATCTGCCTGCCTCAGACTCCCAAAGCGCTGGGATAACAGGCGTAAGCCACCCACCGCACCCAGCTGCCAGGTATGACTTTTCCATACTAAGTGGCCCACCCACCCACCCCTCTCTCCATGCGGTAATGAGGCTCACAGAGAGACCAGGTTTCCTATTGTCTCAGGCTTCTTCTCCCACTTAGAGAGCTTATTAATTTCAGCATCAAGATGCCAAATCAGCTCTTGATCAAGGATCAAGACTGATTTTTTTTCCCAACTTCAAGATAAGTTTGCAAGTGACATGTGTGAAGCAATCCACCTAGCTCTTCCTCCCCCTCCCTGCCCATCAGGAGGGAGGCCATCTGACTCAACACTTGAACGGAATGTGCTGGAGCAAACAAAGGGAGCTGCGGTCAAGTGGTGGGGCTGCGTGTTCCTCCACCTGAGGCTCCCTGAACACCAGCTCAAGATTCAGCAAGGTCCAATTCCGGGTTTAATTGCTTTCAGCAGCAAAAAAGAGAACTAGAAATGAAAAGATAATGAATTGAGAATATTAGCTTATTTGATGGTTCTAAACTTGAAGGATGGGATGGAGTGGGTGTAGGAAAAATAGAATGGATGGGGAATGTGAAAATCAGACCTTTAACTCTTGGTTGTAATAGGCATCTAAAAGGATTTACTTCAAGATAAACTCATTATGTTCTTGAGTTGCACTTTAAGTCACAGCACAATCAGCTCCAGGGGCACCGCCCAGGGAGGACTATTTTCACCCTAAATTGATTCTGTACGGAATAAAAATGCCTGGGGACAGAAGCTGCTTAGGATGCGCCCCTGTGCTCATGAAACTATGACTGATTCTGGGACTAAGGGATGTGACGGGAAAGGGACAGGAAGAAAAAAGGAAATGGGAAATCAAGAGCAAAAAACAGCAAAGGACAATAAATCAATTCAAGAAGATATTACCATCACTCCCAGGGAGTGCAAGGTTTCTAAGGAGCAAGCTGGCTCTCCTCACTGCACAGTCAGAGCAGCCTTTCCACTCCTCAGGGAATGAGTTGACTCCTAACTCCCACCCCACTGAAGAGGATCAGAGATGTGCCTCTAGAAGCTAGGAAGATGCAGGGATTCCGCTGCAGGCGTGAAGCTGGTGAGGCTGAAGGAGCTGCAGGGCTCAGAGCGGCACAGAGTGCCAGGCCCAGCTTTCGCCCCAGCAGCAGACCTACCCTGGGATGGCAGTTCCAGGATGCAGGCTGCTCCCACCTGGAAGGAAAGCTTGGAGAAGAGGGGCAGAGTAGATTTGGGGTCTCATGTCTGGGGAATGCTGTTGTGCTGAGTTTTAGCTCTTAGTCCTAAAGTAACCAGCAACAGCTTCTTCTCCTAGAGGTGATACAGCTTTTCTCAAATAAGCATGGTCAAACTCTTAGAAATTGGAATCATCTAGTTTCAGAATCAGAAAAGGCCCTTTAAGCCATTAGTCTGGCAACTCTTAAGGTTCTTCGGGTCACAGATTCCTATTAGAACCTATGAATGGTTCCTATTAGAAAAAGGCACATGTGCACCTGCCTGCACACAAACAATTTTGCTTTGCACTTGTGAGGGTTCATGGCACCGATGCCCATCTAAGACCTGCCGTGGAGTCGACATATGCCATATCAGGAACCCAGCACTTTCACTTTGCTGTTGAAGAAGCCAAGGCATGAAGAAGTGCCAGGCACCTGGTCTCCAGGCCTAGAAGCAGATTCCCCTCCAACCAGGAGGGTGCTGAGTCCTCTCTAGCACACCGTCTTTCTGCTTCTTGACCCTCTGGAATTGTTGCTGACTTTGCAGCAGAGGAAAAGGTTACTGGCAAAGAGAAACACATCTAGTAAAAATACCATCTCTAGTGCTGGCACAGTTAAAGAATTATCTTAACCTGGCAGGGTGACAGAGAAAAGAGCAGAGATGCCTCAACTCTGCTTGCCATTAGCAAATCATCTGTAATTTAGAACAAACGTAAAGGGATGCGGGTGATCAGGCAGACGTACCTCCTGGCAGCCTCTTGTAATTTCACGGGCTGTTTGACACTGAGGTAAATCAAGCAGGCATCAGCCACTTTATTCAGGTCACCCTCACCTGCAGAAAAGAAAAACAAAACAAGCATCAGCCCTTACACTTCATTTGGGACAAGCAGTGACCAACTGTGTCTGGAGAAACTGCAACAGCTAGGCAAGATGCTCTGGGCTCTCTACTCCATCCCGCCAAAGAACACATCAAGATAAATGGACAAATGAGGCCAAAATAAGACGGAAGGAGGTACACAGAGGGGAGGGGAGGGGGGCACGACTGAGCAGAGGGCATGATGGCAGGGGTGAGACAGATGCTAAGTGTGTGTGTTCAGGTGGAACTGCCTGGTACCCACCTAGGTCCAGTCTCTCACAGAGGGGGCCCAGGCCCTGTAAGACAGCCAGCTGCAACTTGAAGGCCAGCGTGTGCGAGTAAACTGGTCCAGCCCTGGCACTGATGGGGGCCTGGGTGACTAGGGAGCCAGCCAGCTTTGGCAGGACATCTTTGCAGAACCGGCTGCGAAGAAAGTCACCACACTTGCTTCCCAGGGTACGTAAAACCTGCAGAAACAGCCTCCAACCTGGTGAGTGAACATTGCCAAGGCAGCAAGAGAGCTAAAGAATGCTTGGTAATTCGATTTCATCTAGGTCTCTGCTTGGGGGAAAAAAAAAATAGAATTACTGCTGTTAATTCCTTGCCCATGGTTTGTGATTCTGACAGTTATGAATTTGGAGGTCTCTGCTCCCAAGGCATGGCTGCTTCTACCCATAAATACAGATTACATGGGGAATAATTCAAAGGAATCTTGGGTTGGATGAATAATATGATTAATATCTTGATTTCCCTCCCATTTTTGTTAAAAAAAAAAAAAAGAGAAGAGCTTAAAGCAGTTCACATAGATCATTTCTTGAATCTTCCTAACATCCCTTGAGAAAATATGTATGCTTTAAACTCTAGCTAGCTGAGCAAACACAAATACTATGGTCCAGCTGCTGCCACATGCAGGCATCAGGAGGTTAGTGACTGGGCCGAGGTCCCTGGGCTGAACCAAGGCAGGGTCCCTGAAGTTGCAGCCGACTCGGTGTTCCTTCTGTTCAGCTGCACAATCTCTTATGCACATCACCCTCATTCTATCTTTCAGAACAGATAGTTTCTTTGCATGTCTTGTTTTAAACTTTCTCTAGCAGAACATATTGAAATGTTTTGCCCTGCTGCACAAGACTGAGTATACAGGATAATAGGAATTTCTTTAAAAATTGGTAAGCAAGGCATAACCAGCACAGTGTTTGCTCATTTTGCAGAGAACAAGGCTCTCATTTTAGGTCCCTCAGCTGAATGGCACAGCTTCTATAGACCTCAGTGTCATCATCGTGTCTGCGCATGGGGAAAGCAGCCTCAGTTATTGTGTACACATCTTTATTTTTTTTCATTTTTCTATGCTTGCTGTTATTTCAGACAACCTATTAATTCTCACCAAACCCCGCCCTGCAGTACATCTGGATAAGATTTAGCAATACCACCTCCCTCTCCCTTAATCTCTTTCTTTTTTCGAGATGGAGTCTCACTCTGTCGCACAGGCTGGATGGAGTGCAGTGGCACGATCTTGGCTCACTGCAACCTCTGAAGCCCGAGTTCAAGCAATTCTCCTGCCTCAGCCTCCTGAGTAGCTGGGATTATAGGCGCCTGCCACTGCGCCCAGGTAATTTTTGTATTTTTAGTGGAGACAGGGTTTCACCATCTTGGCCAGGCTGGTTTTGAACTCCTGACCTTGTGATCCACCTGCCTCCGCCTCCCAAAGTGCTGGGATTACAGGCATGAGCCACCGCGACTGGCCTAATCTCCCTCTTTCTTTGGCACACATACATACACACACACACGTATCATTTTGTGCATTTTGTTTTGGGAAAAAAACATTAACAATTTTTAATATTTTAATTTGGTCTAGTATATGCTGAAGAATTTACAGAAGATCAAACTACTTTGGCCAACGGTATCTGGTGCATTACCAGCTTCATTTTGTGTCCCTACAGATCTTTTCTCTCTGCCTCATCTTGCGCACCTTCTTCTAATTTATGGCAGCTCGCTGTGGTATGTATCTCTGCAGGTTGCCTTAAGGGCTTTTTAGAACAAGAAAGGATATAAATAAGCTAAAATATCCGTGCTAATGTAAGCCAAACTAAGCCAGGGAGAATAATACCTTACATATATATAGGACTGTTAGCTTTTCAAAGCATTTCACCAAACAGTCCCATTTTATCCCTGACAACACTATGAGAAAGGTGGGCTAGGTGTTCCTAAGCCCAACACGAAAATGGGTGGTCCTGGGTTTTGTCAGCATCACTCAGCTGGGCAGAGGATGCCCACTGCTAGAACCTCAGCCCCTTCGCCTTGACTCCTGTGCAGTGCAAATATGGTGTGAACTCAATGCTCTGGGTTTGTATCACTTACTAGCTGTTCGATTGTGAGAAAATTCCTTAACTTCTCTGAGCTTCTTTCTTCCTCTGCCAAAAGTAAAGACAATATACCTACCTTGCAAAGTGGTTGTAAGGAGACAAACTCCTTTGTGGAGGAGTGCTGAGCTTACTGCCTGGCCTTTTCATCTACTAGTTCATCTGCTTCAAGTTCAAAAGGAGACTGTTACTTTCTTCTTTGTGCTTTTCTTATGTTTCTATACTTTCTTCACAGTATGTGACATTGCAATCGGGTGAAGAGAACCAATCCAAAAGGCCCCGGTGAGCTCTGTGCCTACTAACTCTACCCTCACAACAGACCATGGGGGATGCTGGTGCAGTACCTTGAAGGCTCTAAGCACTGCCAGGGGGGCGTCCCGTGTGAGTCGGTGAACGAGCGAGGGCCAGGCCTGATGAGCCAAGGGAAGCAGCTGGTTTTTGTGGGACTGAAGAACAACCACACACAGATCCAGCACATCCAAGACCTGAAAGAGACACGATTTCAGCAGATGGTATAGGCTTGAAAACAGATACCTGGGATCAAGTCACCATTTTCAAAGAATAACATTTAGAAACGTATTAATTGGATAATTGTTTTCTGAGTGCTGACTACATGCCAAGCACTAGCTAGGTACTGAGGGGACACACAGAGACAAAATACACGTTTCCTTGCCTTTGCAGGGTTCATGGTCAGCTGGGGAAAGACCTTAATTAGATAACGCCTAAATGAAGAGATGATTAGCAATTGGGACAAGAAGGGAAGTCAAAGGTGAAATGCAAAGAAACGAGGGGAAGGATCTAAACCACAGACTGTTGGGAAGGCTTCGCTGGGGAAGGAGCTTCTAAAAGAAGACACAAAGGATGAGTAGGAGTTAGTTCTGTGAAGATTCATGCAACTGGAAACCGTGATGAGGAAGACTCAGAGGTGGAACAGAGCTTTCATAAGAAGTGAAAGAAGGGCAGCGTGGAGCATTACAGAGAAGAGGTAAAACGGGGCCCAACTACAAAGGGGTTTGTTAGGAATTTTTTTTATTTTGTACTAAGTGCAGTGGGGAGCCGTCAAAGTGTTTTAAGCAGGAAAGTGACATGATACAATTCATGTTTTAGAAAGGTCATTCTGGCTGCTGAGTGGAGAAGAGACTTGAAGGGTGACAGAGAAACAAAGAGGCCCTTTAGGATCCACATGAGAGGAGCAAAGTGATGTGGCCGCGTGATGGCGGCAGAGGAGAGAAGTGAAAGGACTGGATATCTGTTTTGGAGATGACGTGGCTTAAATTGCTGAAGGACTGGATACTGGGGAGGGGAAGTGAGGGTTTGAAAAGAGCTGCTTCGTTTCAGGGGTAGCAACTGAAGAGATGCAGATGCCACTGAATGAGATGGGGAGCACGCGGGAGGAGAAAGTTGGGCGGCTAGGGGAGACCAAGTTCTGTTACCACTACATGGAGAGGCCCAGCAGGCAGCTGAGGTACAGGTTAATCTCACCAGAAAGGGTTAGGCTACCCTACATATAAACTGATATTTTACCTTCCTTGTTTCCTGATCTCTTATATCTCAAACTCACTGAAAAGAGACTGCCTGCATCAGTGTCACAGGCAGCGGTCAGTACGACGGCCAGCGCAGGCTTCCCTCCCGCGTGGGCGGCCAGCGCAGGCTTCCCTCCCACATGGACGCCCAACCTTCACAGGGCGAGGCACTCGTTAGTCTGCAAGACAGAGAGAAGCCGGCCAACACAAAGCAGTAAACCCTACTGGGCGCCTACTATGTGCTGGTCCACACTGAGACTGGAACAGAAGAGACCCTGCCATTGAGGGGTGAATAATTAGGCCAGGGAGTAAGAGAAAGCTCAGCTGCACAGTGGGGAGCAGGGGATCAGGGGAGCAGAGTGGAAATGGCTTTGGTATCACTGACAGGCTTGGAATTTGAGCTCTGTCATTAATGGGACAAGTTACATTATATTTCATTGACTCAAAGATGTACATTTCCCCTCTGCCTGGAATGTTCTCCTTGCCCCTTTGCAGGGCTGCCTCCTTCTCAGCCTTGAGAAATGTTACCACCTCAGAGAGGCCTTCCCCGATGACCTAGGCTAAATCAGAAGGTAAGCTCTGTCTTAGTCAGCAGGGTTTTGCACCGAGTAGGTACCCAACACGTATCTGCCGCATGGGTGAATTACTATTTTCTATCAAATAGAACGTGCTATTACCTTGACAGCCTTTCTCCAATATGTATGAGTCTGTGTATTGCCTCTCTCCCCACAAAAGACAGGGAGTTCCATGAAGACAGGGATTGTGTCTGCATCATCCCCTCTACACATCCTCTGCCTGACCTGCACTAGTCCTCAATAAGCATTTAGCACATGAATGAGTGTATGTGTCTTATTTCATGCTGTTTTATATTTATAATCAACAACCCTGTGAGGTAGGTACCATCATCTTCATTTTACTGATGAAGATGCTAAGGCTCAACATGATGAATTAACTTACTCAAGGTCACATGGCTAATAAGAGGCAGAAACAGGATTTGGACTGACTCAGATATGTAGGTCTGACTCCAACACTGATGTTCTTAATAATTATGGTATGTATACAGCTGCTACAAATCCTCTACAAAAAGGAAGGTCTTGAAGGATATACAGCAGTATGTTGAATGTATCAGCCAGGCACCTACATTAAAGCCGTGCAGGTAAAAAGGTAAGTGCTTGCTGAATGGAACAACAGATGAATGCTAAGAGCTGTCTTGGGAAGACTAAACAAACTCCACACAACACAGGCGCTGAGATTTGAGATAATCTGTGGATCAGGGTTTCCTAGCCCATCACCCCTGAGCAAGGCAATGTACACTCATTACTAACAGTGAGTCACTAAGGCAGTTGTGTTTCTCTCTCTTTTTTTTTTTGAGATAAAGTTTCACTCTTGTTACTCAGGCTGGAGTGCAATGGCACGATCTTGGCTCACCACAACCTCTGCCTCCTGGGTTCAAGCGATTCTCCTGCCTCGGCCTCCCAAGTAGCCGGGATAACAGGCATGCACCACCATGCCCGGTTAATTTTGTGTTTTTAGTAGAGATGGGGTTTCTCCATGTTGGTAAGGCTGGTCTCAAACTCCCAACTCAGGTGATCCGCCCACCTCAGCTTCCCAAAGTGCTGGGATTACAGGCGTGAGCCACCGCGCCTGGCCGACAGTTGTATTTCTCACTCCTGCTTGGGGGTAGAGAGGAATGCTGTCTCCCTTTGGGTGTAAGGTCTTCTCCAGGGTGATTCTAAAAGCCCTGCCCCCCACTTCTACCCCACCCCACTGCATCCTGTTATTGCAGTCACTACTACATGCTTTCAGCCCTTGCTGATGGGGGTGCTGCTTGGCAAACTGCCAGCAAGCCAGTCTATATTAGGAAGTGTTCAAGTTTTCCCTAGAATGAAAACAGAGAGATAAGGGCTAGTGTCAGGCTTGGAAGAATGATCTCATTAAAGTATTAAAACCTGCATCCTACATAGCTGAGAAAATAATATCCTTTCCAAAGCACATGGCTTTCTTTTCCTTGGAAATTCAGTGAATCCCCAAAACTTGTGGTTTTTAATGCAGGAGACTCAGCTCCCTTTGGCATCTCAGCAGACACAGAAAGATGTAAAACTGTCACCCCACAGACAAATTCCTTTTGATGCCTTCTCTTGGCCACCACACGTGGACCAGGAGATAAGGGGAGCTACGTGCTCATCCGTGTAGCCACTGCCAACCAGGCCACACCTTAGTCCTGCTACTCTGGGAATGCAGAGAAGCAGCTGCGCACTGACCTTCAGGCGGATTTGCAGATTTTTATCTGACAACAAGTGGATGCAGCGTTCCATCACGTCCATGGCTATTTGGATCTGCAATGGCAGTGGTGGCTCCACATCTGGACGGGTGTCATTCTCATCCACTTTGGGAGGGACTGACTGTTCCTCTGGAAAAAGAGCACAACTGGGGGCAGTGTTGTATGAGTGATAAAACAGAGATACCTAAATTTCTGTTCTTTATAAATTACTCAGTCTTAGGTATTTGGTTACAGCAGCACAAATGGACTGAGACACCTCCACTCAAGGGGGAATAGGTACAGAAACCATGATATAGCCATATAATGGCATTTTATGAGGTCCCTATTTTTTTTAGGCACAGGGCCTTGCTCTGTCCAAGCTGGAGTACAGTGGTGTGAACACGGCTCACTGCAATCTCAAACTTATGGGGTCGAGTGATCTTCCCACCTCAGCCTCCTGAGTGGCTAGGACTACAGGTGCATGTCACCATGCCCAACTAATTTTTAAATTTTTTTGTAGAAATGGGGGTCTCACTATGTTGCCCAGGCTGGTCTCCAATTCCTGGGCTCAAGCAATCCCCCTGCCGTGGCCTCTCATAGTGCTGGGATTACAGGTATGAGCCACTACACCAGGCTAAGCATGGGTTTTAATGACAAGAGAAATGCTTATAAAATAATATTGTCTTAAAAAGACAAAAAGCACAACACAAAATTGCATATGCAGCATGAACACTACTACATACGTTTTTGCATGAGAGGAAGTACAGCAAAATATTAAAAGTGACAGGGTAATGAGATAACAGATGACTTCAGTTTTTTTCCCTATGCCTTTGGTCTTTTCTAAATTTCCATTAATGAATATTTAAGATAAAAACAAGATATTTGGGAGGTTGAGGCAGGTGGATCACCTGAGGTCAGCAGTTTGAGACCAGCCTGACCAACATGGCAAAACCCCATCTCTACTAAATTACAAAAATTAGCCGGGCATAGTGGCGGGCGCCTGTAATCTTAACTACTTGGGAGGGTGAGGCGGGAGAATCGCTTGAACCCAGGAGGCAGAGGTTGCAATGAGCCGAGATCGTGCCATTGCACTCCAGCCTGGGCAACAACAGCAAAACTCTGTCTCAAAAAAAAAAAAAAAAGGGAGAGATAGCAGGGTTCTCGTGTGGAGGAGCCTTGAAGCTGGGAAGTTCCATGGCTGGCCTCTGCTCTGTCCTTCACTTTTTTGTCTCCTCTTGATTCATCCTTTGATTAAAAGGGGGGTGCACATCTGTCTTCTCCACCAGCCTGTAAGAACTTCTGATGGCCAGAATCAAACCTTACTTATCTTTGTAGGTGAGGTAACAAGGGCAGCTTGGTGTAGTTCATAGGGCATGGAGTTTGGTTAGAGGAGGTTGGACCAAGTCTTGCCTCTAAAACCTATTAGCAACTTCTTTCATCCTACATTACCTCATCTGGAAAAAAAGGGATAGAGCATGTATACCTCACATGCTACTGAGAGCATTAAATGAGATATTACCAGTCATTATCATTCTCACTGTCTAGAGTGCTGCGTTGCATGAGATAGATGTAAGTTTGTAAACGGAAACATCACCACAAGATTTGAGAATTGCATGAAACCCAGGTCAAAATCCTTACCCTGAAAAATTTTCCTGATCTACTTACAGCCCCCAGCCTCATGCCAACCCTGATTACCAGCTGTGCTCATTTCCACTGAGCAGAGCACTGCTCCCTTAACTTTTTCCCATTTCAGTTCCCTCTGCTGGAAAGACAGACTCTTACAGTAGAGGCTGCACCTGTCTCTAACAGATGCTGAAAAGATAAATTAAAATGCATTTGTAGAATGCTTGGATTTCTTGGAGAAAGGGACCTCAGATATACAAGGTGCTTTTATGTGCTTAAAACAAAAAACTCATGTCAAGCCAGCACTGAGGCAAACATTCCTTAGAATGCCAAGTGTGTGGTGTGTACTTGATGAATGATAAGCATGATAGGCCTGTGCTTTTTTCCCCAGAGGGGAATTTGTTGTTTGAAATTCACCTATTGCAGAATCTTATTTGAGGGATGTGGATTTTCCTGTTATTGGAAGAAGGGTTTGACTCTTTCAGTCTGCTCTACGTGAACATCAACTAACACCAGAAGATCCTAATCATGAAGGAATGGATTCACTGACAGTGCTCAAATTTTAAACAAGAATGGCAAATCTGGATTATGAGGGATCAGAATGCCTCCCCTGCTTCAGCATTTCCAGGTTTGGGTGAAGGGTGCAGTTCACAAAAAGGACTGGATTGGCTCGAGAAACAAATCTGAGAAGAAAAAGCCTGATAGATTTCTGATCAGAAAACTCTGTCCTCGGGGAGAGCAATGACTCAATTCTGCATAAATCATTATTTGGGCCCTGTGATGCCTTTTCTGCTATTTAGAAGGAATTTGTTGTAGTGAGTGGCATCAAGCTACTATTTCCTGTTACACTGCTGGAAGTACTGGCTTCAGTTCACCAGAATCTCACAGTGGAGATCACCAAAAGGAGGAAAAAAACAAAAAAAGGAAAAGAAAAGAAAAAGAAAAAGAAACGTTTTATTCCAACCTCACAAACTAATTTGGGACTCGGTTCGATTTAGGATGGTTCTGAGACCACCAAGCTCATTATGACTTGGCATTTTATATTTGCAGAGGAGATCCTAATAATTTATTAATCCTTCCGTGACCTGAAGCTCCAGATTGAGCTTGTGAATAAAACAACAGGCCAGAGCTTCAACTAGCCTGAACTCCCTTCTTCTTTATCATATAAATTGGTAAGAAAAAGACTGCAATCTCCTCCCACCAACAAACAAATGGACAAAGCATATAAATAGACAATGGGAATAAGGAAAAAAAACCTGTTAGGAAAGAAGCTTATAAAGACATTCAACCTCACTGGTAATCAAAGAAATGCAAGGTAGATAACAAGACCCATTTTTCACCTATTAATTTAGGAAGAAAACTGGAAATAGCCAATGTTGGTAAGGCTGTGGTGAAACCAGTATTCATCCTGCACTGCCGAAGGAAAAGTATAAATTGACACAACCTTTTTGAAAGGCAATTTGGCAAGCATTAAATTATGTTCATATCCTTGACCCAGAAATCCTACTTCTGGGAATTTAAAGAAATATGCAAAAATAAAAAATAAAAAAATAAAAAAAATAAAAAAAAAAGGTCACATGCACAGAATCATCCACCGCAGCACTGTTTATTAGAGTTATTATTAAGCCAGAAGCAACCTAAATGTCCTACAGGGGATGGACACTTAGTAACAGCTATTAAAACGTTAATGATCAAAATTCAACGGCAATAAGCAGAGTTGCTTATAACTAAACACAAAAAGGGTACACAGCTGCAACCACGGAAAAACAGTTTTGTAACAGAAAAGAATGGAAAAAGATTACACAAAACAGGAGAATAGCTATGTTAGCCTGGTAAGGTTATGAGTAACTTTTCTTATTTCTACCCTTTCTGTAATGATGTTTCACCATTTTTACAATAATCTGTTTCAGAAAGAAAAAACCAGCTAAGCCAAAATAAACAAGTTACCTTCTTCATTATCAAAATCCGAGACATTTCCATCTGCCACATCCTTCTCTTTGAGGTAGTTCAGCAAAAACTGTTCGATGTCTTCAGCTGTGGTGGTGCTCTTCTCAAGAGCTGCTGGTCTTTGGTTCAAATGACTTCCCTCTTCTCCTAAACTTTGCTCTTGGAGGTGCCCAAGATTACCTGTGTCTGGGAACCACTGGGCTGTAAATAAAGTGTTACAATGATCACCTTGGCTATTAACAACAGGCATGAGTACTTTATACACAGAATAAGCTCTCTGCCCTGGCCTGCACAGCCCCCACATGATTCAGTCCCTGCCTGGCTCCCCGGCCTCCCAGTTGCCCATTAACTCATCCTTTTCCAGTTCCCCCAATGCGGCAAGCATTTTCCTGTTTCAGAACTCTTGCATAGGCCGTTCTCTGTGTCTGGAATACCTCCCATCTACTTCACATCTGGTTAACTCCAAATCACTTTTCACATCTCAGAACACATAGAACTTGCCCGATAAGGCCCTCCCTTGACTCCCCTGTTTAACTTAGGTCACTTACATGATGTCTTATATAGCACTCTGCTCTTTCTCTTCATATCAGCTCATCACAATATGTGATTATATATTTGCGTATCTATTTATTTGTGTGTACTATTCAGTGTCTGAGCCTCCCATCAGACTCTATGTTCCATTGGTCACCACTGGAAATCTAATATGCCCAGTGTGGGTTCCAGCATCTCTATTCCTTCAACCAACTCAGCTCTAACTGCAATCATTTTTGTATGACAGGGTTCCACAAAGACTCTTAGGAGAGCAATTTGATAACTCTCTCAAAAATTTAAACATAAACCCTTTAAACCAGCATTTTTTTCCAGGATTTCATCCTATCGATATGCTGAGGCATGTCCAAAATGACCTACAAAGATATTGGGTGCTCAAAGTATATGCAAAAGAAAAAATACACAAGACTGGCAAACACGTCCAAGTGACAAAATTCTGAGTACAGAATATACCACTCATTAGCAGAATACAGGCTTTACAGAGTCTTGAGAATGGATGGTCTCACCTTGTATTTCTCACATAAAATGCTTCAGAAAGCTGGCCATTTTCTCTCCAAAGTCTTCCCTATTCGGTGGTGCTCAAATACCTCTGGTAAGTCACCACAGAATAAACTTCTAACATCACTGGGTCCCGTGGTTTTCAAACTGTGCCTTGAGGAGCCTTAGGGCTTCACAGAAATGTCTCATGGATCACAACAGGGAGGGCACCAAGAGACGGTGGGCTACAGGCATGGGTTCCAGGGTCTCTATTCCTTCAAACAACTCAGCTCTAATTTCAATTATTTTTGTATATCAGGGTTCCCCAAAGGCTTCATTTCAAAAAAGGCTCTTAATACTTAAAGAATAAAACAACAACAACAACAAATCCCACAGCCTGAAAATCACTGCTCTGGTCCAGTGCCCTCCTTTTGCAGACAGCTGGGAAAAAAACTCTGATAACCTTTAGCACCTGCTAATCTCCTTTTCATCAAAGAGCATCTGCACAGAGCAAGAGCAGCAGCAGATGGGAGATGACAGGGCCAGGCAACTGGCAGTATCAGAGAGCAAATGTGTGAGGTGTGAGCCGGAGGTTCCTACACCCAGGGATCCATTATGACATTCTTCAAACTGCATCCCCAGTTGTCTATCAGCTACTTAGTGCACTCTAAGGCACTGGTTCCCAAATAGTTAAAACCTGGACCCAGCATTTACACTGCTAAGACTAGATATGCTGCAAAGATTATTTCTAGATTCAAGGCTGGTGACAGACATTAAAATGTCTTTGCTCACAAATGGCTTTTAAACATATGAAAAGAAGCTCAATCTCACGTTTAATGCAAATTAAAACTATAATAAGGTGCTATTTTTCTCCTATTGGATTAGCAAAGATCAAAAGCTTGGTAATACACAGTGTGGGTGATGGCGTGGCAAAACTGGCACTCTCGTACATTGCTGATGGAGTTTAAATTGGTACAACCTCTTAGAGAGCAATTTGATACTCTCTCAAAAATTTAAACGTAATACCCTTTAAACCAGCATTTTTTTCAGAAATTCATCCTATTAATATACTGAGACATGTCCAAAATGACCTACAAAGATATTCAATGCAGCATTTTTTGTGGTGGCCAAAGACTGGAAATGACCAAAATGTCTACCAAGAAAGGACTGGTTAAATACACTATGGTGCAGACGCGTGATGGAATACTATGCAGCCATAAAAAGAATGCAGCAGCACATTCTCCAAGTTGTGAAGTATGTGACATAAATACTTATTTTCAAAGCTACCCTATTTTTTTCTTGTTATGAATAATCAGCTAACCAGCAGTTGGGATTAAGCAGTAATTAACTGATGCTTCTTGCCCTTACCGTGGCACCTAATGCTTTTTTAGTCACTGCATGTGACACACTATGTTAATGATAACTCAATTTCCTAAAGCTCTTACTGGGTTCTTCTAAGGCCTTTCAGAAGTTCTCTGAGAACACATTTCCACACCCATCTTAAAAGAGTGGACGTCAGTTAGATAATTCTATGACAAACAGAAATGACAGCAAAAGGTACTACTCTGATTTATGAGTGACTATACCAACTCCACCTGAGTACTACTTCCTGTTCAAAAAGTGAGTGTATTCTGGGTTATTTCAAAACTTTCATAAAAGCTAGCTCTAAGTTTGCTTCTGTTCCAAGGAAGCCCCAGAGTCAGTCTTAACCATTCAATTTTCCTTTCTGCAAGGGAGACCCTCTCCCTCCACCTCATTTTTTTTTTTTTAAAAGCACTACAAAGCTACACAGGAGTCTTGACACTCCTCCTTCAGAGATGACCGAAGACATCAGCAATCTAAGACAATTCAATTTTGAAGGCCCAAATTCAGATACCTCTTGAGAGATATATTTCACAGGGCTTTTCTTAACCTACATTTTAAAAATTTCAAATTGAAACATAGCATAGGTCGCTAAAGCAGTACAGGTGGGATATATTTGGCCCATGGAAGCCAGTCTTAGTCTGCATAAGCAACCAGTCAGTCCTATGAGGGGCTCCACGAGGGCAGGCCTAAGTGGGTCTTATTCATGGCTGACTCCCCAGTGACTAGCCCACTACACAGGCTTCCAAGTAGCTGCAAAATAAAATCCAAACTCCTTCTCTTGCTCCTCAAGGCCCTACCAGGATTTGTCCTTGCCCTTCTTTCCAACTTCATCTTGCAACACTCTCTACAAAGGCCTCTTTTCCATTCTCCAAAGACCCATGCCCCTTCTTCCTTCTGGGCCTTCCCACCTGAATTTTTATTTATTTATTTTTTTTTTTGAGACAGTCTTCCTCTGTCACCCAGGCTGGAGTGCAGTGGTGCAATCATGGCTCACTGCAGCCCTGACCTCCCTGGGCTTAGGTGATGCTTCTACCTCCCAAGTAGCTGGAATTACAGGCATGTACCGCCACTCCCAACTAATTTTTTTCCATTTTTAGTAGAGACGAGGCCATACTAGGTTGCCCAGGCTGGTCTTGAACTCCTGGGCTCAAGCAATCCGCCCACCTCAGCCTCCCAAAGTGTTGAGATTACAGGTGTGAGCCACGGCACCCGGCCTGAATGTTCTTAAAAATAAATGTGATAGCCCCCTATGTGTTGATGGGCCTTTCTCATCCTTCAGGTTTTGGCTTTAGTGTTGCTTCCTCAGAGAGGCCCTCCCTGACCACTGAACTTATAGGAGCCTGTGTCTGTTACACTGAGGTGTTTATTTCCTTCACGGTGTTTATCAGAATCTGCCGTGAGCTTGTCTAATGATTTGTTTACTTGTTTATCATCTCTCTTGCAGTGGCAGGGAAGTTCCATGAGTTTATTCGTCTTTTTCTCTGCTCTATCTTCATTACTTAGCACAGTGTCTGACATATGGCAGGCACTCTTGAATGAATGAATGAAAAAGGAACATTTATGCTGAACGTGAATGCTCATGCATGAATAAACAAACACTGGAAATGGCATTAGCTACAGGGCAGTGCACTGTCCCTGCCCCAGTTACCTTCCATGAGAATGTTTCTTACAAGGTCTTGGCTTTTTCAACTGACAAAATGAGGCCAGTGACCATTCCACCTTCTCAGAGGCTATTAGCAGTACTGAGATAAATACTGGAAATATGCTCTTTAAATAAAAGGGACCCAAGCTATACAGCTTATTATTTTCTCATTGAAAGATTGACTATCCAGTTGAAGGATTCCTTTCCTTATAATTGAAGTCCAAAATTTTGCCATTCCTTTTTTTTTTTTTTTTTTTTTGAGACAGAGTCTCACTCTGTCACCCAGGCTGGAGTGCAGTGGCGCGATCTTGGCTCACTGCAAGCTCCGCTTCCCAGGTTCAGGCCATTCTCCTGCCTCAGCTTCCCAAGTAGCTGGGACTACAGGCGCCCGCCACCACGTCTGGCTAATTTTTTTTTTTTTATTTTTTAGTAGAGACGGGGTTTCACCATGTTAGCAAGGATGGTCTCGATCTCCTGACCTCTTGATCCGCCTGCCTTGGCCTCCCAAAGTGCTGGGATTACAGGCATGAGCCACCGCCCCCAGCCAATTTTGCCATTCTAATAGTGGCTAACATCTTCGGTAAGCACCCAATAGGATCAGTGGGAAGAAGAGAAACTTAAACCAACTCACACAATTAAAAGGTTAAAAGGAAGTTTCTAGACCTGCTCTGTCCAGTATGGTAGTCACTAGCTACATGTGGCTATTAAAATTAAGTAAAATATAGAATTCAGTTCCTCAGGTGCACGAACCACATGTGTATAGTGGTAACTGTACTGGATAGAACGAATAAAGATTATTTCTATCATCAAAGAAACTTCTCTTAGTACCGTTCTAGACAATATGTGACTGAATAATTCACGTTATATCTGTTCTTCATTAGCATAGATACTGCTAACTCTATGCATCATCAGAAGCAGTTTGCTATACTGGAAAGAACAAAACTGTCATAAATCCTGATTTTATCATTTATTAATTGTGTGACCCTGGCTAAGTAGGATGTCACTGACCCTTAGTTTTTCTTATTTATAAAATAGAAATAATATTTACATTTATTCTGCAGGGTTTATACCCTGGCATAGAGCAGGAGCTCAATAAATGGTAGAGATTACTGAAAGTATAAAAGATAAACAGTGAAACCCCCCCATAACCTATGGGACTGGAGAGAAAATGATTAAAACGTCCTCCATAGCATCACCACAAACAATGCAAAAAACGAGGCTAAGCAAACTAGGAGACTGAGTCCTGTCCCCCACACATCAGCATTAAAAAGGGCTCTCAATGTACCTAATGCTGCCATCAGAGCATGCAGAACGCTGACAAAGGAAGCAGCTCTCTTATCGTAAAATTGGTCCAGGGTGGCCAAGACATCTTGAACCACATCTGCCACCAAAGGAAGCAGGTTAGCATCTGAGTTCCGCAGCATGACTTCCAGGACCTTTGGGGTATGAGGATGCAGAGCCAGATGACGCAGATTTAAAGAGATCCCATTCACTAAATAGTCTGAATTTTGATTGATCAGGTGCTGCAGGGAGTCGTAGCCACAAGCACGGCAAACGTCCATCATGGTGCTGGTAGCCACCTGACTAATGAGTAGGGTTTGGTCTCCAGCCTTCTCCAGTACTGGATAAAGGGCTGACATCAAGAGCAAACAGAAGTCTTTTCCTAGTGCATATGCAAACTGGCCAATTCCTTCCAACTGAATGCATATTTGCCAGATGTTACTGTTCATGGAGCAAATAGTGGGACTTGGCTTTGAGAAGGCTAGAAAAGATGTAACTTGGCAGGTGTGTTCACCAGACGTGATGGCTTGGAGGCCTGGGTGCTCCATCATCAGCTCCTCTCCCATTTCCTCAGTTTCAAGACAGGTAACCAAATACCAATTTTCTTGACTTGTGTATTCTTCAAGTATAGATGTCACAATCTCTCTCAGTTCTTCTGGGTTTGTTTTAATATGTTTTTCGTGAAGATCCTCAACCTCCAGCCCAGCAGCCCCTGTAACCAGTTCATTAAGGATCATGGCAGCTTGCTTCCGGTAAACCACAGATTGATGGTAAAGTTCCATAAAGTGATCCACAAGCAAATAAAGATTCCCATAATAACCAAGTAGCTGACAAACCTGCCTCAAGAGCATGAAGATTCTCTCATCAGTGAAGAAGCGGAAATATCTCCTCTGGATGCGGTTCCAAGGCTGTGTGGCTGAGGTCTTTGGAGAAGCATTCAGATCATCAGAGTTCCAACGCCGTTCCTCAACAATCTTGATGTCAGCCACGTCTAGCTCTAGAACTTGGATGAGTGCTTTGGAAAGCCGCTGGAGATGGGCCACAGAGTTGAGGACAAAGTTTATTTTTGGGCCCAAGAGTTTCAGATAACCAAGTAACAAGGAAAGAGTAGAGAATTTGCCCTGGTCATCTTGGGAGTTCATTAGGCGAGGAAGAGATGTGGCAAGGGAATGCAGGCTTTCTGACAAGATGTCAGCGAGGGCTTTGTTGCCCACCACTACTTTTTGATCTGCAAAATGTCTCAGAACTTTATTGCACTGGGCTTGGATTTCAGGACTCTCATCATTTACTAGTCCCACTAAGGCCTTCAGAAGGGGACCAGCACATTCGACCAATGATTGACTGCACTTCAAAAGAAGGTCCTCCACAAGTTCTACCAGTTCCAGTCTCACCTTCCAGTGTGGGTGAACAGAAACACACTCAATTATCTTTTTAATAAGGATAGTCAACTTGTCGCCAGTCTTTTTTACCCAATCTGCTTCCCTGTAAACCATCAGCTCTGCTACTCTGTGCTCAACTGCAGGTTTTGCTTGGACCTTTGAGATTCTTTTGAGCTGTTCATCAGCCATAATGAAGCTCACTGTCTTGTAAAAGATCTTTAGGGAAGATACGACAATGCTGTGACCTTGTTTAAAGTCTCCTGTGATAAGCCTGGTCAGTGCAGTTGAGATTCCAGGTAAAAAAGAGGCAAACAAATCCCCCAGCTGCTTTTGTTCAAGTTCATCCAATGACCTTGGATGGTCCTGACAATCACACTGCAAGAGTAGAACCTGTAAACATTTTAAGGCAGCAATTTTAATTTGCTTTGATTTCTCCTGTTCTGCAAGGCCTAACAGTAAAGATACAGCAAATCCTAAACGTGGCAGAATGGAGGGCTCATAAAAAGTCAGAATGATGTCCCCATAAGCTGAGTGCATTAATGTGCTAAGTCCCTGGATCACAGCCAATTTCAACTCCTCGGACACAGCCGCAGGTTTTTGGGAGCTGGGTGAATACAGACAAGCAGAGAGTTCTGAAAAGAGTTCCTGGAGAAGCTCCTGTTCTTTCACACATGTTGAAGAAAGGACAAATGTGAGGCATTCCACCACACTTTGGATCAAACGCTCTCTTTTGGGACCTGGGGTCTTCAGGGTAAATCGCAGAGGGAAGAGGATGTACTGCTGAAGTTCCTGAAGGGCACTGTCACTCACAGCTTGTAGTCGTGTCTGCAGATGCTCCACATTCTCCACTGTCTGGGTCTTTGTGAGCTGAACACAGACTGGACGTAAGACACCAAAGGCCTCCTCAGGAGTATCAAAAACTGCCATTGTGCAGCAGCCTTCCCCTCATTGAGGAAACATCCTGCAGGCTGGAGGAAGGAAACTGTTCAGTAAAAATGTCAAGTTCAAAGCAAGTATGAAGTGAACTTGCATTCATTCATTCAACAGACATTTACCTGGGGTCTATGTGCCAGCCACTGCACAAGGCACTAGGGGTGCAATGAAACTGAGCCCCCTGTCTAGTGAGGGAAGTACATGTACAGTTACAATAAAGTCTCTTCAGGATTAGGACAGGCCTAAGCTTACAGTCCTGAGTGTGGAAGTCATATCCTGAGGAAGCCAGGATGGGTCTCACAAGAAAATTATGCTCGAGGCAAGACTTGAGGGAGGAAGGAATAGGAATCTGTGGACTATTTTCAGGAGTTCGGATTTTAACCTTCAGGAGTTTGGATTTAAACCTTCAGGTTTCATCTTTTTAAAACTGAGGTATACATATAGTAAAATGCACTATCTTAATGTACAGCTCAGTGAATTTTTGTGTTTGTATAGAACAATGTAACCACTTCCCGAAGTAAGATACAAAATAATTCCAACAACCTAGAAGGCTCCCTCATGTCCTTTTGCAATTGATTCCTATTTCACCTGCCTGGAGGTAACCACTCTTATGACTTCTATCACTACAGACATGTTTTGCCTGTTCCTGTCATTAAGAGGTTTAAAGCAAGGGGTGATATGGTCAACTTTATGCACTGAAAAGATCCCCCAGGAGCCTGTAATATGGGAGAAGGATCAGAACTGGGTGAGACTGACAGCAACATAAAGCGAAAGGGGGTACCCAGAGAGATGGGAAAACTGGGAGCACACACTATCACAGAACACACAGGAGAAGACAGAGTCCAGCAGGATGGAAAGATGGACAGCAGGCAGGCAAGCAGGCGAGCAGGCAAAGGAGAAAGGATTACAGGAAAGCAAAGAACAACTCAATATCCAAGAGTCTGTCTTTTTTTTTGTGAAGAGAAATTCAAAGTCATGGGCTGACAGTGAACAAGGAGAAGGATAAACAGAGGGCTTGAGGAGAGAAATAAAAGTCTCAAATACTCCCTTTGGGGAAGCAGAGCATGCTGGGAAGACTTACAAAAGTGTGGCCCAAGGGTACTGAGGACTGAGCTGAGTTGGAGACCATAAATGTGTATAACTGTAAAATGTCGGCATTGGATGGAGGCTTAGAGATCATCTAGTCTGGTGGTCTTGTGGTCTTTCTTTTTTCTCTACTTGCTGGGGGCTTTTGAAGAGATGATAAGAAAGTGCTTGTGCTGCTTCTGTCTACCCCCAATTCCATGAACACTCCCGAACTCGGTGGCTATAGATTGGCAGGCAAGTCGTGCCAGCGGGCGTGAGCAAGGCCTGCTCAGTCCAGAAAGAGAGCTGGTGCCAAATTTCCCCATGGAGAGACTCTGATACGCTGGAGAGTCTGGTCTACTGACCTCCCTGGAACCCTATGAGGAAGGGCACTGTTCGTCACTGTGAGGCTTCGTTGGGGTGTATCTCATGCTCTCTGTGGCCCCAAGAAGCCAGAGAAGGGAAGAAGCTTGACTCTTCCCTATCTCAGGCTAGAAAAATGCCACGCGTGGCAGCCACAAAGCTTGGCTGGGGTCTAATGACATCCCATGTGCACTGGCTCATACACTGATGAACCAGAGGCTGCTTTGCCACCTCCCTGCCTGAGATACTGGTAGTTGGATCAAGAAGTAGGAAAGAAAGAGAATTGCTTAATGGGATCCAGCAGTCATGGGTAGAAAAAGCATTTGAGCACTCCTTGAGGTGGTGAATCTTAGATTAACAGAACCAGAAAAAGAGGCAGATAAGAATTTTAATAATAATAATAATAAAAAGACCAAGTTCAATTATGACACCAAAGATGTCTCTTAGAATTAAAAGCATAATTTTCCACACACAAAAAAGCTCCACTGATGAAATTTTTAAAAAGACAGTTAATTGCCAAAACCCAATTAGTGGCCTAGTAGATCAAGTGGACCTGTCTTACCCAAAGCAGGGATGCAGAGACGCAAACTGTGAGACTTGGAGGACAGATCTGGAAGAACCAGCATGTAAGGGGGAATTTGAAAGGAGAAACATTTCCCTTAGCTGCAAAAAGATTTATCTGGAGACCGAAAAGCCTTGAAGGATACACACCTGACCACATTCTGGTAAAATTCCTTCACTCTAAATATGAAGAGAAAAATCACATATGCTTTGAGGAGGAAATGACAAATAACAAATAAAAGAAAAAGAAACTGGCTTTGAACTCCTCATTGGCAACAATGGATGCTAGAAGACAGTGGAATAGCACCTACTTACTGCAAATAAAGGATTGTGGCCCCCAAATGCCACTGAAGATGTTCTTCTGTCAAGATGGAAGAACAACATGCAAGAGAGGGTATTACCCACATATCCCACCAGAAGAAGACACTTACACTGCTGAGGAATTTTTTTTCTTTTAGTATGGAGAATTTTCTTCAAATACAATGTTTAAGTGGAAGCCTGGTATACAAAATGGACAAAATCAGAGGGTGTCTTGTAAAATCCAGGGTGAAGGCAATGGCCTAGGGCTCTCTCTCTTATTTCACTGTAGGAGTTTCAAGAAGATAACTTGGGGTCCGCCCCCTGACAGGGTGGTGGTTCCTAAACTACATTCTCAGATTATATAACAAAAACCGTAATAGAGCTAATGAAATGGGAATACACAGTATGTCTAACATTGACCTCATCGCTTTCTGCCATATTCCCTTGGTGATTTATAGTCAAGCTAGAAACCCTAGAATCTCTGTTTTCTTTCACCCTCTCTTAATCCCAACATTCCCTACATTTCATCAATTCCACCCCTTTGACACCTTTCAAATCTGCTGATGATGATAACCAATGTGTTTCATATTGGGTCAACTCTCACAGTTTCCTCTCTGGCCCTTTGGCTTGTTTCTTGCCCTCCTCGAATTCACATTTCACAATGACACTTAAGTAATCTTTCTAAAAGAAAAATCTGATCGCAATTCTCTAGGCTTAATTCTTAAACTGCTCTCCATCCTGCATGAAGGGCAGATACTTCTAGGTAGAAGCTATACCTAAGCATTACCATGGCATACGGGGCCTTTCACCATCAGGCTTCTGCCTGTCTTGCCAACCTCATTTTTCATTATTCTACCACTTTGATCTCTAACCTGCAATCATGTAAAATTTATAAAACTTGCAATTTTCTAAACAGGTGGTGCTAGTTCACATTTGTCTCCTTTTTCCTACCCCTGTACACACCTCTATGACAGTATTTGGCATGCTGTATTATTTGTGTATATGTCTGTTTTACCTAGTTTAGACTAGAGGCTCTGAGAGGGCAGGGCAATCCTATACCTAGAAGCTACAAGAGCATCTGGCACATGGCAAGCCCTCAAAAACATCTGTACAGATTCTGCTTCCAAGTAGGATATAGTATGGTTTGGCAGGCTAATACTCCTGCCAATGACTAGAAAAAGCCAAATAAATTACAAAAATCATTTCTTAAAGCATCCAATACTTGTGGAAGCAACAAGGACTAGATGGACTAACAGACTGAGAATGTTCAGAGGGAATCAACAATCAATAGCTTGTGTGTGTGTGTGTGTGTGTGTGTGTGTGTGCGCGCGCGCCTTTGGTGTGTGCGCACGAGCCTTTGGTGCATGTGTTGATCCTGGACGTGGGCTTGGGATTAGGGTGTGGTTATCATTGGGGAAAGAGAAACCACAATGCTTTCGATGGTCACCTGGGGCTGGACAGACAAAACTGCAATCTTGAGGGACCTCCAAATACCCAACTTCTGGAAGAAGGCTGCTGCTGAAGACAACCCAGTAGAGATTTTGGTATTCTTCAAAGCTGGGGTAACAAAGCTGGAGATTTGATGGACTCGAAATACTTACTTGGTTGGGGTCTTCCTCAAGACATTTAGTCAATTTTGAAATGATGTGAAGTAGTGGTAGGCTAAATAACTAAGCTGAAAACCTTAGGGGCAGAAGTGAACCTCCTAAAGGCTTTCATGTCTAAGGAGACAAATAGCCTATTAGGCTTTCAACTGAAAGCCCTGGAGGACCATACTCTAATAAGGATGAACCAAAGTAAGTTTGGGGCTTACCAGGATTGCAACCCAGCAGTGACCTAGCTCAATCCCTGAAATACGTCAGACTAGACTGAAGTATTTAATTAACAGAAGAAAGGGGCAAACCTTGATGGTGGAAGATATATGCATCCACTATGATTCTTTTATATAATGTTTGGTATATAATAAGTTTTTTAAGCATGTGTGGAGGTAAATGCCCACAGCTAGTAATCAAGAGAAAAAACAGACATTAGAAGCAGACCTATGGATGGCCCAATTACTGAAGTTTAGTAGTCAAGAACTTTGAAATAACCAAGATTAATAAAGTCAAGAAACAGAGGAAAAGACCAAAGTAAATGAAAGGATAAATAATTTTATCACAGAATTGGCTGAAATCTATAAAAAAAATCAAATGGATACTTTAGAACTGAGAACTACAGTATCTATAATTAAGAATTTAATATAAGATATTAACAGTAAATTGGACTTAGCAGGAGACAAGATTAATGATTTGGAAGATAGGTCAATAAAAAATATTCAAACTCAATTAGAAAAATGAATGGTAAACACAGATAAGAACATAAAAGACGTGGAATAAAAGACGTGAATAAATGAGTCTCAGAAGACAGCATAGAGCAGAAGCAATACTAAAATGTTCAAAACAAATGAAAGAGATCAACCCACAGATTTAAGAAACTCAGCAACCCAATTATTTGGCCAATACAAAGAAAAGAACACACAGACATCATAGTCAAACTGCTGAAAAACAAAGAAAAAGAGGAAAACCTTAAAAAGCAGTGAAGCAATAAAAATGACAGCTGACTTCTCAAAAGAAATGACAAAATCCAGGAGTCAATAGAATGCTATCTAAAGAAAATAATTCCCAACTTTGATTTTTTTTTTTTTTAATCTATGGACTAGGGAACCAACTTTGAATTTTACAGCCTATAAAAACAACATCTTTCAATAAAAAGGTAAGGCTGGGCATGGGTGGCTCACACCTATAATCCCAGCACTTTGAGAGGCTGCGGTGGGTGGATCACTTGAGCCCAGGAGTTTGAAACCAACCTAAGCAACATGGCGAAACTCCATCGCTACAAAAAATACAAAAATTACCTAGGTGTGGTGGTGTGCACTAATAGTCCCAGCTGCTAGGGAGGCTCAGTTGGAAGGATCGATTGAGCCTGGGAGGTTGAGGCTGCAATGAGCTGTGATTGTGCCACTGTACTCTAGCCTCGGTGACAGAGTGAGCAGGTCTAAAAAAAAAAAAAAACAAGGGTGAAATTCAGATATTTACAACAAACAAAACCTGAGGGAATTCATTGCTATCAGGGCAACACTAAAAGAAAAAACAATGTAAGAAAATAAACCTAGACAGAAGCATGGAACTATAAGAGGGAATGAAGAAAATGAAATAGGTAAATATAAAAAAATTAACTGTACAAAACAATAACTATTATGTCTTCTGTAGTTTGTGTATATATAAAACTAAAATGCAAGACAAGAATAATTCACAAAAGGTAGGGAGGGGGAAGGAGTTAAGTGTCTAAGAGTCTAGTAGTGTAATGAAGTGATAAAATAATCTGTATTAGACCATAACATGTCAAGATGTTAAATGCATGTTGAAATCTGTAGAGTAAGCTCTAAGATAATTGTAAAAGAATAGCTACCTAACAAGATTACAGGGCAGTAAAAAATGGGATACTATTTTTGATTAATCAAAAAAAGGGCAAAAATGCAAAAAAAAAGAAATAAAACTAGTGAGCCAAATTGAAAACAAAAAGTAAGATGGCAGACAGAAGTCTGAAGTACAACTAAAACAGCGATTACATTTGTGCAGAGTTTCTCAACAGCAGCACTATTGACATTTTGGGTGGGATAATTACTTGTTGGTGGAGGGCTGTCTTGTGCATTGCAGGGCATTTAGCAGCATCCTTGGCCTCTGTATCTTGGCCATCCATCTATCTGCTGCTAGTAGCACCAACCCAGGTGTAACAAACAAAAATGTCTCCAGACATTGCTAGATGTCCTGTCAAGGACAAAAATTGTCCCTGGATTTGGTACCATTGGTAGAGTCAGCATAATCCTAATCAAAATCCCAGTAGGATTTCTGCAGAAATATGATGAGTCTAAAACTGATAGAGAAATGCAAAGGACCCAAAATAGAAAAGACAATCTTCAAAAATAAGAATGCAGTTACAGAACTTACACTAACTGATTTCAAGGTTTACTATAAAGATACAATAATTAAAGGACAGTGTATACTTGGCATAAAGAAAAATGAACAGAACAGAGTTCAGAAATAGACCACACATAGAATAGAGAGTCCAGCTACACACCTGACAAATATGACAGTAAAATGAAGGGGTGAAAAGAATGGCCTTTTCAATTAAAGGTGCTATGTCACTTGGCTACTCATATGAAAAAAAAAAAAAATATATATATATATATATATATATATATATGTATGTATCTTGATTCCATCACATCCTATTTAAATGTGAAATGTAAAACAATAAAGCTTTCCAAAGGAAACAGACAAGAACATCTCTGTGATCCTGGAGTAGGCAAAGATTTCTTAAATAGGACACAAAAAGAAAAAAACTGATAAATTGGACTACCTTAAAATTTAAGAACTTCTCTTCATCAGAAGACACTATTACAGAGTGAAAAGGCAATTCAAAAAGTGACAGAAGATACTTGCTATATATCTGACAAAACACTCATATCTATAATATACAAAAGATTTTTAAAAAATCATTTAAAAAAGGAAAGACAACCTAACAGAAACATGAAAAAGGACCTGAATAGACATATCACAAAAAAGGATAGCCAAATAGCCAATAAACATATGACAAGACTTTAAATATCATTAGTCAGGAAAATGCAATTTAAAACCACAATGAAATATCATTACACATCCATGAGAAGAGCTAAATTTAAAAAAGGGAAAATACTAGGTGCTGGCAAGGATACAAAGCAACTAAAACTCTCATTCAATGCTGGTGGGCGTATAAATCAGTGCAGCTAGTACGGAAAACTCGTTGGCAGTATCTATTATTTCAAAGGTGAATATATATATGCTCTATGATCTAGCAATTCCATTCTTTGATATATACCCAATAGAAATGTACATATAAGCTTATCAAAAGATATATTCTGGAATTTACTATACACAATCACCCTAAAATGAAAACTACCTCAATGCCTATCTGTAGTAGAATGGATAAATAAACTGTAGTACATTCTATGAAATACTATACAGATGAAGATTTACCACAATCAGAGATCTTCAAAAGTCTGGGTTATAGGCTCAGAAATATATAAACCAGCTTTCTCTAAGGAAGACAGCATAACACATTGCTACTTTGGCATAACACATTGCTACTTTGACATGACTATAAAAGGCAATCATATAGCTTTATGGGATGGCCATGAAATCACAGTTGTGTGACAATATGTCAATTACAGAAAGAATTGTTTAGAGATTTAGAGCCTTAGGAATCCTACATTCTATTCCTATAAAATGCAACCCTGATTACTTAGAGTGGTGCTGCACCAAAGTTTGATATTTATAACCAACAGCAACAGGGGCATTCTGGTCCAGAAAGTTATACTGGGATGAGGCATTCAGAACAAACGGATTCTCTGGATGAGTAGACAAAACCACCCAGAGCTCAGAGTGACTGAATAAACATGAATAAACATAAGCATGAGCAAACAGTTCTTGACTGCTAATGGACACCTAATCCCTTTCTAGTTTAGTGGCCCTCCACTGTGGTCCTGGAAAGTAGTTGGCAAGTAGGCACTGGAGAGGTGGGAGATGAGATCTGTGATTGGACAGCATGAATGAACTCACTGCCCCCGGCAAGCCTATTCCCCTCCCCTCTACCTAACTTGTAACAGGGGTGGGCTATAAGTAAGATCCCTGGGCCATGGTGTAAAGGTGGTGAAGACAAATGGAACAATCTGTACAGGAGACGGTGTTATACTTTACAGATACTTAGATCCCAAGGTACTTACTGTATCACACAATCAAGAAGTGAAAAAGGGAGGGGAAAAAGTGCAAAAGGAATTTGGAAACAGAATGAATACGAACAAGGAAGAGGGAGAAGGATCTGTGTTGAGCTGGGGTACTATACACTTTGGGCTATGTGAGAAGGCTGCTCAAGGTGCAAGGCCTGTCACAAGCAAAGGCCAGAAGGGAGAAAAGTCATAGCACCTAATAAAGGCAGAGATGAGACAGAGATGCCATTGTGGCAGGTGAGCCAGGCCTCACACATCCATTCAGATGAAATCATTTGGTCAGGGCCTTTGCACTTGCTGTTCTCTCCCCCATGTCCTCAGGGCTCGCTCCTTTACCACTTTCAGGGCTTTGCTCAAGTGACGCCTTGTCTGATCACCCCTATTAACACTGCTACCCATGCTTACTCCTCATCTCCTTTCCTTGCCTTTAAAATTTTCTTCCTTAGCACTTCACAACAGCTGTCAAACCAGATCATCTACCTGTTTGTTTACTGTTTCTCTCCTTTCACTAGAATACTAGAATCAGTGATTTTTGACTGGTTTCTTAATTGCTTTTGGCACACAGTAGGTATTCAATAAATGCTCATTGAATTAGTGGTCATAATGCAAGATCTGGTTCTGTCATTTGTAGAGTGCTGATATCAGCTATTCCGAATCGGATTCTAGATAAAACCTGCCATGCTCTTCTTCTCTTGGGGTGAGTTTTTCCTACAGGTAGTTGATCTCGTCTACACTGGGAGGGTCCTGCTAGATTCATTCTGATGGGGTAATCATAATTCTAGATTTGGTTGTACTCCAGCCCACTTTTAGACTATTTCCAGAACTGGGACAGAGGGAACATGTATATTTTCTCTCTATACATGCTTTCCCTTCTGAAGAACAAGTCGTAAGATGAAATAGGTACTTGTTCAATAATCCATCTGGTTGCAGTGTTCAGAGTACACTGGAGGACTGATCTGGGTTCTAGCCCTGGCTCTTACAGTACCTGGCTGTGTGATTTCCATGAATTTTATCTTCTTCAATATAAAATAAACTTATGGATAAGAAAATCTCCAAAATTTCCACCTTTGAATAACTAGCCTATGGAAAGAACGACTGGGTTTAGAGCCCAGAGATAGGAGTTCAGATGTAAGAATCGCCAATACAAGTTCTTGAATAGGAGGAAAGCATTTTTCTTTTGTTGTTGAAAAAACCCCCATCATACATCAGGCAATGTGCTAGGTATTTATTGTATTCCTCATCCACAAGCTGAGCAGCACAAGGCTCAGAGAGGTTCAGTGATGTCCACACAGCAAGCAGGTGTCAGACTTGGGATTCATCTCAAGCCCGCCTGACTCCAAAGGCTGTATGTACTCTTTCCACTATACCAGAGGTTCCCAACCTGGCTGTTTATCAGAATCAAGGAGGAACAATTTAACTACAGATTCCTGGGCTCCACACCAGATCTACGGAATCAGAATCAATGTGGTGGGGGAGCAGATATGCTTGGGAATCTACAATTTTAAAACTTTGCAAGGTCAGTCCCATGGCCACTGAGGTGTGGGAACCTTGCACTGTATATATTCTCTATGTGCTTTCCCTTCTGAAGAACAAGTCGTATGATGAAATAGGTTCTTGTTCAATAATCCATCTGGTTGCAGTGTTCAGAGTACACTGGAGGACTACTATCTTGGGTTAAAATGATGAGTTTATTTCTCTTCCCAGCTGAATGGTATAGTGTTACAGCTTTACTTGTGGTTTCCCCAGCATCTGCTGCTGTCTGCCAAGCAGTTCCCACTCACTGTTTGTTTAATAAATAAGTAAAAGAAGCTGGATAAACATTAACCCTTCAGCATATTCTGAAGTTTTGTTGATTGCTACTCATCTTTCCCTCTATCTAGAAATGTTTCCTTAGCATATACTATTTGCCCATACAGTGTGCTAAATTCTTGACAAGGGAAGAGAGATACAATGTTAACCAGAGAGGCTAACACTGTAAGGGAAGTGTACTGCAGAACAGGAAGAACATGCGGAGGAGGGGAATCAAGGAGACTTCCCATACATATTTCCGGAAATTACTCTAGGCTCACATAATGCTTAGTTTACAGCTGTCCCTTATAGAAAATATGTGAAGCTGTGGCTTGTATTACACTAATACTATGTGCCTGTTCCCTCCACTAGACAGGACCTTTTTTGCTAGACAGTACATTTCTAAAAAAGGGATTCTTAACTTAGAAGAGGGTGTACACAGAATATATATACAAATGACCTCCTGCCCTCCCCCGATTTATGACCTGGCACTGGAAACTGGGTAAGTTCTTCAGGTAACTAAAGTATGTTTGCATATTCTACTTATTTATAAATATTAATATAAACAAAAATTCTGTTCACACACACACATGAATACAAATAGAAAACTTAAGCTTCTCGGGAGATGGAGTAGGCATACATTTCCCTATTCTTTTTGTTAAGTATAACTAAAACCCCTGGACATTATATATAAAGCAAATACAAGAAGAAAGCAGACTGGTTAGGGACCCCAGAACCTGGGGAGTGACACAGTGCTGAGTTCCCCAGGTTTTCTTTCTGCCTCATAGACCCAAGCCCTGGAGCTGAAGAAGCTGGCAACCTGGAAGCACCAATGGGCACAGACACAAAAACCCCAACAAAAACCTGCTCTCTCTAGCCAAAGGAGTAGGGGAATGGGCACCCTCGCAAGACAAAAAACTTTTGGACAACAAACGCTCTACTCCAGCCAAACACTACAGAAAATAAGGCGGCCTCCACCCACGGTGGCAAAGGCTGATTGGAGAGCCTAGACTCCCACTCTCATAAGTCTGTAATGAGGCACCCTCAACACTCCTGCAGGGATGGTGTGAAGGAAGACAAAGTAGGAGCAGGCATTCCATCCCCACCAGCCCCAGTGTCAGTGGAGACCACACGGGGAGCCTAAACTTCCACTTCTACTTGGCAGTAATGAGGTAGCATCACAGGACACCTAGTCAGGACTTTCACCACTGCCCAGTGGTAATGATGCCACCTCCACTCCAATGTCAGTGGAGACCAAGTGGGGAGTTGGGACTGCCACACCCACCCAGCAGTACACCTCCACTCAGCAGTAGTGGGGAGACCTTTTTCTTGGGTGTCAATGGAGGCTGAGTGAGGAACTTGGACTTCTACCTCCACCTGGCAGTGATGAGGTACGGACCCCCTTCTCCTACCAGGAATGGTGTCAGAGATTGTTTAGTCTAAACATTAGACTAAACAGCCTAAACAGACAAAACAGCCTCAACAGATGTCTCAGAACATTATACAGAAATGTCCGAATCTCAATATAAAAATCACTCATACCAGGAACCAGGAGGAACTCAGACTGAATGAAAAAAGACAATCGGTATGCCGTGGTGGCTCACACCTGTAACCCGAGCACTTTGGAAGGCTGTGGCTGGTAGATCACCTGAGGTCAGGAGTTCAAGACCAGCCTGGCCAACATGGTGAAACCGTATCTCCACTAAAAATATAGAAATTAGCCAGGTATGGTGGCGCGTGCCTGTAATCCCAGCTACTTGGGAGGCTGAGGCAGGAGAATCACTTGAACCCGGAAGGTGGAGGTTGCAGTGAGCAGAGATTGTGGCATGGCACTCCAGCCTGGGCAACAAGAGCGACACTCCATCTCAAAAAAAAAAAGAAAAAGAAAAAAAGACAATCAACACATGTCAACACCAAGATGACAAAGAGACAAAGATGTCAGAATTATCTGATGAAGACATTAAAACAGTACGATTAAAATGTATCGATAAGCAATTATGAATATACTTCAAACAAATGAAGGAATAGAAAGCCTCGAAAAAGAAAAAGAAGATATAAAGAAACAAGTGAAAATTTTAGAAATGAAAATTTCAGTAACAAAGAAAAACTTCAGTGGATGGGCTCAACAGCAGAATGGAGGGAAGAAAAAAATCTGTGAGCTGGAAGATGGAACAATAGGAATTACCCAATCTGAACAACAGAGAAAAAACTACTGAAAAATATATAAACAGAGCTTCAGGGAACCTGTGGGACCAAGAGGGCAGGCTGAAAAAGTACTCAAAAGAAATAATGGCTGAAAACGCCACAAAGTTGGCAAAGACATAAATCTATATATCAAGAAGCTGAGTGAACCCCAAAGAAATTTATCCCAAGACTCTTCATAATTTAATTTCTGAAAACTAACAACAAAAAATATTGAAAGCATCCAGAGAAAAATTATACCTTGTCTACAGGGAAGAAACAATTTTTTTTTTTGAGACAGAGTATCATTCTGTCACCAAGGCTGGAGTGCAATGGTGCCAAATCCATTCATAGCAACCTCCGCCTGCCAGGTTCAAATGATTCTCCTGCCTCAGCCTCTCAAGTACCTGGGATTACAGGTGGGCACCAGCACTCCCGGCTAATTTTTGTAGTTTTAGTAGAGGTAGATTTCACCATGTTGGCCAGGCTGGTCTCAAACTCCTGGCCTCAAGTGATCCACCCACCTTAGCCTCCCAAAATGCTGGGATTACAGTGTGAGCCACCATGCCCAGAGGGGAGAAAACAATTCTAATGACAATCTCATCAGAAACCATGTAGGCCAGAAAGAAGTTACACAATAATTTTCAGGTGCTGAAACAAACAAACAGTCAACGCAGAACCATATACTCAGCAAAAAATGTGCATCAGGAATGAAGTGGAAATCAAGACTTCTGAGAAGAAGGAAAACAAAGAGAATTTGTCACCAGCCGACTTACTGTAAAAGAATGGCTAAAGAAAGTTCTCTAAACAGAAAGAAAATGATAAGAAATCCTGGAACATTAAGGGGGAAGAAAGAACATGGCATACAAAAATATGTGTAAATGCAACGGGCTTTCCTTATCCTCTTGAGTTTTCAAAACTATGTTTGACAGTTGAAGCAAAAATTGTAATGCCATCTGACATGGTTCTAAATGTATGTAGAGAAAATGTTTAAGACATTTATATGATAAATGGGCAGAGTAAAGAGACATAAAAGGAAATAAAGTTTCTATACTTTGCTAGGTAAAGGTAAGTTATGTACACACAATGTAATACCTAGAGGGACCACTAAAAGGGCTACATACAAAGAGATATACTCAGAAACATCATAGATAAATCACATGGAATTCTAAAAAACATTCAAGTAACCCACAGGAAGGCTACAAAAAGAAAGCAGATAAATGAAAAAGAGAATAAACAGAAAGAAACAAAATATAGTCATCTCTCGGTATTCACCAGGGACTGGTTCCAAGACTTCCATGGATACCAAAATCAGAGGATGTTGAAGTCCCTTATAGAAAATAGTGTAGTATTTGCATATAACCCATGCATATCCTCCCATATATTTTATATCAACTCTAGATTATTACAACACCTAACACAATGCAAATGTTATGTAAACAGTTGTTACACTATATTGTTTTAAAATCTGTATTATTTTTGTTGTTGTATTGTTATCTTTTACTTTTTATTTTTTTCAAATACAGTTGACCCTTGAACAATGTGGGGGTTAGGAGTGCCAACCCCCTCGAGCAGTCAAAAAATCTCTATAAATTTTGACTCCCCAAAAACTTAACTATTGACAGCCTACTGTTGACTGGAAACCTTACTGATAACATAAACAGTTGTTTAACATAAATTTTTTATGCTGTATGTATTATATGCTGTGTTCTTACAATAAAACAAGCTACAGAAAAGAAAACGTTATTAAGAAAATCACAGGCTGGGCCCAGTGGCTCACGCCTGCATCCCAGCACTTTGGGAGGCTGAGGTGGGTGGATCACCCGACGTCAGGAGTTCAAGACCAGGCTGGCCAACATGGTGAAACCCCGTCTCTACAAAAATACAAAAATTAGCCAGGCATGATGGCAGGTGCCTGTAATCCCAGCTACTCAGGAGGCTGAGGTGGGAGAATCACTTGAACCCGGGAGGCGGAGGTTGCAGTGAGCCAAGATCGCACCATTGAACTCTAGCCTGGGTGACAGAGCGAGGCTCCATCTCAAAAAAAAAGAAAGAAAGAAAAGAAAATCACAATTACTATTCATTAAGTGGAAGTAGATCATTACACAGGTCTGTCTTCATCTTTGTCTTCACCTTGAGTAGGCTGAGGAGGAGGTGGGTTGGCAGAAGGGAAAGAAAATCTGCATATAAATAGATGGCCGCAGTTCAAATCTGTGTTGTTCAAGGGTCTACTGTATTTTCAATCCACAGTTGACTGAATCTACAGAGACGGAACCCATGAATATAGAGGGTCAACTATAATTGTATTAAGCATAAAAGGTCTAAATACATCAATTAAAAGATTGAGATTGGCGGAGTGGATTTAAAAACATGATCTAACTACACGCTGTCTATAAGAAACTCACTATGCAGAATTATAGAGGCTGATTGAAAATCAAAGGATGGAAAAAGATATTATCATGTAAGCATTAATCAAAGGAAAGTAGAAGTAGCTATATTAGCACCAGATAAAGTAGACTTCAGAGCAAAAGAAAAAAAATTACCAGAGACAGAGTACAATGAATAACAGGTATATCTACTAAGAACATACTGCAATCTTAAAATGTATATGCTGTAAAATGTGTGAAACAAAAATGGATAAAACTAAAAGGAGAAACAAATTCACAATAGATGGTGGTGACTTCAATATTCCTCTCTCAACAATGGATAGGATAACTAGACCAAAAATCCACAAGGATATAGAAAAACCACCACCATCAACCAACAGGACCTATGACATTTATAGAACACTCCATCCTACAATAGCAGACTACACATTCTTTTGTTGTTGTTATTTGTTTTTTTAGACAGGATCTCACTCTATTGCTCAGGCTGCAGTGCAGTGGCTCGATGATGGCTCACTGCAGCCTCAATTTCCTGAGCTCAAGCAATCCTCCCACCTCAGCGTTCTGAGTGGCTGGGACTCCAGGTGCATGCCACTATGCCCAGCTAATTTTTGTATTTTTTAAAGACCGAGTTTCGCCATGTTGCCCAGGCTGTTCTTGAACTCCTAGGCTCAAGTGATCCTCCTGCCTTGACCTCCCAAAGTGTTAAGATTACAGGCATGAGCTACAGTGCCTAGCCCACATTCTTTTCAAGTGCTCATAGAACATAAGACAGATGATTATCCTGCCATAAAACAAACCTCAACAAATTTAAAAGAACTGAAATCATACAGAGTGACATTCCCCAGCCACAATGAAATCAAGCTTGAAATCACTAACACAGAGATAACAGGAAAATCTCCAAATACTTGGAAACTAAACAACATGTTTCTAAATAATCCACGGAACAGAGAGGAAACCTTAAGGGAAATTAGAAAAAAAATAGGGAAATGAATGAAAATGAAAATATGACACACCAAAATCTGTGGATACAGCTATAGCCATGCTGAGATGTAAATTAATAGTACTAAGTCATATATTAGAAAAGGGGAAAAGTCTCAAACGAAAAAGGTAAACTCCTACCACAAGAACCTAGACAAAGTAGAGCAAAATAAAGCAAGCAGAAGAAATAATAAGGAGCAGAAACTGACAAAACTGAAAACAGAAAACACAGAAAGTCAATGAAATAAATAACTGGTTCTTTGAAAAGGTCAATAAAATTGACAAACTTCTAGCAAGATTGACAAGGGAGTGAGTGAGCAAGAGAGAGAGAGAGAGAGAGAGGAGAGAGAAGAGACGAGACACTGATACTGGAAATTTCCAATATCAGTAATGAAACGGGACAGTACTACAGACCCTGCAGACATCAAAGGGTAATATGGGAATGCTATGGTTTGAATATCCGTCCCTTCCAAAACTCATGTTGAAATTTAATTCCCAATGTATTGAGAAGTGGAGTCTTTATAAGCCCTCATAAATGGATTAATGGGTTATCATGGGAACTGGTGGCTTTATAAGAGCAAAACAGACCTCAGCTAGCACACTCAGCCCCCTGGCCCTGTGATATCCTGCACTGCCTTGGGACTCTGCAGAGTCCCCACCAGCAAGAAAGTTTTTTACCTGATGTGGCCCTGTGACCTTGGATTTCTCAGCCTCCATAACTGTAAGAAATACATCCTTTTTCTTTATAAATTACCCAGTTTCAGGTATTCTGTTATAAGCAACAGAAAACAAAGACAGGGAATACCACAAATAGCTTTACCCATATAAATTTGACAACTTTGATGAAGTGGTTAATTCCTCAAAAAACACAACCACAATAGGAAAGAGATTATTTTAACAGCTTTATAACTTTTAAATAAACTGAATTTGTCACTTAAAAACTCCAGAAAAAAAAGGAAGAAGGGAAGGAAGGGAGGGAGGGAGGAGGGAGGAAGGAGGAAGGAGGGAGGGAGGGAAGCAGGGAGTGGAGGGAATCTCCAAACCAAGATGGTTTCATTGGAGAATTCCGCCAAACATTTAATGAAGAATTAACACCAATTCTGCACATACTCTTCTAGAAAAAGAAGAAACACTTTCCAATCCATTTTATAAAGCCAGTATTATCCTGATACCAAACCAAAGGCAATACAAAAATTAAAAAAATCTATAGACCAATTTCTCTCATGAGTATAGATGCAAAAATCCTAAAGAAAATATTAGGAAATTCAGCAGTATGTAAAACACACACACACACACACACACACACACACACACCATGATAAAGTGGGGTATATTTCAGAGATGCAAGACTGGCTCAATATTTGAAAATCAATTAGAGTTGTTAATACTAACAAGCTATTAACAAGCTTAAGAAGAAAAATCACATAATCATATCATCCTCACCTTTCAGACCTCTATATGTTGAAGAATCCTAGGACTCAGTCTCTTTTTACACCTTATTCCGTTATGACTCTCACATTTTTATCTCTAACCCAGATAGCTCTTCCTTGAATTCCAGACCCATAAACCCAACTGCCCCTTAGACATCTATACTCAGATAGGCATTTCCAAATGGACATGTCCAAATACAAATGCTTGCTCTTACTCTCCAAACCCACTCTTTTCTGTAATTCAGTAAATGGAAGCGCTATTCTTATAGTTGCTTAGGCCAAAACCCTTGGAGCTATCTCAACTCTCATATGTCTTTCACACCCCATATCCAATCTATCAGCGGATCCTGTTACCTCTTCCTCTAAAATATCCCCAGAACTGTCCCTTTCTTACCACTTCCACAGATACCACCCTGGTTTGAGTTATCCTTTCACCTGGGTTACTACAACAGCTGCCAAACTGGTCCTTCCTGCTTCTACCTTTGCACTCTTACTGTCTTATTTTCTACCTAACAGCCACAATGCTCCTTCTTTGTGCAAAACTGCCCAGTGGACTTCATTTCATTCAGAGTAACATCTAAAGTCTATACTATTGCCTACAAGTCACCATGTGATGCAGTCCCTTCGTACTTTTCTGAACTAATTTCCAGCCACCCTTCTAGTTCATATCACTCCAGCTTTATTGTCCTCTCTGCTGTTGCTCCAAAATGCCAACAATGGTATAAACTTGGTTTTCCCTCTTCCTGGAACAATGGCATATGGCTTGTCTCTCAAATGACATCTTATCAATGAGGCCTTCTCTGAGAAGCATAAGTAAAAGACTACCCACCTACACATATACATTCCTTATCCTCCTTATCTCCTTGATTTTTATTGAAGTTACTTACCACTTTCTGACTTATTCTAAACTTGCATGTTTGTTTTTCTATCTTTCTCAGTAGAAAGTAAGTTCCTGAGAACGTGGATTTTGTCTGTTAGCTTAGAAGAGTGCTTTGGACATAGGTGCTGAAAAATTATTTTCCGAATGAATGAATAAACTATTGGTTCAGGAGGCAAGAATTTGGGATCAGACATAAGATAACCCTAATTTGACTCCTGGCTCTGCTATTTCCTAACTATGTCCAAGTACATAGGGTACTTAACCATGCTTTACATTTTCTCGTCTATCAAATAGTGATTGTAATAATTTCAACTCCTAAGACTGATGTAAGAATTAAATTTAAAAAGTATGTAATGTGCTTAATAGACAGTGACTTGGTATAAAAGTGCTCAGTATATGACAGTGTTATTAATATGGAAAGATGATCTAGATTTCGACACAAAAGCCCTCAGTTATGACTAGATACTCACTGTATGATTTTAGGTTACTCACCTCTTTTACACTAACTCACTTGATAAATCAGGAACTGGGGCCAAAAAGATGGCTAAGTTGCAGCCCCTTCCCTCAAGTCTTAGTAATGTGATCTTGGGTAGGTCACTTAACCTCTCTGAGCCTGTTTCCTACGCTGTCCAAAGGGGGATAATATAATACCTCACAGCTTTGTTGTGAGGATTAAATGAGTTACTGTGTGGGAATTGTGTCTAGCACATAGTAACCTCTCACTGCGTTAGCTATGATTATGATTCCAGTCTGGAGGAAGGGTAAAAGCATGTAAGCAAAGAACTGCAATACAGTGCAATAAGAGCAAAAGCAGGCATCAACTAGAAGAACGTCTCCTAAACTAGAGTCTGCCCACAACTAGGAAGTTATACCACGATCAGGAAATTTTAAAACCCTCTTATGTCTATAACTTAACTCCCTACCATCACCCCCGTGGCAGTAAGAAAAACAAAATTTCTCTGCTGCTTTGATACCTGGGATTTAAAACTTAAAAAAAAAATAGGGTCAAGGTTTAGAGTCTCAGATAGTGTTTTGTTTTGTTTCAGAGAAGAGTCTCGCTCCATCGCCCAGGCTGGAGTGCAGTGGCACGATCATAGCTCACTGTAACCTCTAACTCCTGGGCTCAAGGTATCCTCTCGCGTAGCTGGAACTGCAGGTGAGCGTCACCATGCCTGGCTAATTTTCGCTGTTACCCAGGCTGGTCTTGAACTCCAGTCCTCAAGCTATCCTCTCGCCTCGGCCTCCCAAAGGGTTGGGATTACAAGCAAGAGACGTTGCGCCAGGCCTCAAATAGTGTGTCTCAACATGAGGTCAACAGACACATTGGGAAGGCTAAGTTAGTTCCCTCCACCTTTTCCCTAAAGTTAACACCTCACTTAAGTTCGAAAAAGTCAACTGGACCCGCAGACGGCAAAAGCAGCACGTAATAATACCCTGAGTGAGAACCCACTTAAGAGCCGAGAGCCCAAATGTGTGTTTCATGACGGCGCTGTTACAGACTAAAAGGTCAAAACAGGACATTAAAGGGTGCTCCGGGGGGCTGAGTAGGAGCTCACCAGGTGAGAAAGGGGATGTCACTTTCGGACAGAGAACGAGCGCCAGGGCGTGGAGGCGTGAAAAGGGCACGTGGGTGGCTTGGAAGAACCAAAACTAAGTGTTTTGGGGGACAGCCAGAGAGCCGAACACATATGGAGGAAAGATGCGGCCTGGGGCCCGCCAGATTAGAAAGGAAATCCCCCTCCCATATCCAGATCATGATCTCTCAGACTCAATGTCCCCTCAGGATACCCCTCTACAGGGTCCCAGCTGCTGGGCTCCCTCTGGTTCCCGCCACTCTTCCCTTACCTCGTCTTCCAGCCTTTCTCTCACTCTCCCGCCTCCTCTGCCTCGCCGGAAGTGACGCGCTAAGTAGCGCGCCGTATCGCGCCAGAAAGGTTCCGAGGGAGCGGGAAAAAGGGTTCCGGCGAGATCCACTGCGCCGGTGTGCAGGCTCGAGCGGTCAAAGCTCTTTCCGGGGGCCCGGGGAACTACTCTCCTTGCCTCGCTCTGTCTCCTTCGAAGTGCTCTGCGCGAGGTTCAGAGCGGCCGCCGCCTCCAAAGGGACGGTTTTCTAGAGCTCCGACGCCTCTCGGTGCCCCTCTGCTCCGGCCCTTGCCCTTTGACCTCGCTCTCGCGGCAGGGTGAGAGGTCGGGTGGCCATCTTGTGGCGGCGGCGCGGGCGGCTGTTACTGCGGAGACCCATCCCCTCCCCCTTCTCGCACCCCTGGCAGTCTGTCAGTCGGTAAAAAGTCCCGCAGCCTGTCAGGTGAGGCCCCGGCCTCGTGCCGTCGCTCTTCCCGCCGCACTGGGCGGCCCAGGCCGCTCCCTGCCGGGCCTCACTGCCGCCACCATGTCCTCCTTCTCTGAGTCGGCGCTGGAGAAGAAGCTCTCGGAGCTGAGCAACTCTCAGCAGAGCGTGCAGACCCTGTCCCTTTGGCTCATCCACCACCGCAAGCACGCGGGACCCATCGTCTCCGTGTGGCACCGCGAGCTCCGCAAAGGTAAACACCAAATCCCCACCCCCTGGACGGTCCCCGGATTGTCCTCTCGCCCACATACAACCTAGGCCCCTCTAAGCCTCTTCATTGAGCCTTGCTTTCCAGGCCTGATCGAGCTTCTGAGATGGGAGACAAAGTTAGCCCCATTTCTCGAAGAAGGAAACTGAGGCCCGGGAAGGTTTAAGGTACTTGCCTGAGGGTCCACGGACTGGGACTCAGGTGTCCAGACTTCTAGTTCATCAAGCCATTTTCCCTTCAGTTTCCCCCTGACATTTGTGGCTGTTATTATCTCGGCTGCATTCACTGCCGTACTGGCCCTAGCATGTCGGGCCCAGTGCTGGGTATTTGGAGTAAAAGCCAGTGGGCTCCGGAGTCAGACTCTGCAGATCGAGTCCTGGCTCAGCTATTTGCCAGCTGAATAATACTGGGAGAGTTTCTTCATCTCCCTGTGTCTCCGTTTTCTCATCTGTAAGAGGGAGGCAAGGATAGCTACCCCTTACAAAGCCTTTACTTCATACCAGTCACTATACTAAGACCTTTGTGTGTATCCTCGCACTCAGTCCTTAGAACAGCCCTGTGAAGTAGGTAGTCTCTCCCATCTTAGGTTAAGGGGCCACCCAGACCTTACCTCTCCTCTCCTCTCCTCTCTCATGCAGTTGTCATTGATTTCAGGCCCTGCTCAGGTTCTGACAGACAATTCATTGAACTCATTCTGTTATGTGCCAGGCACTGGCTTGGACACTTGCAGCATGTTGCCTCTGCCAACTGCCTAGAATTTAAGCCTGACTTTGCCGCCTTACTGACCCCAGCAACTTAACCTGTCTGTGCCTTAATTTTCTTATCTACAGAATGGATAACTGAAATTTACTATGTCTTTATTACATGCGAAGTGCAGTACTGATATCTTTACATACATTGCCATTAAAAAAAATTCTCGGAGCCCTATGAAGTAGGAACTTTGCAGAAGAGGAAAAACTGAGACTCATCTCGTGGTGAGGAGTAAACGGGATAATCCAAATGAACATTTAGCATGGGGTGAGGCACAGTGTAGGCATTCAGCAGATTATGGTGAGATGAGACTTTTGATTACTCACTGTGAGGCATGGTCTTTACCTTCAAGTTGCTTACAGTCTGGTGGGGAAAGATGGACACCTACACTCCCGGATGAGTTTCATAATGGAAGACTGAAGAAATGAAGCTCAGAGCTGCTCCAGACACCCTATATGTGGTAGGCCTTTATAGCGAAGTGGCTTTACAAGTGTTCTATACTATCTGTGAGTTGGGGACACCACAGATGTCCTGCTCTACAGGTGAGGAAACTGAAGTGGCTAAGTGGTATTTTCAAGGCTTTCGAACTGAACAGGCTCAGACTACAACAGGCTGGCAAACACCAAAATCTTCATGATTTTTTTCAGGAGACCCAGTTCTAGCCCTTTAGCAGGGACTGCCCCCAAATATCGCGTACTGTACTGAGATAGGGATCCCCTCAGCCCTTCGGGCAGTTCCGGGAAGAGGTAGAGCCTGGAGTTTATGGGGCCTTCTTCATGTACCCCACTGTGCCATTCAGAAATTATTTGAAGAGTGTGCTGAAATGTGAATTGCCACTGTACAGAATTCTATTGGGTGGGACCTCAAGAGGCAGTTAAAGTCCATCTCAGGTGTCATTTTTTTTGTTTTTTTTTTTTTGAGATGGGGGTCTCGCTCTGTCACCCAGGCTGAAGTGCAGTGGTGCGATCTCAGCTCACTGCAAGCTCCACCTCCCGGGTTCATGCCATTCTCCTGCCTCAGCCTCCCGAGTAGCTGGAACTACAGGGGCCCGCCACCACACCCAGCTAATTTTTTGTATTTTTAGTAGAGATGGGGTTTCACTGTGTTAGCCAGGATGGTCTTGATCTCCTGACCTTGTGATGCCCCCGCCTCGGCCTCCCAAAGTGCTGGTATTACAGGTGTGAGCCACCACGCCTGGCCAAGTGTCACTTCTTTTGTGACACTTTCTTGATTCCTTGCCTCACCCTAGTTGAGTTACTGAAAAAAAGCAAATTAGAGAGTACATTTGTGTATGAAGCTCCGTTATCCCTAATCTTACGTGGTAAAGCCTTATGTTGCAAGTAGGCTAGCATTATTATCCTCATTTTATAGATGAGATGATAAAGGTATAGAGGGATTAAGTGCCTTGTCCACAGACATACAGCTAGGACATGAGCCCAGGGCTGCCTGATGCCAAAATGTGTTCTTTTTCATGTACTCAGTGCCTCAATGCATTTAATAAGTGAAGGTGGTCACCTGACTGCAATCAAACTGTGGTGCTTTCATTTATTAGAATTAATGAGTGCCTCCCACCCCATCATACCAGTTTAGCATTTAATTTGTTCCTACTAGCTGTTCATTTGAACTGGTTACATCTTTGTCATTAGATTATGTTTTGAGAGAGGAACTAGACCTTCTTGTTTATTTGCAACACCACAGGATATCGCGTGGTGCCTGTTATATAGTTTAAAAATAGGAATTAAATCATGGTCTCTGATAGAATTTTCGTGGTTGAGTAAAGGATCTAAACAGCGCTATCCAATACAACTTTCTATGATAGCAGCATAAAGGATATAAACAGCGCTATCTAATACAATTTTCTGTGATAATAGCAATGTTTTCTATCTGTGCCATCCAACAGGTAGCCGCTTGGTATATGTGGCTATGGAGCACTTAAAATGTGTGACTAAGGAACTAAAGTTTTAAGTAGATAGAATTGAAAATTTAGTTTCCAGTTTTTACCAGCTGCAATTCAGGTGTTCCAATAGCCACACGTGGCTAGTGGCTAACTTACTGGACAGTGCAGAGTTAAAAAAAGATGCTCTTCCAAGCATCAATACCTAGCTTCCGAATATCCAGGCTTATTTCATGAACTGAAAATGCCCCCACACTGAAAGAAAAGGATTCTGTGCCCTAATGTTCAGATTGATTAGCCCTGTAGGTTCTACCTAGGGTGAAGTCATTTTCCGTAGCTGAGATGCTCACAGACTGTCTCTGAGTTGCCTTCAAAATATATGAGATTTATAAAAATTAACTTTTTTTCTTGCTTAAATACTTCTATTCCTGATGTGTTGTCTTTCCATTTTCTAGGAATAATTTTTAATTTATCCCATTTGAGCTCTGTTCTAAGTAGAACGTCTCCCCTTCTTTATGGACTAGTTTTGGTGTAAAGTGCTCCTAAATGAATGTTTTTAATGGTGTTTTGTATCTTGGCCTGAATGTAGGTAATGGGCTTTTATTGCAGAATTACTTTAAGACTTTCTGTAGATGTCAAAACCAGCCAAACAAGTGAAAAGTTTTGATTAACCAGTTGTTTAAATTTTACTCAACAACTAGTTTGACCAGTTTGGAATGGACATGGGTAGTGAGTGAAAGGACCTATTTCTGTCGTATAGGAAGGACATCTGAACAAGTGAGTTGTCCCCCAGGATTGGGATGGAGGGGTGTGCATGTTGTGTGTATTGTGACTGTGTGTGCTCAAGAGCTCTAGGGTTTTGTCATATCACCTTGACACACATGGTGCTTATGTTGACTGTTGAGGATGTTGAATATGGAGGGATACAGTTTATCCTAAATAAATCCCCATTGTTAAGTTCTGGGGTGATGAAAATTAATTGGCATTGTAAACAGTGAAAACCTTGGGTCTCAAGCCCCTTAGATACCTTGTTTGTCTACTGAGAAGTATATATCAGGTCTTGAATGTCCACACTGACATTTTACAATATGGATTCTAGGTTTTTTTTTTTTCAACATAAAGTGTATGGAATTTTAAAGCTTCACTTAATGAAATTTGCTTTGTTGAAGTTCTGTTTTGCTTTCGAATCTGCTAACTTGCATGGGATTATAGGTGTAGTAGTTTCACTTACATCAACTTTGCAGAGCAAGGTTTGCTTTAACAAAAAAGCACGTTTTGCCATAATCATACCTTTGTAGCAACAGTAGATATTGTAACTACTGACACTTTTGTTCTGCTTTTGAATAATAATTAGAAAGTTGAAGAAAGCTCCAGGTTCCTAGTATTCTTATCAGTTGGCCATCTAAACTAGGTTATTACCAGAAGGTTAAGACAATTCAGGGTATCCATATTTAATTTTATGAGCATTTAAGACATCAGTTTCATCAGTTTAAACTGTAATGTGCTATTAAAATCATGTTTTTAACTTGGGTTACTCTCCTGTAGCTACATTTTTTTTTTTTTTTTTGAGACGGAGTCTCTTACTCTGTCACCCAGGTGGGAGTGCAGTTGGCGCGATCTCGGCTCACTGCAACCTCCGCCTCCCAGGTTCAAGTGATTCGCCTGCCTCAGCCTCCCAAGTAGCTGGGTTTACAGGCGCCTGGCACCACGCCCGGCTGATTTTTTTTGTTTTGTTTTTTTTTTTTTTTTTTTTTTTTGAGACAGAGTCTTGCTCTGTCACCCAGACTGGAGTGCAGTGGTGTGATCTCGGCTCACTGCAAGCTCCGCCTCCTGGGCTCACCCCATTGTCCTGCCTCAGCCTCCTGAGTAGCTGGGACTACAGGCGCCCGCCACCACGCCTGGCTAATTTTTTGTATTTTTAGTAGAGACAAGGTTTCACCATGTTAGCCAGGATGGCCTTGATCTCGTGACCTCAGGTGATCCACCTGCCTTGGCCTCCCGGAGTGCTGGGATTACAGGCGTGAGCCACTGTGCCCAGCCTCCTGTAGCTACATTTTAAAATGTCAGATCTTATGCCTGCTATGTCAGACATATCAATGCTTTGTACATTTCAAAAGAAACAACTGGTTTCAGAGAGAAATAGAGTTACTCAGGTGTGTTAAGGTTGATAAAGAGCTTGTGTTTTTCAGGTACTTTAGCATTGGAGAAAACTTTGTGTTTTGAAACATCTAATTATGTTCTTATTTATTTCTTTTAAAAGAAAATTGGAACCAAAAATTGTAGGGATGTAACTTTATAGTTGAGAAATTATGTGCATAGAAGCCAGGGAATTCAGTAATGTTCCCCAAAGCAACTGTAACTCAGACATATTGCACGAGGTTTTTATGGTTTAATATATGATACCATATAGAGTAATAGGGAATAACCACATTTCATATAAATAAGAGAGAATTATGGTTTTTGTGAAAGCCCTAATTTTGCATATCTAGATTTCACACGTGTGTAAATTTTCAATAAGAGTGTAGTGTTAATGTATACTTGTATTTGAGCTAATATCTATTGGTGCACCTAGAGATTCTTCTATATTATTGATTATGGTTATTGGAGTATCAGAGAAATTCTCAGTTTAGGAGCAAAATTACAAGAAACCTTTTTTTTTTTTTTGAGACGGAGTTTTGCTCTTGTTGCCCAGGCTGGAGTGCAACAGCATGATCTAGGCTCACCACAACCTCTACCTCCCGGATTCAAGCGATTCTCCCACCTCAGCCTCCTGAGTAACTGGGATTACAGGCATGTGCCACCACGCCAGGCAAATTTTGTATTTTTAGTAGAGACGGGGTTTCTCCACGTTGGTCAGGCTGGTCTCAAACTCCCGACCTCAGGTGATCCGTCCATCTCGGCCTCCAAAAGTGCTGGGATGACAGGCATGAGCCACCACGCTCGGCGAAACCATTTTAAAATTGAAACCTAACTCAGTCTTTTTTTTTTTTTTTTGAGACAGAGTCTTGCTCTATTGCCCAAGCTGGAGTACAGTAGTGCAATCTCGGCTCACTGCAACCTCCACCTCCTGGGTTCAAGCGATTCTCCTGCCTCAGCCTCCTGAGTAGCTGGGACTACAGGTGCCCACCATCACACCCGGCTAATTTTTGTATCTTTAGTAGAGGTAGGGTTTCACCATGTTGGCCAGGCTGGTCTCAAACTCCTGACCTCAAATGATCCACCCACCTCGTCCTCCCAGAGTGCTGAGATTACAGGCATGAGCCACTGCGTCCGGCCAACTCAGTCTTTCATTCTGAAATATTTGATAATTAAAAGTGAGTTAGAAGTTGCTCATTTTTGCAGTAGAATAAATAAAAGCCCTAGTTTCAACATTAACACTGACTGCTTATCCTTTAGGAATTCTCTTTGGATTATCTTAATTTTTACTATCAATTAATTACCCTGGTTTAAACAACACAGCAATGAAGATGGCCCATTCTTTTTCTTTTTCTTTTTTTTTTTTCCGAAATGGTATTCCCAAACCTATTCCTTAGGTGGTCTTTTTAAACATATCTACTTGACCCCCCAGGTAGATAATACTTGTCTTAATGTTTTTTTAGGAGCAGCCCAGGGCAAAAGAATTGTGAATTGAGAATTTCTTTGGTGTAAGTTAAATTCTTTTCTTTTCTTTTTTTCAGCCAAATCAAATAGAAAGCTTACTTTTCTGTATTTAGCGAATGATGTCATCCAAAACAGTAAAAGGAAAGGACCTGAATTCACTAGAGAATTTGAATCTGTCCTTGTGGATGCTTTTTCTCATGTTGCCAGGTATGTTGTCTGTTTTTTGGATTTGTTTTTAAATTCATTGCCTTTCCCACCTTTTTGTTCTTTCCTTTTCTGTGATAGCCTTTGTAAATTGACAACTTCCTACTTTACAGAGAGTTGTGGAGGCCGAATTGTGGTTTTATGTTTTGTTGAGCCCTCAAGAACTATCGAGACATGTAAACATTCTGATACATTTGAGAGATTCAGCCTAGCATTATCTTTCTTCTAGATATATTCATTTTCATTTTTTGAATTTATTTCTTGGTTATGGTATTTTCCTTGGTTTGGTTGAGTTGTCTCATCAGCTTATGATCAAAAAACAAAGCTAACTAGTAAGGGAACCTTTTAGTAACATAACTTAATAGCAAGAAATTAATTGCCAAATGCCTTCCTTTTTATTTCCTTCTGGATTTCTAGATGTCTAGTTTACTAAAAATAGTAGGCATTACTGTAACTGCAATAATAGTAATTATTAGTGTAGAAAGTAGGTGTTTGCTCTGGCTATATTGTATTAAGCCTGGTGCTGTTGTGTTTTGTGGCAGAGAGGAGTGGCACTCATACAACTAATACCATAGAAAGCATACATTGGATTAAAAGTTTTATAAATTACTTTACTTCATGTAAAAACAAAAGCTTTCTGTGGGCTTAAATTAGGTGCCCAGGAAAAGCAAAGAAAAACTATCGTTCATTAGAATATTATGTTTATAAGTAAATATATAAACAGATATTTGCAAAAGGAATTGGGAAACATGAATGGGAGACTAGTAGGTTAAACATAAATTGTTACTAGGTCTAAAATATAGTGAAAGGCCTTAAATGAGAAATGAAGTCCTGCTTTCATTGCAGGATTTGAAAAGTTTGAAGGAATAAAATTAGAAATCCAAGAGAAAGAAATGACACCTAGCTTTCTAGAGATGAAAAAGATGGTTTTTGTGGATAAGTTACATAACTGGCTCACCTTTTGATCAACATGGGCGCAAGTAGCAAAATGTGTTATTAACTTGAAAAAAATACTGAATCTTCATAACAGAGTAAGCTTAGAACAGACTACTAGAGGAGCTATCTGAAATAGACAGATTTTCTTGCTTTGATGAGATTTAGTTCACAGTTGCTTAGAAATTGATGGTAGCTCTGCCTCAGACACTATGTGAGTGACCTTGGATGTGTTACTTAACTTTTTGAGCCCAAATTTCCTAACTGGCTAAAGGGGGAGGATACCACTCCCCCTCATAAGAGTTGTGAGGGTAAAGACAGACAATATGTTTAAAAGTATGTAGTACAATGCCTGTTCCACATTTGCTCATTCATTGGATCATTTGTTTTTTCCTATATTCCAGGCACCTAGTAAAGTGTCTGGCACAGAGCTGCTGAGTTATGTAGCTTGAAGGAATACCATTTATATAGCCTCCATGTAAGTGGTGTCCCAGGAGCTGGGCAACATTATGGTCTGCCCTGACACAGTAGGCGTTCAGTAAATATTTGTTAAATGAGTTAATTAATGTTAACTCATTATGGAAGAGATTTGGTCTAGGGAGTTGGCTGGAATGATTTCTTGTAGGGATAGTAAACATAACAGTGTTATTAAAAAATTCCAGCCTGGGCAGCATAGTGAGACCCTGTGTCTACAAAAAATTTTTTAAAAATTAGCCAGGCATGGTGGTGTGCACCTGTAGTCCTAGCTACTTGGGAGGCTGAGGCAGGGGGATTGCTTGAGCCCAGGAGTTCAAAGCTGTAGTGAGCTATAATCATACCACTGCACTCCAGGTTTAGCAACAGAGCATGACCCTGTCTCTAAATTACAAACAGACAAACGATCTGTAATCTTTAGCTGTCCTGAAACCAAAAAGTAAATAGAAAGGGGTGGAAAAGGGGGTGGGCAACACCAGGGTTAAAAATTCCTTTTTTCTTGGGAACACCTTAAAAACTAGCCAGGTTTTAGGTGTCTTGGCAGATTCAGTGGCAGTGTGAGGAAGATAAACCTGGTCCTTCTCAATAAAATAGCCCGAATTCCTTTCTGTTTGCATTCTGGTTCTTTTAAGATTCTGCTTGGGTATTACATTCAGGATACCCATGTTTCCAATCTCCTTTCTTATACCCCATTATTGGGACAGAAAGTCCAACAGTTCTGCTTCAACCGTGATGCAGCTCGTCCACAGTAGGAGTAGCCTAATTAACATATACTTTCTGTGTGCTTTTTCTGTGGTCAGTTGATGAACAAAGATAGTTGACCCATTACTGTTGACTAAATTGATGAGGGATATTTTTATGATAAAAGACACCTCCACACCCAAAACAAACAAACAGTAAAAAAAACTCTCAAGTCAGAGAAAGCTGCCAAGTTCATAGGATAGATTTGATTTGAATAGCAGTTTAATTAACCAGACTGCAAACTTGCTTTTCATACAAGTGCCTTGTTTTCTTCCCAGTGAGGAGACAGCTGTCCATGTCATTTTTCATTCAACATGTATTGGAGTGCCTTCTATGTGCCAAGTATGGATCCAGACACGGGGGGAGCAGCAGTGAACAAGGCAGGCAAAGACAATTAAATGAGCAAGATACTTTCAGAGCAGGACAATATGGACATAGTAAAATGGAGTGATGTTCTAGAGTAGGATCTCACAGGTAGTGTGGTTCAGGAAGGCCTCTAAGGAAATGACATTTGCGGTAATCATGCGAAGCGGGAGCAGCTATTAAGAAAAACTTAAGGCAGAGATCATCTTGGCCTTCTAAGAGAAACAGAATGAAGGCTGGTGTGGTTAGAATATAGTGCACAAAGGGAAAAGTGATATCCAGATGAGGTCCGAGAGGTGGACATGCAGCAGTCACATACACCCTGTAAGTCTTGGAAGTTAGGATTTTTTTCTCATGGGATGTCATTGAAGAGTTTTAACCAGGGGAATGATATATTCCAATATATTCCAACATACATTTTTAAAACATCCCTCTTTAAAAATGGCTTAGTGTAGAGGGATGGATTGTAAAGGCCAAGGGAGGGGCGGGGACATGAGTTTGGAGGATATTGCTGTGATGCAGGCTAGAGGTGACATTGCCTAGGACTCAGAAGCAATGGGAAGATACTAATAGCTTCCATTTATTGAGTGCTTCCTTCGTGGGAGGATCCCCACCTCTCCAGTGTAAAACTGATAGGATTTATAGGCGTTGAGTGGGAGCTGGTAGTAAGTGAAAAGAGAAATCAAAGACGATTTCTAGGTTTTTGATGTAAGGAATGACTGATGGTGCCCTTTACTGAAGTGAAGATTGGGGAAAAGATTTGGTGGAGGAAATCACGAGTTTTGTTTTGGCCAGGCCGAGTGTGAGGTGGCTAGTGAATATTCCAAGGAGTGATGCCAAATAGGCAGGTGGATAAAATAGTCTGAAGCTCAGTAGAGACTTGATTTCTGGAGACATAAATTTGAGAGTTACCCACATGATATTTACTTATTGTTGTGGGCCCCAAGACCACTCCCAGGTTTGGTGATTCCCTAGAATGACTCACAGGGCTCATCATGTAGTCATAGTCATGGCAGTGATTCATTACAGCTAAAGGATCCAAAGCAGCAGCAGCAGCAGAGGGTGATGTGCATGCAGTACCCGCAGCAGACTGGAGCGCTCTGGGTATAAGCTTCCGAGTCCTCTCTCAGTGTTATTCCACAAACACGCTTAATTCCTCTAGCACTGAGTTGTGATGTGTATGATGTGTAACCTACCAGGAAAGCTCATTAAAGACTCTGTGCCCAGAGTTTTTATTGGATTGGTCATGTAGACACCCTCTGCCAAAATTCTAAGCTCCCAGAAATAAATCAGGTGTTCATTTTTTTTTTTTTTTTTTTGAGACGGAGTCTCACTCTGTCGCCCAGGCTGGAGTGCAGTGGCTTGGTCTTGGCTCACTGCAAGCTCCGCCTCTCGGGTTCATGCCATTCTCCTGCCTCAGCCTCCCAAGTAGCTGGGACTACAGGCGCCCGCCATGATGCCCGGCTAATTTTTTGTATTTTTTAGTAGAGACGGAGTTTCACCATGTTAGCCAGGATGGTCTTGATCTCCTGACCTTGTGATCTGCCCGCCTTGGCCTCTCAAAGTGCTGGGATTACAGGCGTCAGCCACCGCGCCAGGCTCAGGTGTTCATTAAGAACCGTATTGCTTGCACAAACAATTTAGGCCCAGTAAACCACCCTTACCAGTTAGGAAATGGTAGGGACACTCGGAAATCCCAAGTTCCCAGACCACTTCCCTAAGGGTAGCAGTCTGGCCTTCTGTGTTAACTCCTTTCTGAACCAGCTTTACATGAGGTACTGTTGGAAGTGTAGGGAATACTTAGAATTCCTGCCCTTAGTAGGCCTACCATAGGCCTGCTGTGCATGAGATAAGACAGAGTTGTACAAATTACTGTGGTTGTACTGAAAAAGTGCCATAGAACTGTAGAGGAAGAAAAGGCCCCCAAGGCTGGCTTTGCAGGGACTCAGGTGTCCAGCTGACACGTCAAGCAGCCAATTCTGTTTGTGTGTATCATATACATTTTTCACTCTTAAAGGTCAGTTTTGCTATCTGTATTGAAAAATAAAGTGATTGAATTTGTTATTAATCAGAATTAAAATATGAAGTGTTCAACGTAATATTAAGTTGTGTATGTAATTATTTGCCATCTTCCACTTTATTCATAGATTGTTGGCAAAGATTGTTCAGTCTTTTTTTCCACTTAAAGATTTCTCAGTTTAGATTGGAGTTAGTACAACCTGAAAATATTTCTCTTTCTGTTATAAAACGGCTTTATTACTTTGGTTGTATCTAATTCCAGATGCCAAAGTGACTTCCATTTCGCTGGAGCTACTTCCTTCAAAACCTAATCAGTAGAAAGATTTCTTGAATATTTTATGTATAACTTTGAAACTTATCTAGCAAAACTTTGATTTACCACAATGTTCAAGGAAATATCTGTCCTGGTTAGTTATATTCACTAATTAAACTAGAACCCCCCTTTTGGCCTTTAGTAGTAAAAGCCTTTTGAAAATGTTTTGTGGTTATAACAGGTTTGAGCATCATTTTCCACTGTGCCTGAAACTGTACACAAAACCAGTCTTAGCCTGAATGGAGTCCCAAGTATCTCCAGGAATGGTGGGTGGTGGGTGTGTGTTGTGATACCCACCTACTTTTAAACTAAGTCCTTGATAAGAATTTATTCTCGAGACTGGTTTCTCTTTCTTTTAAGCGAACAGAGAATCTGCAGCAAACAGATTTTATGCTAAAAGTACCAGCTAGTTCATTAACTAAGTTCTGATTAGTTGCAATTTGGTTTTACTAATTATAATGACTTTATTTTTCTAAGCTATACATTTGCTCACATTAGGGACCTCCCATTGCCTGCAGGCCACGTGCTTTAATATGGCATTCAGGGCTCGCTGTAATTGAATTCCACCCTCCTTCCAGATTCTTCTGCAGTTTCCGCACATTCCCCCATATACTTCAGCTACTTGAATTACTCCTTTCCCTTTGCCTTGTTCAATTTTGGCTATTCCATTTGAAGGAGAAGAGATAGCATGAACAAAGGCACATGCACATGAGAGAACAAATTCTGAGTAGCAAATACATACGGGTGGGTGTTGCTGGAATGCAAAGTTCCAGGTAGGGTAGGGAAAGGAGACTAAAAACAGGTCTGAGGGATTGCTGAGTCGAGCCCTAGAGGTCAGGACCCAGGCCTTCTTATTCTTTGTAAACCTTCATTGGTCGAGCTGAGGAGTGCTTAGTTGATTTCTGCCATGACCTTGATACAGTAAGATGATTGTTGAAAGTTAAGTAACTGTATTACTTACCGAAACCCATATACATTTTTCTGGAAAAGATTACAATTTGACAGATATTCATTGTGCTTGTTCAAGGGCATATAGCAATGGGAGAAAATGACAAATCTGCACCCCTGTGGAAATTACATTCAAATGGAAAGCGTGTAAACAAAAAGTAAACTATTGAATATACAGCATACCAGAAAAGTTGTATGGAGAAAAATTGAGTAGGGGCAGGGAGTGTTATTTTCAACGTGGAGATTAGGGAATGACACACTGAAGGTGGTGTAACTAAACATACCCCTGAAGGAGGAGAGGAATTGAGCTGTGTGGCCACATGGGGAATGTGGTTCCAGGCAAAGCAAACTTTTGAAGTGCTAAGGCTCTGAGGCAGTGCTAGGGTAGCTGTTGTTGAGGCAGGAGGTTGGAGGACGGGGGTGGGGAAGAGTGGGTAGGAGATGAGGCCAGGGAAATAACAGCTGGGTTGGGAAAGGCCTTGGAGTCTTTATAAGGACTTTTATTCTGAGGGATACTGGGAAGAAATGTTGGCAATTTTGAACAAAGGAGTGACGTGGTCTGCCTTAGTACAGCAGCTAAAATTGTATTTTGAAAACTCGAGAACAGGTTGTAGGAGGACAAGGGTGGAAGCGAGGAGACCAGTAATGAGGCTACTGTAGTAATGCAGGCGAGAGATGATAGTGCCTTGGGCCAGATTGATAGCAGAGGAAAAGATGAGAAATAACTCATTTCCGGATATATTTTGAAGGTGGAGTAAAAGTGTTTTATCACAAATACCAAGTAATTGGGTCATATTTTTAAGCTTTATAAAATTAGCAGTAGAAATGTTTTTCCTTTTTTTTCCCGAACCCTCACTTCTGACTTTAAAAAGTTTAACAAAAAAAGAATTAATTTTTATGTACTCTGATTGAGTCCTTTAGTCAGTGAAATTTACCACTAATAATTCATAAGTGAGACATTCTGACTGGGCTAGGCTGAAACCTAAGTTCTCCTTGAGTTTATGAAAGCGTTGTCATGGTCGGGTGTGAATAGAGTTCCCATCTCAGTTGAATTGGCATGGTTTCTCCTTGAAGTTCCTATTAAAAGCCATTTAACTTAGATACTAAGATGTCGAGGTATCCCTTCTTGTTTAAAGTCATTCAGTATAAGATCGTTGCCATTTAAACCCCCTCACAAAACAGAAGATTTCATGGTAACAGTGCATGGTGACTGAATTCACTTTGCTTTCAGAAAGTCTAACCCAATCTTCTGCTTGCTGTCTGAGATTTTATTGTAGGCAATTGGTTCTCAGTGAGTGCTAGTTATAGTCCTTTATATCCTGTTTCAGGAGTTAACATGTCAGGGGAAAACATTTTCTAACTTCTAATTCATATCCTTTGATATAAATTATGAAGGACTGCATTATTAAGTGTGTTCTAAGATTATCAGATACCTTTGTGTGAACCTGGACTATGGACTTAGCCCAGAATTAAAATAATTATGCAGTGGTTAGAACTGGAATGATTCTTGACATATACATGTATGTGATTGTGTTTATACATGTAGAGGTGTTGGTGTGTTAGAATTGATGAGTTGCAGTGAATTTATTTCCTGTTTTAAACATCTGGTTTTTTAAAATCATTTTTCTATCTTTAAGAGTTCTGATCCACTTTTAATTTCCAGCAGAATGTCTGGCATTTTAATTAACGTCTTCTTAAAAAGCAAGCTATCACAACTGATAAGATGGAGTTTTGATAATTTTCTGTCTGTAAAAATTGGCCATTGACTTTTGGTCCTATTTGATTTCAATTATGGCATGATCCCTCCCACTGCACGAAGAATGTAGTTTGTGGTCAAGTTTTGGGTATCCAGGTATTACAATATGTACCTTATTTGGTTTTAAATGTGTAAATCATTTAGTCAGTTGTTGATTTCTTTTTTTTTTAAGTAGGTCTGTCCTAATTAAAAGCAAAAAATCTTAAGCTTATATATATCTTTTCATCTTTTCTGGGCAGAGAGGCAGATGAAGGCTGTAAAAAACCTTTAGAAAGATTGCTGAACATCTGGCAAGAACGAAGTGTGTATGGCGGCGAGTTCATACAGCAGCTGAAGCTGTCTATGGAGGACTCCAAGAGCCCTCCCCCCAAAGGTAGAAACATCACCACATGTTTACAGCTCTTGGTCTTTGCCTACTTTCGAATCAAATATGAAAAGCTGCAGTGGGGTTTGCTGTGAACCACCAGCGATTTTATGATTCTTCAGAGAGACAGATGATCATGAATGATGGTGAGAATTTATGTAGTGCTCACAGCGTGTAAGCCTGGTTCTAGTATTCATGCTATTCATCCTCTCACACCCTGACTTTTGCTCTCTGTTCTCCTTGGCTTGCTTCTGTCTTTCAGAGACTTTCCTTGCACAAGGAAAGGAACAACAAAGTTGTTCAGAGTTGTGGTGAACTAGGAAGTAGCCTGGACTAAGATTTTGTCCTTGCTCTGCCATTAACTACAATAGGACCTTGGATAAGTTTCTTAGCTTTTTAAGAACTTGATTTAATTAAATGTAGATGTGCTTTTGAAACATATCCTTAGGATTGTCAGCATGGTGTCTGTCTAAAGTTGATTGTTTGTTTGTTTTGGAGACAGAGTCTCACCCTGTCATCCAGGCTGGAGTGCAGTGGCGTGATCTCGGCTCACTGCAACCTCCGCCTCCTGGGTTCGAGCCATTCTCCTGCCCCAGCCTCCTGAGTAGCTGAGATTCAGGCACCTGCCACAACACCCGGCTAATTTTTGTATTTTTAGAAGAGACGGGGTTTCACCATGTTTGCCAGGCTGGTCTCAAACTCCTGACCTCAAGTGATCTGCCCGCCTCGGCCTCCCAAAGTGCTGGATTACAGGTGTGAGTCACTGCGCCCAGCTTAAAACTGATTTTGATCTTTACTGAACCCAGGATATCTTTAGGAAGTGCATCTGTGTGTGAATTTTGCAAAGCCCTTAATAAGAGCTTATATTATTTTTTCTTTTTTCTTTCTTTTTTTCTTTTTTTTTTTTTTTTTTTTTGAGACAGAGTCTTGCTTTGTTACCTGGGCTGGAGTGCGGTGGTATGATCTCAGCTCACTGCAACCTCCGCCTCCCGGGTTCAAGCAGTTCTTTGCCTCAGCCTCCCGAGTAGCTGGAATTACAGGCACCTGCCACCATGCCCAGCTAATTTTTGTATTTTTGGTAGAGACAGGGTTTCACCATCTTGGCCAGGCTGGTCTTGAACTCCTGACCTCGTGATCCACCCGCCTCAGCCTCCCAAAGTGCTGATATTATAGGCGTGAGCCACCTCACCTGGCCTATTTTTTTCTTTAAAGAGTAAGATCAAATGTTGTTTAGTTACTTGGCTTCTGGTTAGTTGTGGTTTAATTCTAGTTGGCATGACATGTTTCTTAGCTACAGATCTGATCTGCCTGCATACATGTTTCCTGGAGGATCGAGTCCAAGTACTGATAGTATTGAAGACCCTTTCTATCTGAACTAGCCTGTTTTTCCAGATTCTTCTCCTGCCACTTCCTCACTTACACTGTATTCTTTGGCCAAACTGAATTGCCGACAGTTTACCCTCTGGATGCTCTGTTGGCACTGCTTCCTTTCCATCTGCTGTTACCTCTACTTGATGTCCTTCTACCGCTTTCACTGTGTGATGAACTCATTCTCCAAGAATGCAACTCTCATTCTGACATCTTCCCTGGCTTGTCTGGGCCCATGTGGTCATTCCCTCCTTGTTCTCTGGTACTTTATACATGCATCTGCTATAGAACCTAGTCATGATTAGCATGTGTGACAGTATCCTTCACTGAGTAACCCTTTTGTGTACCCTTCATGATCCTTTCCAGGTCTGGAATTATTTGCATTTTGCAGTGGGTAACTTTCCTGTGAAACCAAAGGTTAGAGGCTTTCTGTGAATGACATAAGTGCTTTCAGACTGCAGGTCATTGTTGTTTTACTTGGTGTTGCTAGAAGATAATTTTAGGATCACTCAGGTGATTGGTAGCTTCTGAAAAGCAAGATGTTTCCTGCTTTGGATTCTGGTGTTTTTATTGTGTCCTTTGGAGGTCTTCAGTACAGCTTTGGGGAATTACTCAGCATTCTTTACTCTGCCTTAGAGTTCATTGGTAAACAGTGCTGGTTTTTAAGAACACCTTTGGGCAAGTAGGAGAGCCTTGAAAGAGGATGTTTGAAGCTAATGTTGAATTTCAATTTAATGTACATTTGCTGGACACATACTTTGAATAAACAGATATGCTAGATGCTATAGGAAAGAGGGAGAAAAGAGTGAGGAATAGGTTTGCACTCTGGGAATGTGTGGAATTTGTGGCAGTGATAGTATTGGGAATAGCTTCAGTGGGTTTCTGATTTTTTTTTGAAAGTCTAGACAGACATTAACAATAATAGAGGCAGTTTCCTCTAGGTAGAGGATAATGCTAATCTAAAGATAATTTCTCTTTCTCTATTCTATAAAGATGAAAACACACATCAAAAGATTTCAACATGTGTGTTAGTCCCAGCTGACTCACTCTGTCTTCACTCTCTGGACCTGAGTTATCAGAATATTTTACCACAGTCCTTTCAAATGTTGATGAGTTCTCGAGAAGTTTATTTCCAAATTTGAGTAGTCCTTTTATATTCCAGCTTTGATTCATGGGTAATTCTTTGTCTTCAGGCAACTTCATGGAGTTTACCTCTGAAATAAAAATTTTTCTATGGAACTTTGACAGTTCTTACAACATTAGAGAATGCATGAGCTTAGGAATTCTGTTTTAGAACTGGGTATTAAGTTTATAAACCTGTCTCTCAAGGTGTTCTAAAGGTGTCTCTCAAAACATCACACTGTACCCTATAAATATATACAATTATTATTTGTCACTTAAAAACAAAATTTAAAAAGTAAGAAAAGGAGAAAAGTTCTCTACTCTTGAGAATACTCAAGGTGTTGCTTGACTGAATGGAACTTTTTTATTTGAGCCACATGTGACTCATGTAGTATACGGTTGTAGAAGGATTTAGAGAGAGAGGGTAGATACAAAGGGACTAGCATTTATTGAGCATCCGTTATGTACCAGCCTCTGCTGGCTGCTTTTCATATTAATTTGTTTTAGATCCTTACAACTACTCTGTGAATTTGGTATTATTTTCATACTTTAGATGAGGATACTGGCTCAAAAAGGTATAGTAATTTTGTTCAGAGAGAGATAATTGGTAAGTGGCGAATTCCCAGGTCTATACGACTTTAAAGCTGATATTCTTCACACTGTCGTATTTCCTGAAAGCACACGGTTTCAATATTGGTAGGAATTTTGGTAGGAATTTGTGAGTAGGTTACCCAGCTTTCCTGGATCTTAATATAGTTTAGCTATTCAGGCTTCCACAGTATGAATCCTAGCTGTCATTTCTTTTTTGAGATGAAGTCTTGCTCTGTCGCCCAGGCTGGAGTGCAATGGCGGGACCTCGGCTCACCGCAACCTCTGCCTCCCAGGTTCAAGTGATTCTCCTGCCTCAGCCTTCCAAGTAGCTGGGATTACAGGCATGTGCCACCACGCCTGGCTAATTTTGTATTTTTAGTAGAGATGGGGTTTCTCCATGTTGGTCAGGCTGGTCCCGAACTCCCAACCTCAGGTGATCCGCCCACCTCGGCCTCCCAAAATGGCAGGATTACAGGCATGAGCCACCACACCCGGCCCCTAGCTGTCATTTCTAAAGCTCTGTGACCTTGGCCATGGCATTTGATCCTTCTGAAGCTCAGATCCTCACTGTACAATATGGCTATTAATGGTAATACCTTCTAGGATAGTGATGAGGATTACTTGAGATAATGCAGGTAAGATATTATCAGTGGGGCAATGATACGAGTTTTGTTTGCCCCTGCCAGTTCTAGTATCTAATGTGCTGAGTTTCTATATATGAACTGGTCGCAAAAGTAAGAAGAGGTTTTTAATATTTTCAGTCCCCCAGTTTTTGTGCGAGGCTGGAGAACATGGTAGCTAAGAGTATGAGTTCTAGGCACAACTTCCCTGGGTTTATGCCTGGATTTGGCTACTCAGTTCAGTGAGATGATAAGGGTAGACAGCTTGTAGAACTGTGCCTCAAATGTTAGACCTTTATCTGTTGTAGGTTCTTTTCTCTCCACAAGTAAAGTTTAATGTGCCTTATTAAAATGTCCTTTATTATGCAGGGATGGAGCAAAGAATGAGGGAGCTGTTGCAAACAATATTTCCTGATCCTTTTCTCATTATAAAAGTAATATAAAGTCTATAGGTGTGGTTTTTTTTGTTGTTGTTAACTAGTCAATTGAAGCAGTGGGAGTAGAGAAGGAACAAAAAAACCTGTAACTGATTGCGATCAATTAGTTGTAAACACTGCTGCACTCGGACCAAACGCGGTGTTTTTTTTTTTTTTTTTTTTTTTTTTTTAAATCACAGAAAATTTCAAGTGGATCCTCTAGAAGATCCAGCTTTACGGTAGATGGCTGCATATTATAATGTGATTTGGGAACCTGCAGGCCAGCTTTTTGCCTTAAGATTAGTTTCACAGTCTGCCATTGTGTCTGAAATTCTCCCACAATCAGGTTGTAAGAGGCATACCATAAACCCTTAGGTAACGAGGATTACTTAAGGTTAGCTGAGTACAAGGCCTGCTGGAGACACAGGGACAAGTTGGAGGATAGAATAGAAGGTGCCCAGTATGAGGACAGAAGGACTTTGGCTACCCCCACAGTTTGTCCTGCCTGTAAACAGAGTGGTTGAGTGAGTGAAAAAGGGAGAGTAAATATATACCGTGGTAGAAGCTGAATTGATAGTGGAAGGCTTACCTTAAATTCAGATGTAGAAATGGAACTGACACATATTCTAGTTTTTAAAATAATTTTAATTTTTAAAAAAATGTATAGCTTTTGAAAAGGAAACCTGGAAATCCTAAGTTATTTTTAATGGCTGTCTGACTAGACTGACAATACCAGGCACTATAACTGCTGACTTCGTAGCAGTGATAGTCATTTCTGGCCTAGCACTAGCATTTTCCAAGCTCTGTGACTCCTCCCTTCAAGCGGTTTCAAACTCCGACCTGTCACCCCTTTCCTAGGTACTGCAGGGATGTAGAGGAATAAGACACAAAGTGCTCCTGTCGGAGAAGAACGCTTGCCAGTGGCCAGAGTAGCAAGGCCAGGTGCTTTAAGAGAGGCCCGAGTGCCGTGGGAGTTGGAGGCCATTTGTCATCATTAGGCTTTGAACTTAGGAGGAATCTGTAAAATCATTAGAAGCCCCTTAAGGTTTATGAATAGGGACATGATGGAGTGAGCACTCCGCTTTAGGAAGATTAATTTAATAACAGAATACAGTCTTCCATATTTACAGGTTCCACATCTGTGGATGCAACCAGCTACATATTGAATATATTTTGGGTAAAAATAATACATATTTTAAAAATGAAATGGTGTGACAATTATTTACATATCATGTGTACATTGTATTAGGTACTATAATCTAGACACAAAGTATACGGAAGGATGTGTGCGTAAGTTATATATAAATACCATGCCATTTTGTAAGGGATCTTGAGTATCCCTAGATTTTGATATCCGTAGCGGTCCTGGAACCAATCCCCCATGGATACTGAGGGACAACTGTATAGTCTAACTTGGGAAAGGAGCAACTAGAGGCGGGGAGACAGTGGTCTCAACCAGCTGTGACAAAGGGCAGATTGCTGATAAGAGGCTGTGTAGGTGAAGGAGCAAAGGGAGGGAGTATGTAAGGCATCAGTCTGAGGTATGGAATCTGCTAGAAACTGGGACCTTGGGATAGATTCTAATGGTTTCCAAGGCCTTGTACCTGGAAGACAGGTCAGTGAAAGTGTTCGTAATGGAAATAGGTAGCTCAGGGAATGAGGAGCCCTGTGGGGGAAATGATTAGTAATTCATGTCCAGAAATCTTATGTTTGTAGCACCAGTAGGTCCTCCAAATGGAAATAGGAGGAAACTGGAAAAATAGGGTAATGGTTAACACCTATTGTGCCCTCTGCCAGCAGGATGGCAAAGGACATAAGTTGTCCTAAAATGATTTCTTATTTTAAGTCTTGTAATGCTGTTCGTGAGCAACAGTGTGAAGTGGTAAAGATAACTCCAGATAATGAGGCTTTGATCTGTAGCACCCAGATTTACACTAACAAACTCTCTGACTTTGGGCAGACTGCAACCTGTGGACTTAGATATTTTCATGAAAATTTGAGTTGGGGGAAACAAAGGCATGGGTCTGTCTAAGTCCTCCCAGTGCCAAAATTCAGGAATTCTAAGTGTCGAGGTAGTGTTTGATGTTTATATATAATAATTTCTGTGTGAGAGTTTGAAAACGGAAGGATTTCAAGTTTTGTAATTTTTTTCTACCTTCTTTAGCATATCTAATAGTTACTTACTGAGTGCTCTTCTAGGTGCTTGAAAGCAAACAGAACAGTATAAAAAATTTTGAAGTTTGTACTTACCTTCTAATGGCCACTCCTTCCACATGACCACTTTGATGCCACAGTGGCTAAGTGTCTGCATGGGTCATATAGCACACATTAATTAGGCAGCTACTATGTACAAAGTACTGTTAGGTGTTTCTTATGTAAATTTTATCCTAATAGATTTTTCATATTAAAAATATAGCAATCTTTGCTTTGCATAGTAGTGCAGGACTATAACCATGATTGTGCAAGCTGAACCCATGCAAAGCAATCTTTATAATCAGTGGGGAAAATTATGATTGTTCTGTGACTTTTAAAATTTTTTTTGTCAAAGAATTAAAAACTCATTGTTGATTCCAAATGTGTACGGAAACAAAAGAGATAATAAACTAATAGTTATTTAATATGCTGTAACAACAAATTAGAAACATTGAGAATTAAAGTGTGTTTTCTTTGTAACAAACTTATCAAGAGTAGTTTGAACAAGGGTTGCCTTCTTCTGGTATAATTTAGATACATATCAGAGCAAACATCTTTTCTGTGGCTTTGCAAGTTGTCATACTGTATTTTGTTTGGATCAGCTTCCAACATTTTATCTTTTATGCTTTCAGTATTGTAAAATACCTCTCAGTTTCTTTAGCATGCAGTTTTTTTTTTTTGTTAGCGTCTCTTCCTCTAGGACGTTGTCATTCTTTTCATCACTCCCACTTTCTTCATTGCTAAGTTGGCCTCTACACATTCCTCTGGCCATGGATCTAGGCTCCCTCTGATGCTGGCAGTGGCAGCATCCTGCAGCGTGCTCTTTCTTCTGTAACTCCACTAATATGCCATTGGGATTTCAGTTCCGGCATTAGCTTTTGTTTCAGTTTCTTTGTTCCACATTTGTCTTTATGATCAATACCCTCTTCTGATCGTTCATTTTTATAAAATGTCGTGGGTGTTATCACTGGGCGATAAGGAGACAGCACAGCGAAGCACTTTGCTGTCTTTGTGTGACCTGCATAACAGGTGTTCAGTGACCAATCACTGATTGACTTCAAGAATGATGTGATTGGTCCCTGATCATGATTTGGGGGCTGAAGTTAGCAGCAAAATTTGTACTTTATGCAACTACTCAAGAGTTAATATGCCATGGTAACTGAAGTTTGAACTTGTTTTATTGAGGGACTGGTGTCATTTAACGAAGCCATGGTAACAAATCTGTGTATAATAGTATGCGCAAAGTGAGGACGGCCTGTATTGCAGATGTTCCTGTCTCCTTTTTTTGTAATAGACAGAATCATTAAGAAGAAGTGAAACTTGGCCAGGCGTGATGGCTCACACCTGTAATCCCAGGACTTTGGGAGACCAAGGCGGGTGGGTCACTGGAGGCCAGGAGTTCGAGACCAGCCTGGCCAACATGGTGAATGAAACCCTGACTCTACTAAAAATACAAAAATTAGCCAGGCATGGGGGCAAATGCCTGTAATCCCAGCTACTCAGGAGGCTGAGGTGGGAGAATTGCTGGAACCCAGGAGGCGGAAGTTGCAGTGAGCTGAGAATGTGTCACTGCACTCCAGCCTGGGCAAGAGAGCAAAAACTCCATCTAAAAAAAAAAAATAAAAATAAAACTCATGATATTGACCTGGCTTTCACTTCAAACGTGAGTTTGGTCAGTTAGTATATGATGTATATAATGTAGAGAACAGGAGCTACGTGACTTGTTTCCAGAAGAAAATGTGTAAGCAAAAAATGTGTATGTATCTGCAGCAGGTGCCTGGTGTCCCCTTTTTTCTAAATGAGAGGGTACCTGTGTGGTGCTAAGTAATTTGAGTGCAGTGGAAAGAGGACAGGTTTTGGAGTCATACCGTAAGTGTGTCATTTAACCTCCCTGGCCTTTGTTTTCTCACCTTTCAGCTGGAGATGCTGTATCTTAAAATTGTTGGAAAGATTAAAAGGAAACTATTGCAATGCCAGGCACAGGCTGTGTCCAATATTTCTTTACTTTCGAAACTAGAATTTATCATTTAGATTTATTTCCCACAATTGTTTGGCATTTATTTTGTATTGTCTAATTTGATGCAAAAAGAATGATTTTGGAATTAACACATCTATCATAACAATGTAAAAACATACGGTGCAGATAGATCATAAATAATGTAACCTGTCAGCCTCAAAAGTGGTTAAATTTAAAATGGTAACTTAAGTAATTTTTCTCAGTAGTATCAATCACATGTCTCAGTAATGGTTATTTTAATTTTAAGGTAAAATTAGATTTATTTTATTTTTAGGGGAATAGTGTAAAGAATATTTGTGTTTGACACAATTTTATTGATAAAATTTTCTCTCCTGTTTTCTGAAATGATCCCTGGAAAGCATAACGTATCTCATTTTATACACAATATCTTCTCTGTAAACCCTAGCACACGTTGGTTTGCTTCATTGTATTGTCCCATGAGTTTCTTACTCAAGTGTGATAGTTGGGTAAGTTTTCGCTTTAGATGCCTGTTTTCTGTAGTATTTTACCAGAGAATCAATCTGAGATGACGGACAAAGACCTGTTTGACTCTTTTCAGTAATGTAGGGAACTACAGTCAATTTAAAATAACTAGCATAAAGGTTACTATTAAGCCATTCTGAAAATGTGTGCCCCTTCTGCCCTGTTTTTACATGTGGCCCATTGTGCATAGCATGTGACTTATCACTACAGGATATGTGACTCAAATTTATTACTTTCTCTTTTGTCTAGCAACAGAAGAGAAGAAATCTCTGAAACGAACTTTTCAGCAAATTCAGGAGGAGGAGGATGACGACTACCCTGGCAGCTACTCTCCTCAGGATCCTTCTGCAGGACCCCTCTTGGTAGGTCTTGACCCCCAGAGAGTAGGGAACAGTGGCTTAAAGTGACCTCTAGTTGAAGACTATGGCCACAAGGTGGCGCCAGTGACCACTGGTATGGAATCATCAGAGGGCACCTCTCAGGGGCCCCGTGCATCATCCTGCCCAAAGGAGCTTGCCGGATGGCAGGTGTCAGTATGTCTTTGCGTGCCATAACTCTGGGATGGGCTTATGTTTTATAAAGTACTTGGACTTGGTTTTTTCAATCCTAGAAATTAAGAATATTCTTTAAAAATAGATTTTGGAGAAAGGGATAGATAATATTACAAAGATATTCAAAAGTCGTCTACCATGGCCTGTCTCCAGTAGCATGGTAGTTTTATAAAGTAACTCATTAATATCTAAAGACAGTCTATGTGTCAATAGCAAATTTGCTGCACTGTAGCCTATTAAATATTGAAACAAGGAGTTAGTCTTTACCCATGTGTTTGTGTTATTTGGCTATACAGGTTAGCTTACAAAATCTAAATGAAAGAAGTTGGGCACAAGGTGACAGTTTAAGTAACTTGACCAGTGTCTTAATTTAAATCCAGGTGTGTCTGACTTCAGAGCCCATGCTCTTTTCAAGGCGGGGGCGGGGGGGGCTTCATCTTATTTTGCCTAAAACAGCTTTATTACACATGGTCATGCTTAAAGCCTATGTAAATAGGAAACATGTCTAGTTTGTGTTATGTTACGGTGTTGAGTTAGACTAGGGATTAAATGACAGCAGTGTTAGGTCATATATCTTTGGATTTAAACACTTTAAAGACTACAGCCTAGATTATTACCTTTCAGGGTAATCTAACTACCATCTACAGAGCTAGCTACTCCTTGGTGATTATGGAGTGGCCTGTTAGCATTGTTTTCTGACAATTTAAGAAACTCCTTTTTGATATATACAGAAAATGTATCCCTGGTTTACTTTTCTTGTTTTTTCCCCCTGGGTTTATAATAAGTTTGATACATTTAATTTTGGGAGTGACATCCATTTTGTCAAGAAAACCCAAGAAAGAATTGAAGTAGGTTGATCAGTCAACATATAATTTTTTCCTTCTCCTTCTTGAGACAGGATCTTGCTCTGTTACCCAGGCTGGCGTGCAGTAGCATGATCATAGTTCACTGCAAACTCAACCTCTGGGGCTCAAGTGATACTCCTACCTCAGCCTCCCAAGTAGCTGGGACTATAGACATATGCCACCATGCTTGGCTTATTATTTTATTTTAATTTTTTTGTAGAGACAGGGTGTCGCTATATTGTCCAGGCTGGTCTCGAACTCCTGGGCTCAAGTGATCCTCCTGCCTTGGCTTCCCAAAGTGCTAGGATTACAGGTGCGAGCCACCACACCTGGCCACAACACACAGTTGTTAACATCTGATATTTATACCTTTATTCTATACTGGAAATGATACATCATTTGAAATTAAGCAACATGAACCAAACTCCATTGTTTTGAATTGCCAAAAACATGTTCTTTTAGAATTAAAAAATAATAATAATTATTCAGAATTTCATTCATGTTCTGCCATGGACTTAGATAAACTAATTTTGTGGATTTTCTTAGAGTCCGTGACATTGACTTACATGTAAGCTCTGGGGCTAAGAACAGTTTTTTTTAAGAAATGGCAGGAATGACTGTTTTTAGAATTTGCCTCCACCTCATTTAACTCCAACTAATTTTCTTTAAACCCCATGTCTTAATGGGTAGTGTTGTTTGTGTTTTCATCTTACAGACTGAGGAACTAATCAAAGCTTTGCAGGATCTGGAAAATGCCGCATCAGGGGATGCTACTGTCCGACAGAAAATTGCTTCTCTGCCCCAGGAAGTGCAAGATGTTTCTCTATTGGAAAAAATAACAGGTGAGAAGGTAGAGTTTGGGTGAAAGGTGAGGAGAGAGGGACATAACTGTAATGCAGTAACCCTAGGCCATACTTAACGTCTGCAGGTATAGACTACTTTCCATGTTGTATTGGTTGCTCTACCATCTTGGGATTTGCAAACATAACTCACATGGTGAACAAAGAAACTTTTGAAATAGTCAAAGCTTGAATAGTGATTCTAGGAATTATTGCAGAAATGCTGGTGTGCCACAACCTGTGGCTCTCTAAATAAGGTCTGTTAAAAACATAGTACAAATTGTGTGCGTGTGGGGTGGGTGGGGGAGATTAGGTATTATTCTGTCTGTTAGACTCATAACCCTCTTACTAAAAGAAAAAAAATTATGATTCAGGGCTGTGTGATTTGTGCCCTGCTCTCTGACAAGCCCCGTAGATGATAGTGCGTTCAGTGCCAGGAATTTCAGGTGTCTGTTAGACATGTCATTTTGCCCTAGTCGTGACCTCCCTAGTTAAACAGGGAGGGGCAGTTGACACGATTCCTGCTTTCCTTATGGGAAATTGAAAGGAAGGAATGAAGCATGAACTAATATTGACAGTAGGCTTTGCACCGGTACTTCTGTTCTTTGTGATAGTCTTTGGAGGTGACTAAATGTGTGTCTCCATATTGCATAGGAGGACATTGAGGCTTTGAGAAGATAGGTGTCTTGTCCAAGGTCACACAAGTAGTGGATCTTGGGATTCTAATCTAGGCTGCAAAGCCTATGTTCCTCCCCTTACAAAAGCTCAGACCTTTCATTCCATTGTCTTCCAAAGGCCACCATTTTCCCACTCCAGTCCCTTGACTTGGCTGCTTCTCTAACTTCTTCCATATCTATCTAAAGGAAATCAAGGTCACTGATGAAATATTTCCCTCAACAAATATTTGAGGCCCACCTATATCCCCTCAAGTGAAGTGTCAAGAAGGAAAATAAAGCAGGGCAGTGGGAGCGGAAAATGATTGCAGGCGGTATTAATGGTATTTTAAAGGTGTTTGGGGAAAGCCTTTCTGATGAGATGACCTTGAGCAGAGACCCGAAAAATTAGGAAGCAAGCCATGAGGATATCCAAGGGAAGGAAGGGCCACCAGGCAGTGGAAGCAGCACAGGGAAAGACCTCAGGCAGTGGGCGTACTGGGTTGGAGAACACAGCTCGGAGGCCTTGTGAGTCACGCAAGAAGCATCTCAGCCCCTCACTCTGCTTTCCCACCCCAGGAATTCACCCCACTGGGACCTGCAGTCTCTTGATTCCTCCCCCACCTCTTCCTAGTCCTCGAGTCCTCATTTTCTTCTTTATTCAGATTGGAGTCTCTCTTTTCACTTCCTCACACACACCTTCAACCCATTTTCTTCTCTTTCTCCCTTCAGTGTAGTCTCCTGGCAAAATCCCTAAACAGGTTAAATCACATTTTAAAAATACTTACTACTAAAAGGACCACTTCATTTATTCTTACTGTCAAAATCATAATCTGCAAAAATTGCAAGCAAGTTAATGTAAAGCTAGCCATGTATGTAATTTTGTTTCTCTGTTTCACTGACCTAAAGGTCTCATGTAGCTTCCTTTTAAAATACTTTTTTAATTTTGATTTTTAATTGTGGTAAAATACATATAAAATGGTAAGCTACATAAAACACAAAGGTGTACAATTTAGTTGTGCTAAGTATTCTCATGTTGTTATACAACCAGTTTCCAGAGTTCTTTTCGTCTTGCCAAACTGAAACTCTATACCCGTTAAACAATAACTCATCATTTTTCACTTCCCATATCACCTGGCAACCACCATTCTTAAATTTAGCTTTTTGTCTGTTCCTTTCCCGAACCTGTGTAGTGGAATGTGGCTGGGAAAAACTAACATGTCTGAGTTGACTTTTCCTCCTATTTCTCTACATGGACATGCTATTTTCTAAACCCGCCTCTCTGTGTATTAGATCTGCTCCTTCTCATCTAGCCAAGGCCATTGCTCCAACAATGCTCCCTCTTTCTCCTGCATTCTCCATTTTTTACTCTTTACTGGATCATTCTCAATAGCATAAAAACATGAATTTTTCCCCCACTTGGGAAGATTTTTTTCTTGACCTCATATCTTCCTCTAGCTACTGCCTCATTTCTCTGTTCTTTTTAGCCAAACCACCTGAATGGATTGCCTGTGCTGTCTCTCTACTTCCCGTCCTCCCAGTTGCTGATGACTTCCTTGTTGCTGAACTCAATGGTGGATTCTCTGCCCCCATCTTAACTTCACCCCAGTAGTATTTGGCCCAGTAGATTATTTCTTCTTCCTGAAAATACTTTCTTCACTTGGTGTAGTAGTTGGAATAATGCCTCCTGACCCCCCACCCCGCAAACACCCATGTTTTAATCCACAGAACCTGTGTATATGTAATCTTATATGGCCAAGGGACTTGGCAGGTGTGATTAAATATCTTGAGATGAGGAGATTACCCTGGATTATTTAAGAGGGCCCAGTGTAATCACAGGGTCCTTGTAAGAGGAAGGTGGGAGAGGGGGAATGAGAAGGAGGTATTACCGTGGAAGCAGAGGTTGGAGCGATGTGCTTTGAAGATGGAGGAAGCAACTGTGATAAGGCATAAGATAATTAATTGGTGATATTCCAAGCCACTAAATTTGTGGTAATTTGCTACAGTAGCAGTGGGAACTAGGACCCTGCATTATTCTAGCTTTCCTCCTCTCTTTCTGTGTCTTTTCAGCCTCCTTGCTGGTTTCTTCACTCCTCCTTGACCTCTTCATATTAGCCCCCTTCTTTAGCTGGTTTCACTGGCAGCCATTCTCACCCAATTTCATGACTATAAATAAGAGTTTTTCTGCGAATGATTTCCTAATTTACATCTCTAGTGTTGACCCTTCCACCTTGAACTTGAGACCCATATATCCAACCTCCTACTCAGTTTTATTAGTTGGATATCTTGATAGGCATTTCAAGCTTACTCTGCCCCACACTGAACTTCTGACCTTTCCTCTAAAACTTGTTTCACTCATGGTCTTCTCCATCTCAGTAAATGGCCCTCATCATTCCTGTTGATTGGGACCAAAACCAGCATCTGATATCCTGTCACCGCCTCTACCACTGCCACCTGGTACAGGTCTCTACCATGTTCAGTTGATTTATTGCAGTAGCCTCCCAGCTGGTCTAGCTACTTCGTTTGTTCCTCTTGCTCAGCCATCATTCTAGTCTCAACATAGTAACCAGAGTGATCCTCTTAGTAGAAGGCAGATCATGTCTCCCGCTCCACATAACACCCCCACGACTCCCCCCATCACCAAATTAAAAGCCAGAGCCCCCCCCCCTTTTTTTTTTTTTTTGAGATACAGTCTCATTCTGTCACCCAGGCTGGAGTCAGTGGCATGATCTTAGCTCATTGTAACCTCAAACTCCTGGACTCAAGCAATCCTCCCATCCTGGCCTCCCAAAACACTGGGATTACAGATGTGAGCCCCCTGCCTGGCTTTAAAGCAGAGTCTTTCACTGGCCTCTGTTACCGCAAGACTTTTACTATTTTCCCCTCACTCACTGCTCAAGTCATATGGGCTCCTTGCCAGTCACTCTTTCCTCCTAGCGCCTTTGTACTTGCTGTCCCCTCTGCCTGAAACGTTCCTCCCAGATAGTTACATAGCTGGTTCTCATTTTCTTAGGCCTTTGTTTACGTATCACCTTAGCGAAGCTCACCCTGACCACCTTTTTGAAAATGTTGATCCCCCCCACCTTCCAGTGCCCCACTTTTTCTCCTCTGCCTTGTTTTTCTCTGTAGTTCTCTTCAGCTGATAAGTAAGCATAATATTTATTGTATATTGATTCTCTTCCTACCTGATAATATAAACTTGAGGGCAGAGAGTTTTTGTCCTTTTTATTCTCTGCTGTTTCTAAGAGCCTAGTTATAAGAACTCAAATTTGTTAAACTAATTGGAAGGTTTTGAGCAGAGGATTGGTGGGCATAAAGCCCGATTGGGGTGGGCTCAGGAGGAGAGCAGGTGGCTACACTTCTCTGAAAAGAGTTTAGCTGCAAGGGGGAGCAGGGAAGCAGGTCAGTAGTGGGAGAGTGGTATGTAGGTGGAATACATGGCAGCAGGTTTGTGTGCTAGTGGTTTTCTTAGGAGGGAGAGAGAGAATTTGCTGAGGTAGAGAAGACATGGGACGGCTGCAGAAGTTTAGTCTTTGAGGAAACGAGGGAATGGGATGCGCATGCCGCTTGGAGGACTGGCCGAAAGAGGCACTTGCCACTCCTCTGATGGGTGAAGGAGAGCAGGGAGCGTGAGGACAGCGTGGGTAGGTCCCCCGAAGCGAGCATCTGGCTTCTGCATTTTCACTGCGTATTTGTATAACTCACTAAACTATTATAAGTTACTTTTCTGGGTTGTAATTATTTGTGTAAATGAATTATTTCCTTTGTAAAAGTTCTTGAGGCTGCAAATTGATTTTCTTTTTAATCTTAAAAATTAGTATTTGCCATTTTTTGCCACAGGCACCTAAACATCTTAGTGAATTAACCATTTTTTAAAAACGATCAGTCAAGCAATAACAAAACTAAAACCAACCTAACCACCCCAGGAGCTTGCTCATGGACTGAGCCACTGAGCAGGAAGGAGAAGTTGGCGGTCCTTTATCCTCTGTGACTGAGGTGATCTCTTTCCTTTGTGTTCCATTCCGCTCACTTCTTCCCCTTCACCAAGGACATTCTTTGTTTCCCATCCCTGAGGAGGGTAGAGGTTCCTAATCTTTGGCATCACACCCAATCTGGAATCCTTCAGCAGTTCCTCTTGCAATATTCACATTAAGAAGGCATCGAAAAGCCAGATGGCTGTTTGCCAGAGATACTGTGTTGGGGATTCTTAAATCCTAGTTCCCCAGGAGAATGCGAGCTCTCACCTCTGACAGCCTGTATCCATAGGGAATGTCATGGAACTGTCCCACGGTACTGCCGGAGTCTCTGGTGCCCTTTGTTTCAAAGCACCAACCTACTCTTTTGATTCATTCAGGTCTTTTAAAAATGAGTTATACATATTTAAAATTCGAATCTCACCACCACCCACACATAATTAATTATATCAGTTCTTTGTAAATACAGATCCTGCTTTTTCTTCTCATTTCTTAATTATGAGCCTTTGTTCATCACTTCTTCCCAAAAATACCCTTTCTTAATGTTTTTCCACCCCCAAAGCATGAGTTACAACCCATTAATTGGATATGAAATCAGTCTGGTAGCTAATGACCAACAGTTTTTGAAAAATGGAATAAAGCCATCCTGGCTAACACAGTGAAACCTCGTCTCTACTAAAAATACAAAAAAATTAGACGGGCGTGGTGGCGGGGGCCTGTACTCCCAGCTACTCGGGAGGCTGAGGCAGGAGAATGGCATGAACCTGGGAGGCGGAGCTTGCAGTGAGCCGAGATCATGCCACTGCACTCCAGCCTGGGTCACAGAGCAAGACACCATCTCAAAAAAAAAAAAAAGAGATAAAATAGAAGATAGAGCACACATAGTAAGAATGGGTATTTTATGAAACGCTGCTTTCATTTTTCTGTGTATTTACATAAGTGTATTTCTGCTGTGGGTCATGTTCAGAAACATTTAAAAACCTCTTTCTTATCAGACTTTACATTTTGTCAAATGTAGGAAGAAGTTCATCCCCACGTCCAAGGCTTACATAGTTTAAGAGATAGAGTGCTATAGATCATTTTAGAGATCTGGCTTCGAGCCCCAGCATCTCAGCTCACTGCATATAGAAACCTGTCATGTAGTTTTTTTTCTGGCGGGGAGGGGGTCTTAGTTCCCACACCCAATAAATAAGTGCATGCTATTTTTTATTCCAGTGGAAAGTAAAAAGACTACTTAATGAAATATAGTGGTCCCTCCATATCCATGGGGGTTTGGTTCCAAGACCTTCTGAGGATACCAAAATCCAAGGTTGCTCAAGGCCCTTAAATGGTGTCGGATTTGTCTATAACCAACAAACATCTTCCCATATACTTTAAATACTCTCTAGATTACTTATCATAGCTAATGCAATGTAAATGCTATGTAAATAGTTGTTATTCTGTATTTTTAAAATTGGGTTTTTAATTGTTATTTTTATTGGTTTGTGGGGTTTTTTGGTCTGAGTATTTTCCATTCATGGTTGGTTGAATCCACAGATACAGAACCCACAGATATAGGGGCCAACCGTAATATAAATGAAAGCACTTGCAATTCTCAGAGACAAGGAACGATTTTTTCACAGGTGATCTTCAATATCTCTTTATGCTTGTTTTGTCAGGAGAGCTTTTGCAGGAACAGGCATTTAGAAAGCCTTTGCCAGATTCCCCCCATGTACAGCTTCCTCACTTCAGGTAATTGAGTAGTGTCCTGTCTTGTTGACAGAGTGAATGCCTTTGGATTTCTTGCTTAATCAACTCATTGTTTGTCCACAGGTGCTGGCTTATTCTCAGACTCTGTATATTGGGAGAGAAACCGTTAACCTCCCCCAGAAATGTTTGTAGTCATACCTGTGTGATTTGTATATTTTCTCTATTTTTTGGTCTCATTTGTACTTAGACAAAGAGGCAGCTGAACGTCTTTCAAAAACAGTAGATGAAGCATGTCTGTTACTAGCAGAATATAACGGGCGCCTGGCAGCAGAACTGGAGGACCGTCGCCAGCTGGCTCGGATGTTGGTGGAGTATACCCAGAATCAGAAAGATGTTTTGTCGGAGAAGGAGAAAAAACTAGAGGTGAGTGCATTGAAGGCAGACCCAGACTGCCCACGTTTCCCTTCCTGTAGCCCACATTAGGAGGTTTTTATTATGCTTTAATTAACAACATTTTTATCGTTTAAAAATTCATGATGTGAATTCTGAACATCCATCAGATACTGTAATTATTTGAGCCCAGTTAAAAATTGAAGTCATGTTCTTATATGTCCAGGACAGAACAAACTGGATTGTAGGAAACAAACAGTGAACTCTTAATCACAGCCTTAGGATCTTAATATTGCTTTCGTTTGAACTCATGTTTTTAAAAAAATTACGAATTGAGGTACAAAAAGGATAGCAAATCAGTGAAAACCAAAGAATATGTTTGGTAGTATTTGGGAAGTGCTGAAAAATGTTTCTTTCAAGTCATTTGGAGGTTTATTTCTTTTTTTTTTTGAGACGCAGTCTCGCTCCGTCGCCCAGGCTGGAGTGCAGCGGTGCGATCTCGGCTCACTGCAAGCTCTGCCTCCCAGGTTCACGCCATTCTCCTGCCTCAGCCTCCCAAGTAGCTGGAACTACAGGCGTCCACCACCACGCCTGGCTAATTTTTTGTATTTTTAGTAGGGACGGGGTTTCACCATGTTAGCCAGGATAGTCTTGATCTCCTGACCTCATGATCTGCCCACCTCAGCCTCCCAAAGTGCTGGGATTACAGGTGTGAGCCACCGCGCCCAGCCGTTTGGAGGTTTATTTCTGACTTTATCCATGCTGCGGCCAAGAAGTTGTCTGCCTCCAAGATCTATCTGTAATTAGCTCTTAAATGTCACAGTAGTATTTATATAGCACAGTTCTCAAACTGTAAAAGACCTCATTTCTACCCTGGGTTGAGGACATTAGTCTGAGTGACCTTGGGGAGGGAGTTCAGAAACATTTCCTCACCATACACTTGTTTGGCTTCGTAATTAAGTACATGGTAGTTTACCCTCAGTACTTGCTCCCGTGGGATAACAGAGCCAGCAGTGTGGATTTTTGGGAACTTTGCTGCCCCGGGCTGCTGCACTTCCTTTTCAGGAATGTCTGCTCTTCTTTTTTTAAGAGATATGGAAAAGAGTTGCAGCCAGTGGTTTTGTGAAGGAGGACACTTCTGAGTTAGAGAGCCAGTCATGTTGTATTTCAAGAAATACTTCTTAAATCCCACTCAGAGTAGACAAGGGACAGGGAGAGCCATGTCACCTCCATGCTCAGGAAACGTGCTCTGGCACAGAAGGAGGGAACATTGAGCTATCTCTGAGGCTGAGATCATTGTATTTGCCTTTCAGCATGGTCATCTGACTTGAGGGGAAATGAGTGGCAGGCACTTTTTACCGTATCCTTACCTGCAGTGATTCTGGGAACTGTGTTGCGTAGTGGTAGCAGGAACTTCACATTCGTAGCCTGCTTGAATGTGGAAGATGGGAAAGGGCTGTAAAAATCCTACAGCTTAGATTTAGACATCGGCACTGACCAGAGATCCTAAAGGGAGTTTTACAGGCAGTACCAGACGGTCATTTATCTGAAATGCTCATCTTTCACTGAGGAAGCATTTTCAGCACTGTGCCCCGGGACTAATAAGAGAGTGTAATTAATGATTCTGGTTGTAAGTCACCATGCCATCTGTTGAACTGCCCCTTGGCGACACATTAAGGGCTTTCTCTGATCTGTCAGACATTGATTATCATGAGCAGCTGTTGTTGGGTAGAACGTGGCAAGCAACCATAGAGGACAGAGTCTTTGAGGAGATCGGGTTGGTAGAGCTGGTTAACTCTTTGTTCTGTTTTCCCTCCCCACAGTTGCACTCTGCTCTGTATATTGTTGGGGAATCATTCTGGTTTTTGTAGAACTAGTGGTTTGCTGGACGCCACGAGAGGGCATTAAGGTGGAGAAACAGATTAGAGCTTTGGATGCGTTCTGTAACTTTCCAGTCTGCGTTGCTCTGCGCGGTTCATTCAGTGGAATGGGGCTGGCATTCCATTGCTGAAGAAGCGGAACAGAAAGGCCCCACCACTGGAACCAACGTACAGAGTCTGAACTGAAGGTTCTTATCTCAAACCATGTCTCCGAGGCACATGAGCAGAACCATTTATTGTAAAAAATAGAGCCGATTTGCTGCATTAAAGAAAGCAAATGACTAGATACAGTATAAGGTTTTTTTCTGAGATGGAGTCTCGCTCTGTCACTCAGGTTGGAGTGCAGTGACGTGATCTCAGCTCACTGCAGCCTCCACCTCCCAGGCTCAACCAATCCCCCGTCTCAGCCTCCTGAGTAGCTGGGATTATAGATTATAGGCATGTACTACCACGCCCGGCTAATTTTTTTTGTTTTTAGCAGAGACAGAGTTTCACCATATTGGCCAGGCTGGTCTTGAACTCCTGACGTCAAGTGATCTGGCCGCTTCACAATATAAGATTTGAGAGATGGTTTTAGTTCTTTTCTTTATCCACGCTTGCTAAAAATTTAGGCAGTCTGCTCTCCTGAACCTAAGATTTTTCTCTCACATTCTGTAATAGACTGGTCCTGTCCCATCACATCCCTATGGTGGTGGCCGAACTTGATAAATGTATGCCCCTTGAAAGATGCGTGAATACTGTGAATTCCTTCAGATTGTCCAAAAGTCTCTCTGCGTGATGGGGCAGTACATAAAGTTTACCCACTTTTTTAACATTCATTTTTGTAACACAGCCAGTCCGTTTTAAAACTTCCAAATCAGAATGCTAATTAAATATTTTATTTTTTAATCCTTTCATTGCCTTCAGGATATACATAGATGAAATTCTCAGAACTCTTTGGAGAAGTAGTTATTTGCTTGCGAGTCTGTTTTCATCCCAAAGCTCTAATATACTTAGGTTTTGTGCTTTCCTTTTTAACTTTGTATCTTGCTTTATGTAATAAGCATCTTTTTCTCTTTCACTTGGGAATTTTATGTCGGTGGCTCCTGCATGTCAGGATAGGGCGTGTGATGATTCAGAGCCTAGGATGTAGGAGAGGGAATTACGGCTCAAAGTAGGAGATTGTGTTTCTTCCCTCGAGGAAATCATATTCTGGTATAAAAAACACAGGTGAACATAAAACCAAACCACTTGATCGTACATAATGTAGATTAAGGAGGCATTTGGCGGTTCTGATTGTGGTTTAAGGTAAGTCCAAACTTCCTGTCAGGCAATAAAACCTTTTTGTAAAAGGAACTAGCAGTTGAAGAAGAGAAGCATGTTTATAAATGGGGAGCAGTTAGACTGGACCAGACAGGTATCTGAAGAAAGACAAAGTCAGATGTGGGAAGGAGGTGCTGCAGACCACCAGTGGGAGATTAAGGTCTGTGCTCTTTAAGAAGCTACGTATTCATTCAGGGAGTCAGCAAAGCCTGTGCCAGCCAGATGTACAAAGATGGGCACGATGCACTTCTCCCCTCAAAGGGCTTATGCTCTAGTCAGGGGGAAATAGCAGCAAACAAGGGGTTAGGGTAGAATTCAAGATAGGTTGTCAGTAAGGAAAATATTCTCACTTGTGTCTACCTTGAAATAGACCAAGAAAAAAATGAAGATGCTAATAATAATTTGATCAGATGCTTATTAAAATTGTGAGAGTTATCAAATCATGGACAGTTTCTGAAACTGTAATGCCTTCAGCAGGTCTCCCAAAGTTTGCTAGACTGTATACTCTTTGAGTGCTCTCACAGTGCCAGGAACATATTTGTTCCTCAGTAAATACTTGTTCTGTGAAATCCATCACTTGATGTAACCTTTTTCTATAGAGAAAAGGGTTTTTTTTTAAGGTTGCATTAAAAGTGGCTTAACAAATCTGATTTAATGATTGGTTGTAAAGAATATGTTAGTACGGAAAGGTAACCATTTTTAGAAGTTTCTGTAGGTTTTCTCCTTTGTACTACTTTTCTTTTTTCCTTTAAGTAGAATTATGCTTTATTCTGAGATAATCATCTTTTTTTGTTTGTTTGTTTTTGACTTTTGCTTCAGGGTGTCATGATTGACTTTGGCCTATGATGTTGGCCCTTAAACACCAGGCAAGGGTGGAAGGAATGCTGCTGAAAATCTGTGGGTAATGTTTTTGTCATGAACATGAGAAAACCTAGAAATGGAGAAGGCACGTGGAAGGAAGCACAAATGGCAGCCCAAAGAGGAGGTTAGAGAATGTGGAGGGTATAGAAGAAAGCCCATTCAGAAAGGCAAAGGCCAAAGATACCAGAAAAGCCTTCCAGCTTCACTTCCAGAGCAAAGAGAAGCTTTGTTTGTGGTTGACAGAGGTGACTACATTACTCCCAGATGTCTGCTCAAAGCTCATAAGACATAGCGTGAGTGGGTTGGATAGGGTTCCTGTCTTGTCAGCGTGAATAAAGCATGATACAGACATGTTCTGTTAGCATGATCAGTGCATGTGGAAGAGTGTGTGTGTGAGAAAGAAACCTATTTGTACAAGTATTAAGGAAAGAAAAAAGGTCAGGAACCTGCAGTTTTCCCTTCTTAACTGTGATTTTTTTTTTTTTTTTTTTGAGACAGACTCTTGCTCTGTTGCCCAGGGCTAGAGTGCAGTAGAGCAATCTGAGCTCACTGCCTCCCGGGTTCAAGCGATTCTCGTGCCTCAGCCTCCCGAGTAGCTGGGACTACAGGCGCATGCCACCACACCCAGCTAATTTTTGTATTTTTAGTAGAGATGGGGTTTTGCCATGTTGGGCAGGCTGGTCTCGAACTCCTGATCTCAGGTGATCCACCTGCCTTGGCCTCCCAAAGTGTTGGAATTACAGGCATGCGCCTCCATGCCTGGCCTTAACTGTGAATTTTATTCAGATCATGGTGTCTGACTGTCAGCGATCTAGAACTGAAAGCAGATAGTCCTGTGTTGACCCACATGCCACATGGTGCACACACACAAAGATGATATGCCACACAGGGAAGAGCTCTTGAGAAATTTGTTCCAAGCTGCAGATTTATTGTTTTAGTTGAGGTGAAATTCATATAACGTAAATTAACCATGCACTTCAAAGTGCACACATTTTGGTGGCATTTAGTACGTTCACAGTATTGTATCAAGTTCCAAAACATAATTGTGTCTGGCTTCTTTCGGCACGATGTTTTCAAGATTCATCCCATGTTGTAGCATATATCAGTACTTCATCTCTTTTATGGTAGAACACTAATCTGTTGTATGGATGTGACACAGTTTATAACCTGTCTATGGACATTTGAGTTGTTGCCACCTTTTGGCTCTTATGAATAGTGTTGCTATAAACAGTCATGTGGAGGTTTTTGTGTGGCCATATCTTTTCATTTCTCTTGGTTATGTATAAATCTAGGAGTGGAATTGCTGGGTCATATGGTAATTCTATGTAACATTTTGAGGAACCATCAGACTGTTTTCCACAGCAGCTACATCATTTTACATCCCCACTAGCAATGTGCGTGGGTTCCAGTTTCTCCACATCCTCATCAACATTTGTTATTGTCTCTTTATTTTCGACAACCTACATGTGCAGGTTTATCTCATTGTGATTTTGATTTGCATTTTGCTAATTACTAACGATACTGATCATCTTTCAGTATGCTTGTCGGCTGTTTATCTTTGGAGAAATGTGTGTTCAATTCCTTTGCCCATTTTCAAATTGGGTTATTTGCTTTTTTTGAGTTGTAAAAGTTCTTTATATATTGTGGATAATATACCTTTATCACATAAATGATTTGCAACTATTTTCTCCTATAAGTTGTCTTTTCACTTTCTAGGTAATATCCTTTGATGTGCAAAAGTTTTTTATTTTTATGAGTTCCAATTTATCTATTTTTGTGGTTGTTGCTCATGCTTTTGGTGTCACATGTAATAATCTGTTGCCAATCCCAGGTCATGACAATTTTTTTCTGTGTTTTCTTCTAGAAGTTTTATAATTTTATGTCTTAAATTTACGTTCTTAATCTGTTTTGAGTTAGTTTTTGTATGTGGTGTGATGTAGGGGGGGACCAACTTCATTCTTTTGCCTGTAGATATCCATTTGTCCCAGCACCATTTGTTGAAGAGACTACTCTTTTCCTCCACCTGAATGCCCAGCACCCTTGTCAAAAATCAATTGGCCACAGATGTATTGGTTTATTTCTGGATTCTCAATTCTATTCCATTAATGTATATGTCTATCCTATGCTCATACCACACTATCTCCATCACTGTAGTTTTGTAGTAAGTTTTAAAATCAGTAAGTATGAGTCCTCAGAGTTCTTTTTCAGTATTGTTTTGGCTATTTAGGATCGCTTGCAATTCCCTATGAATTTAACAATCACCTTTTCCATTTCTGCAAAAAAGGTAATTGAAGTTTTACTAGGGAATGCATTGAGTCTGCGGGTCACTTTGGGGAGTATTGCGATTTTAGCAGTCTTAAGTGTTTCAGCTCATGAACAGGGGATGTCTTCACATTTATTTAAGTCTTCAATTTCTGCTGCAGAATTTTAAAAAGCACTCTAGGAGAGTGTCATTTACTGATGCATTTGATATTATAAAGGCCCTGTCTAGGTTTTGGGACCACAGATGGAGGGCAGTGGTATCACCTTTCAATAATGTTAACCCCCACCTCTAGAAGATATGAGTATTTTGTGTATGGACTCAATGGAGTCACCAGGGCACAGTCACAACAGCAGCTTTACAAAGTAAAGTGACACATAGAGGCCTGGATATCTAAGTAAAGTGATTAGCAGGATTATTGAGCTGGACAGAACCTTAGAGATCATATAATCAGACTTCTGAATTGGTGAAGAAACCTAGAGAGAGAGGTAGCTGCAGACCAGCATAGAGTCCAAGGCAGACATCTGGTAACTTCATCAGATTTGTACTTTTGTTTTGATTTCAGAATTTTGATTCTGCAACATCAACAGCAGGAAGACATCTTACACAGAATAGTAGCCAAAGTTTAATCATTTAAACAGTTCCCAAGAATCTTGTTGTAGAGAAATGACATTTTATGTGGGGTCATAAAATGATTGCATGAAAGCATTCTAAGTGTGAAAGAACCTACTCTGCCACCAAGGTTCTAAGTACCTGCCTCGCTGTACCCCTGCTCACGCTCTTGCTCTGATAGGAGGGGAGAAATTGGCTCATGAACTTAAAGCTGCTGGTGTTTCTCCTCGCTTGGCACCTCCCCCTTGGCTGTAATGACTACTCAGGAGTAGAGCCTCTGACTTCAGACAACACAGCTGGGAAGGGGGAAATGGTTCAGAATCCAACATTGCCTTATGACTCTTCATATTTCTGTTTGATTGTGGTTATAACAACTTGAGAAATTCTTTGGCTACAGTTGAAGGGGTGCTCAACCAAAATGATGGCAGATTGTTGTTTTTGGCAGCACCTCCCTGCAGGGTGCAGATGGTTAGAAGCTTTTGTTTCAATATTAGGCCAGGCAGTAGGGGGAGATAGAGAGCTCCTTTTTTGTCAACTTTGGAGTAAATTCGTCTTTCCTATGATGATCAAAGCCAGTATCTCAGTGTCCTATCATGGTAAGGACAGATGGGAGCCGGTGATCTAATTGTCATTTTAGGTAAGAGCCCTTGGGTTTATGTGAACACTTCAGGGTCACAGAGGAAGCCAGTGAGGACCAGTACCTGGATCTTCTGACTCCTAACTACAGTGATCATCCACTGTGTTCTCCTGGGAGCTGAGAGGCCCTGCCTAGTGCCGGCCCCCTCCTCTCAGTCCTCTAAACTCACTGCCCTTCTGTAGTATTCAAGTCTGTCCTCCCTAGGCTGGCAGCTCTGTCAGCACCCAGGTTGTTAGAATAGTTGTTAAAACAGGTCATTCTGTTGCCAAGTAATTACGGGGCCTTGCACTCAGTACCTTCCCACGAAGCAGGCCGTAGTGTGCTTACTGCTCTCCCTTGCCTTTCCATCCCCTACTTTGATGTGGGAGTTTTCTTTCTTTTTACTTTTCTTTTATTTTCTTTTTTTCCGCCAGTTTCCCTCCAATATGTGAGGACTTTTATTGAGTTAATGTGTGGGCTTCTGTGAGTGATTTGGAGTTCCTTGGATTTCTTTTATTCATTTTAGTCTACTGACCCTACTGCTTAGGCCCAGTTTATAGCTGGAGCTTTTATCTGTTGGGTGTGTGTGTGTTTCTTTATTACAATGTGAAACCTATGATACTTATTTTTCACTCCAGGAAAATAATGCCACATTATAATGTACTTCACATACTTAGTGACTTAAGAACATGATTTGCCAACATTTGAGACTTTGAGACTTTACATTGAAAAAGTGACACGGTTTTAAGGCTTTCCCAGCAAGAATTCATGCCTTTAGCCATAGTACCGTTTTCATATTTGTAGCCCAACTTCTGTGGGCAGTGTAACCCCTGCTTGATGGAACAGTGCCACTGAGTTTCAGCTGGTATATGTAGCACTAATTTTTCATATTTATGGAATGCATATAATATGAAGTTAAAACAGCACCTGGGCCTCTTATTACTCCTGCCTGCCAGAACATTCACTCTGGTTCAACTAGTACTCAGGGTTTTTGTTTTTGTTTTTGTTTTCTTTTTTTGATTGTAAAAGTAATACATCAGAGGAAACTTAGCAAATAAGTATAAAGAATAAAATTAGTCTCATTACCCAGAGATAACTATTTTTAATTTTTGCGTATTTCCTTTTCCTCTTAGTTTAAAATTAAACTGAATGATAACTTGCAGATAATTTTCTGTCATGCTTTTTTCTTAACATGATTATTTTTCCTTGTAAATAAAAACTTTATAAACATTGTAAATGATTGCTTGAATACCTGTGGTTGGATAGTCAATGATTATTTGTATTGAGCACTTGTATGTTTCTGTCTCTGTCTCTTAGCTTTAGGCTAACTTTCAGTGTTTGGATTATTTTCTTCCTGTAGATTTCTAGAAGTGGTTCTATGTATATGTGCAGATGTCTGCTTGTCTTTTAAGTATACTGAAGGTCATATACATTTCACGGTCTCTGCCACCAGAATGCGTTCCTGCTGTAGGAGTTCTTGTCTTTTCCAAAGCATCTTAACCAGTCTAGGACTTCATTGAGCTTATTTTGTATAAACCTCTATACAAGTTAAGGATTAGTCTTTTGTTTTATGAAGGAGTAAACACAGAATAGTTTAATTAGACTAATGGAGCTCTCTTCTGGCTTTTAAATGATCTTGTTTACATTTGAGATAGCTGTGTGAAAATAGCACATACTTCTACTATAACATTGACTTGAGTGAGCATAATATTGAGAGCAAGGTTCAGATTGCAGAAATTTGAGCTGCCTGTTTGACCTAGTGGGTGCAAGTTATTTTGAGCAAGGTTCTATTTTAGTCTTTATGAATGTTCTTACTACTGTTAAGGTGGGCCTTCTACTCCCACTTAAAATTGGGATTCTGAAGAAAGTTAAAATTGGATTGTGGCATACTTTGCAATCTTGGAAGTTAATCTCTGACTTTGTTTTTCTGTCTCTAAAATGTTAGACTTGAAATAGATCAGAAAGAGTCATTTTCTGAGATCAGGGCAAAGTATTCTGGTTATAATCAGGAGTCAAGTGAAACCTTTGCAGATGAAAGCCATGAGCCCCAAAGATATGGCATGCTTTATGTGAAGAGGATGGTACTAGCCAGCTGTCATGATGGCTGTGCAAGCCTCCTTATTTGTTTTTTTCCTTATTGAGGTCCTTTATCTTTAAACATCTGTAGGAAGAAGTATGATTAGCTCTCTTTGCCTAATTCTGCCAGTAGCTACTTTGAGAATTTCAAGCACAATAACTTCGCAAACTTCAACTCAACAAAAATTTACCAGCAGCCTTTCTGAGAATTATTGGGGTTTGGACAGTAATTATGAATGGACAAATCCTACTTTTACTCATGATGTCCTTTTCCCAGTCCTTTCCTTTTGCTCACAGTGTGTCTGTTCTGTGGGGCATAGACTCAGTAGGAATTGTTCCCTTTAAGATACCATTTACCCCAATTATGGTGCAGTGATGATGATCTGCTTTGCATATTTCAGGTTCTTTTTGGCTTTTTCCATTGAAGCCAGTGGTCCTCCCAGCGTTTTATCTTTGATGTGACTTTTCATTGATAAAGTAACACTTTACCTTCCTGGGACAACAGATTCCAACACCTTAACTAATCTGAAGTTGTTAGCTTCCACCTTCCCTCGTCACATGGGACCTTTAGGGCCAATTTATTTTCCTGCCCACATGAGAAGTCTCCAGTAAACTAGCTGAAGGTCCTCAGCATGTAGCATGCTTTGTCTCTCCAGTGTTTAAAAGAAATCATCACATTCACATGAGCATACCCTCTGCACCACCCTCCCTTTATAACTACCACCATATCCACTTCCCTTGCTGCCTCTGCTTCTCAGCCTGTTGCAGCTTGGCATGCATGTCTACATTCCACCCAAGTGGCTGTCTTCAGAATTTCCCCCCTTCCCCCCACCCCTGCCCCCAGTGGTCTAATCTCAAAACCCAAAAGGTACTTCTTAGTCTCTGCCTCTTGGCTCCCTTTCTCTTTTTGGCCCTGTCTGCAGCATTTAATATTACTGTATTACAATGTATTTGCATTTCTGGTTTCTGTGTACCACCCTCTGCTGGTTCTTCTGCTTTTTCATCCTTCAATAAGCTTTTCTCCATGCCTTTATTGTAAATGTTGCCATTCCTTTAGCCTTTTCTCATTCTGGACCTTTTTTTTTTTTTTTTTTTTTTTTTTTTTTGAGATGGAGTCTCGCTGTTGCCCAGGCTGTAGTGCAGTGGTGCGATCTGGACTCACTGCAACCTCCCACCTCCTGACTTCAAGCAATTCTTCTGCCTCAGCCTCCTGAGTAGTTGGGATTACAGGCACCCACCACCACACCCAGCTAATTTTTGTATTTTTAGTAGAGACGGGGTTTCACCATGTTGACCAGGCGAGTCTTGAACTCATGACCTCAGGAGATCCACCCGCCTCAGCCTCCCAAAGCGCTGGGATTACAGACATGAGCCACTGCACCAGGCCTGGACCTTTTCCTTGAGTGCTTTATACTTAGGCTGGCTTCAGTTACCAACTGGATGTTGATGGCCTACCTCTAGATCTCTAGGTCAGACCTCTTCCATGTACTTCAGACTCATGTATCTCATTTCCACAGACACCTCAGACAGTATGGCTGCGACAGACTGTCTCCTTCCTTCTCACCTCTCCTTTCCTTCTCTTTCCTTGGCTTGGAGAGTGGCAGTGCCATCCATCAAAATCAGACACTAGGCCTCATCCAGTGTTTCTCCTGATTTTTTTCAGCTCCCAAATCTGTTGCTTTGGCCTCCTTGTCACAGCCTCTCCCTCAGTTCCTCTGCTATGCCTCTGCCAGGTTGACCTCCCACCACCATCTTCCATAGCTGAGTAGGTGCTACGCCAGTGTGGTTTTTGCTCCCTCTCAATTTTTCATGAATCTGCCTCCCTTCTCTGCGTCTTTGTCTCCACTTCCATCACCTTAGTCCACTCTGTCATCATCTGTCCCCCCTGGATCCTTGCAGTAGCCTCATGACTGATCATCTACATCTGCTCTTAGGCCCTATAATCCATTCTTCACATGGCAGCCCTATGATGTGTTCAGAATGCAGCTCTGAGCATGTCATTCCCCTGTTTAAACATTTAAGTAGCTTCTCATTATTCCTAGTTCTTCGAATATGGGCCCAGTGGCCAGGTGTGGTGGTTCACACCTGTAATCCCAGCACTTTGGGAGGCTGAGGCAGGCGGATCACTTGAGTCCAAGAGTTTGAGACCATCCTGAGCTACATGGCAAAACCCCGTCTCTATCAAAAATTAAAAAATTAGCTGGGCATCGTGGTTCATGCCCAGCTACTGGGGAAGCTGAGGCAGGAGGATCACTTGAGCCCAGGAGGTGAAGGCTGCAATGAGCCATGATCGTGCCACTGCACTTCAGCCTGGGCGACAGAGTGCAGGCTGTCTCAAAAAAAAAAAAAAAAGACTATGGGCCCAGCTGCTGGCCTGGCCCCCTCCTGTGCCCTATGACTTGGCCCCTGCTGACTTCCTCAGCCACATCTCTTGTTGTGTCCCATGGCATTTTGTCTGCACTTGGCCTTCTTTGATCTCAGGCTTTACATATGCTGTTCCCACTCTCTGCCCAGGACACACTTCCCCTTGTTTACTTTCCATCAGTTATACTTACCTAGTTAATTCCTGTGTTCACCATTTGTATCTCATGTCAAACAGTATTTTCTCAGGGCAGTCTTTCCTCAGACCCCACCCCAACCCCCCAGCCCCATACACTGTCTTAGCTCCCTAGCTTTTTCCTTCAGAGCACCACATAGGTTGTCAGTCTGTTTGTGGATTATTGCCAGACCATAAAGTTCTGTCTGTATTGTCACTCAGGCATGTCCAACCCACTCCTGATACTTGGCCCACTGTCCTGATCTCAGAGTGGCAAGTACCGATGTCACTTGGTTCATCTCTAGACAAGGTCGGTGTCTGCCTTTGATGGGGACTCTTTCCAGTCTGAGGATGTTGCTCGATGGACTTCTTCTCACTAAGCCTATAGCTTGATGGACTGACTGGACTATGGTACCACCAAGTTTAAAAATTCTGTGATTTTTTTTTGTTTTCCAATATTATAGGTAGACCTTTAAGGAAAAAGAGGTGCCCTCGGTCAAAGATCCTTTCCTTTTCTCAAGGCAGCTTCTAGTAAATGTGCTAAATTTTAAGGATATAATCAAATGGTTTCTGGGAGAAAGGATCTTGTATCCCATTAATAATTCTTTTTCTTCAACTCTGCATGTCTTTTCTTGACATATTATAAATCAGGAAGATTAAGTATTGCTCATAAAATAATAGAATATGGGAGGGGTGAGTGTTCTTTCTCCATCAGATCTGTCGATTCAAATGGAACAGTTTAGCAAGTGCCTGTTCTCACCCAAGCTTCCCCCGTGCCATAGGCGTTGTTTTCATTCCCATCTCATACATAGGAGCCCAGTGAGTTTGTCACATGTTATATCCTAGGCACATGGAAGTGTAGGATAGGAACTTGGATTTTCTTTTTTTTTTTTTCTTTCCAACTTTTATTTATTTTATTCAGGGGGTTCAGGTTTGTTAACATGGGTACATTGTGTGTCACAGGTATTTGGCGTACAGATAATTTTGTCATCCAGGTAATTGGCATTGTACCTGATAGGTAGTTTTTCAGTTCTCACCCTCCTCCCATCCTCCACCCTCAAGTAGTCCCGGGTGTCTTATTTTTCCCTTCTTTGAGTTCATGTGTTCTCAATGTTTAGCTCCCAACTTATAAGTGAGAACATGCGGTATTTGGTTTGCCTCATCCATGTTGCTGCAGAGGACGTGATCTCATTCTTTTTTATGGCTGCATAGTATTCCATGGTATATATGTACTCATTTTCTTTATCCAGTCTACTGTGGATGGGCATCTAGGTTGATTCCATGTCTTTGCTATTGTGAATAGTGCTGTGATGAACTTAGGCATGCATGTGTCTTTATGGTAGAATAATTTATATTCCTTTGGTTATATACCCAGTATTGGGATTGCTGGGTTGAATGGTTGTTCTGTTTTAAGTTCTTTGAGAAATCTCCAGACTGCTTTCCACAGTAGCTGAACTAATTTACATTCTCACTAGCCCTTTATAAGTGTTCCTTTTTCCCCACAACCTCCCCAGCATCTGTTATTTCTTGACTCTTTAATAGCCATTCTGATTGGTATGAGATGGTATCTCATTGTGGTTTTGATTTGCATTTCTCTAATGATTAGTGATACTGAGCTTTTTAAATATGCTTGTTGGCTGCATGTATGTCTTCTTTTGAAAAGTGTCAGTTTGTGTCCTTTACCTATTTTTAATGGGGTTTTTTGTTACTTGCTTATTGACTTAAGTTCCTCATAGATTGTAGATATTAGGCCTTTGATGGTGGCATAGTTTGCAAATATTTTCTCCCATTCTGTAAGTTGTCTTTTTGCTCTGTTGATAGTTTCTTTTGCTGTGTAGAAGCTCTTTAGTTTAATTAGATTTTACTTTTCAGTTTGTTTTTGTTGCAGTTACTTTTGGAGTCTTTGCCAGGGCCGGTGTCCGGCATGGTATTTCCTAGGTTTTCTCCTAGGGTCTTTGTAGTTGGAGGTTTTACATTAAGTCTTGATCCACTTTGAGTTGGTTTTTATATATGGTAAAAGGAATGGGTCCAGTTTTAATCTTCTGCATATGGATAGCCAGCTATCCCAGCACCATTTATTGAATAGAGAATACTTTCCCCATTGCTTGTTATCATCAGCTTTGTCAAAGATCAGATTCTTGTAGGTGTACAGCTTTATTTATTTATTTATTTTTTTGAGTCTTGAGTCTCTCTTTGTCTCCCAGGCTGGAGTGCAGTGGCACGATCTCGGCTTGCTGCAACCTCCGCCTCCCAGATTTGAGCAGTTCTCCTGCCTCAGCCTTCCGGGTAGCTGGGATTATAGGCATGCGTCACCACGCCTGGCTTATTTTGTATTTTTAGTAGAGATAGGGTTTCCCCATGTTGGCCAGCCTGGTCTCGAACTCCTTACCTCAGGTGCTCCACCTGCCTCAGCCTCCCAAAGTGCTGGGATTATAGGCATGAGCCACCGTGCCCAGCCAGTGTACAGCTTTATTTCTGAGTTCTCTACCCTGTTCCATTGGTCTTTGTATCTGTTTTTGTACCATTTCCATGCTGTTTTAGTTACTGTAGCCTTATAGTATAGTTTGAAGTTGGGTAATGTGATGCCCTGGGCTTTGTTCTTTTTGCTTAGGATTGCTTTGGCTATTTGGGCTTTTTATTGGCTCAGAATCAATTTTAGAATATTGTTTTCTCTTTGTTTTGTTTTTGTTAGTAGATGCTGTGCATGCAAAAATAGTTTTTCCTAATTCTGTGAAGAATGTCTTTGGTAGTTTGATAGGAATAGCATTGAATCTGTACATTGCTTTGGGTAGTATGGCCATTTCAACAATATTGATTTTTCCTATCCATGAGCATAGAAGTTTTTCCATTTGTTTATGTTGTCTCTGACTTCTTTGAGCAGTGTTTTGTAATTCTTGTTGTCGAGATTTTTCACCTCCCTGATTAGCTGTATTTTATTCTTTTTGTGGCTTTTGTGAATGAAATTGTGTTCTTGATTGGGCTGTCAGCTTGGACATTATTGGTCTATAGAAATGCTACTGATTTTTGTATATTGATTTTGTGTCCTGAAGCTTTGCTGAAGTTATCAGAACTAGGAGCCTTTGGGTAGACATTATGGGGTTTTCTAGCTATGGAATCATATAGCCTGCAACGAGAGATAGTTTGACTTCCTCTCTTCCTATTTGGATGCCTTTTATTTCTTTCTCTTGCTTGATTGCTCTGGCTAGGACTTCCAGTACTGTGTTGAACGGGGGTGGCAAGAGTGGGCATCCTTGTCTTATTCTGGCTCTCAAGGGAAATGCTTCCAGCTTTTGCCTGTTGAGTATGATGTTTGCTGTGGGTTTGTCATAGATGGCTCTTATTATTTTGAGGTATGTTCCTTCGATGCCTAGTTTGTTGAGGACTCTTAACATGAAGGGATGTTGAATTGTATCGAAAGCCTTTTCTGCATCTGTTGAAATTTGAAATGATGATGAAGTTTTTGTTTTTAGTTCTGTTTATGTGATGGATCACATTTGTTATTTTGCATATGCTGAACCAACCTTGATTCAACAAATAAAGCCTACTTGATCATGGTGGATTAGCTTTTTGATGTGCTGCTGGATTTGGTGTGCTAGTATTTCATTTATTTTTACATCTGTGTTCATCACGGATATTGGCCTGAAGTTTTCTTTCTTCATTGTGTCTGCCAGGTTTTGGTATCAGAATGATGCTGGCTTCATAGAATGAGTTAGGGAGGACTCCCTCCTTCTTGATTTTTTTGGGAATACTTTCAGTAGTAGGATTGGTACCAGCTCTTCTTTATATGTCTGGTAGATTTTGGCTCTGAATCCATCTGGTCCAGGGCTTTTTTTGGTTGGTAGGTTTTTAAATTACTGATTCAATTTTGGAACTCGTTAATAGGTCTGTCCAGGGTTTCAATTCCTTCCTGGTTCAATCTCGGGAGATTCCGTGTTTCTAGGAATTTATCCATGTCTTCTAGGTTTTCTAGTTTGTGTGCATAGAGGTTGAACTTGTATTTTCTTTTTTTGTTGTTGTTTTGTTTTTGTTTTTGTTTTTGAGACGGAGTCTTGCTCCGTCCCCCAGGCTGGAGTAGAGTGGCGCCATCTCGGCTCAGTGCAAGCCCCGCCTCCCAGATTCACACCATTCTCCTGCCTCAGCCTCCCGAGCAGCTGGGACTACAAGGCACCTGCTACCATGCCTGGCTAATTTTTTGTATTTTTAATAGAGACGGGGTTTCACTGTGTTAGCCAGGATGGTCTCGGTCTCCTGACCTCGTGATCCGCCTGCCTTGGCCTCCCAAAGTGCTGGGATTACAGGCGTGAGCCACCACGCCCGGCCTGAACTTGTATTTTCTGACTTCTGCCACAGCCATCTCCCTCCAGTAGAAAAGATATGATATACTCCCAGTCATTTGGAGGTGCTAAGAAACATAACCTTATTGTTTGTTTGCTAATGGAAAGGAATTGAAATTTTTTTTTATTATAGAGAGAGCTGTATTCCAGTGTAGTAAGTAACCTACAGACTGTCTTACCCTGGGCAGATCTGCCAGCACTAAAAACTACAATAAACATTGCTTAAAAGAATTTTACATGATACAACCAAATACACAAGCACACACACAAAAAAATTTGTCTGTTAGTTTGTCTTTTTCCTTTCTACCCTTTGTTTCTCAGCTGTCCTCCAGGAATGCTTGACTTTACCAGTATTTGGCTTAAAATGAGAAACCTTTGTCTGTACCTTTGATGTTTGTTTGCACAAAAATCAATAATCTGGCTTTCCATTAAAATAGTCCTTAAAGAAGCTAGTTTGTGGGGTCTTTGTTAACTTGTGCAAAGCATACATTTTTGATGGTTTACTTTAAAAAAAAAACTAAATAGTTTGTCTTATACTTTAGTATTTTGGTTTTACTGGTTTTATGTAGTGAGGGACCCCATTCCATAAATGTAAGGATTTTTGAAGGATCCAGGTCCATTTATTAATCTGTATCTTTTTAAAGCATTTTATGAGCATCTGTTAAATTGAAAATATTTAGCTTTATGATTATATTAAGGCTTGAAAATTGTCCAGTCCTAAAGTGTATTTTCCTTTTTTAGTTTTTTTTAGTTAGTATAGACACTGACTTTTCATTCTCCCCTTGCTTCCGCATGTCCCTATGAGATCAGGGGTTTTGTTGTGCCAGTAGAAGCTCCCTTATCACCTTTTGTGTAGAGGAGCCTCTGGGGAGAAAGCAATGCCCTGAAAATGCTCTGTGGTACAATTTCAGGTTTAAGAAGCTCGCTCCCATTTGGAGTTTCCCGTGGATGGCCGAACTGCTCCAAGAACATTCCTCCAGTTATAGGCATTTTGTCGTTTTTCCTTTTGGGAAATACTTTGTGTGTACCTTTATTACGGGTTTTGATAGTGGAGCTGAGAGGCCCCGAGTATTGGGATTGGAGCCACAATTTCTTCTCTTCTTTGTATCTTACCCAGTGTCTTACTCAGCAGCTCCCGCCGTGCTGTGACACCCCAGAATGTGTCATTTCGAAACGTCACAGCTGCCACTAGGTCATATGGGAGCGTGGAGCTGGCTGGGGGAGAGGTGCAGGTCAGTGATGGTTTTTTTTTCCCACATGGGATCTTTGAAGAAAATTTTAAAATGGCACTCTTATTTTCAATCCAAATATTCATATATTGTATTTTCCAGAAACATAATGAGGGAATGAAATTGTGGTTTAAGAGGCTGTGCTTCTCAAGTGTAGGTCCTGTGGCTTTAGTAGCAAGGGGTAGGCCTCCTGGCAGGATGAGGGGGCTTGGCGGGTGTGTTAAATATTGGTGGGGTGTGGGTCAGCTTCCCCTTTGGGCTTGGCTTTCTCAACCTCCATACTATGAAGCAGTCCTTTGACTTAAATTCAGTGTGGCAGGTCACCTTTAAAAGAGGGGCCTTCGTAAACTGCTTCGTGCACGATAACCCTTTATGACTCTTAATTGGGGGTAGCCGAGCAGTGGGTGATTTTGATATACCATATGTCCTGTAGCACAACAGGGCAAGATGATGGAGATTTCCAGGAGTCCTCTACTTAGCAAGAAGGAAAATAGGTTTAATAATGTTTACATTTTGATCGTTGTTTCTTAGATGTGTTGCTAGAGGAAACGCTTATAGTTTTGTTTGTTTTGAAAATGAAATTCCTGTGGAAAGGTCATTGCAATGCCAGCCCCTGTCATTTCTAGCCCACTTATCCCAGAGCTCATCTGCAGTGTGTCAGGTCTGGCTTACTTCTCTAACCAAAAAAGGCAAAGAATGTGTAAGCCCTGCTCTCTTCAGCAAATTGTCTGGGTGCTCCGTGATGGGTGGAGTTCACGGTGTCAGCTGGATCCACAGGAAGCAGGGAAATGTTATAGACACATTTTCTCCTGTAAGTTTAGAGAGTCTGTGAGGCAAGATTCCAAAGCTTTGCCAAGAGCATAAATCCTAGGCTTTATCTCAGAACTACACATTGGGCCTTACCCTCTACATTGTAAACATTTCTTGGCAGTCAAATAAACCCAGGCAGTTTCTCGAAGGTGCCTGCCACCTCCTCCACCTCCCCTTCTTGAGGATCCTGACACAGGTTTGCTGCAGCAAGTCAGATATGATTCTTCCCTATTCGGGGCCCCCCACGGCTCTTCTGGGCTAGGGCAGGTTTGCCGCAGTAGGTACTTGCCGCTGAATGGAAGGCCCACCTCAGCCCCCCACATCTCAGTATAAATAATGCGTGCGCTGGAGAGGAATAGCAACCAGACTGCTTGGGTTTTGCCATGTCTTCTCTTGCATAAGATTGGTCGTGGAGGAAAGGCACCCTCTGAAGATGAGAGTGCTGGAGAGAGCGTTGTGCGCTGTGGTTGAGAAGAGTGCGCTGGTGGGGAGAGGAGACTGATGGGCAAGAACGCTGCAGCAGGCTCGTCCTGCAGCTGTAAATGGCACAGGACTGGAGCTCTTGAATTCCAGTTCTAGGCAGGGGAGCGTGGGTGTTGGATGAAAGGTTTAGTCCTGTGTTACATACAGGACTAAAGTATAGTCCTGAGTAAAGTGTCTGAAACAAGAAGCATGTGACCACCTGGGCACATCATTTTTCTACCTGAGTGGTACTTGGTGTACTAAAGAGATTATGGGATGCAGCACACTTAGACAAGGTGGAAGAATCTGAGTGGGTCTCATCACGTTGGAGTTGGTTTTTATGGGATATGGAAAAGAGGCCCGGATTTCTTCTGAGAGCAGGAGTAGCTGAGGAGCCCCGTGGCAGCAGAGCTCGTGAACTACACTTGTGTGAGAAGACAGGCTGGTAAGTTGAGACACGAGATTCTTGGATTTTCCTGAGACCTTTCTCCTTCATCTCTCCAGACCCAAAGAGAATAACCTGGAAAGTCAGCTAGTGAGGGTCTGCAAGACCCAACTGAGAGAGCTTAAGAACCAGAGAATTTGGAGGCAGGTGAAGGCTGGAGTTGTATTTGGGGGAGTTTTGTTTGGAGTCAGTCTTTTTTTTTTTTTTTTTTTTGAGACAGGGTCTCACTCTCACCCAGGCTGGAGTGCAGTGGTGTGATCTTGGCTCACTGCAGTCTCCACCTCCTGGGCTCAAGCAATCTTCCCACCTCAGCCTCCTGAGTAGCTGGAACTATAGGCATGTGCCACCACGCTTGGCTAATTTTGCATTTTTTGTAGATGGGGTTTTGCCATGTTCGGGCACAAGTGATCCACCTGCCTCAGCCTCCCAAAGTGTTGGGATTACAGGCGTGAACCACCTTGTCTAGCCTGGAGTCACTGTTAATTTCTTCTGTTGGTCCATGGCAAGGTTTACAGATGACTTTGTTTGGAAAGCCTGAATCTGTTTTTAAAAGCAGGGATGGGGAGTGGGAAATCACAGTAGTTACTACTTGAGTCTATTTAGTGGACTATAAAAATTACTATAGCTTCAGTTTAACCTAATCAGAGCTTGCCATGAATTCGAGCCTGCTTGCCTCTCTTCAGGAAATTAATCTGGGTCATTTGACTGTCCCAGTTAAGCAGGTACATGTTTTAACAGTTTTAAAGGCAATTGCTGCCTGTATTTGGTTTTTCAGAGTATATACCCGGTTATCCTTGCCAATACATTTAAACCTCTTAGCCTACAGATCTTTTCTTTTTACCAGCCTCAGTGTTTTGTGTTTTTCATTTTTTTGTGGAGACAGGGTCTCTATTTCCCAGGCTGGTCTCGAACTCCTGGCCTCAAGCAGTCTGTCTGCCTCAGCCTCTGAAAGCATTGGGATTAAAGGCGTGAGCCACCATGCCCAGGCCAGCCTTGATGTTTATTAATCCTTTTCAGTGACAGTCTCACTCTCCCTCTTTCTTTCTCTAGTGATTCCTTCCTCTGACGCCTGCTCTTACAATAGGCGTCCCTGCGAGAAGAGTCACCCAGTGGCATCAAGAGCTCTGGGCAGGATCCGTCCACTTCCAGAGTGGCCTGAAGAGTGGAACACATTTCTTTTTAGTTAAATGAGTTTCTTCGGTAATGTCCAGAATATAATAGCCTAAGCATGATGGAATCCCCCGTACCCCACCCTATACCCCCTTCCAAACAGAAACAACTGTTGTTTGGTTTTTTGGGGTTTTTTTTGTTTTTTTGTTTATTTTTTTGACACGGAATTTCACTCTGTTGCCCAGGCTGGAGTGCAGTGACACAATCTCAGCTCACCACAACCTCTGCCCCGCCGGGTTCAAGCAATTCTCCTGCCTCAGCCCCCTGAGTAGCTGCGATTAACAGGCACCCACCACCCTGCCCAGCTAACTTTTGTATTTCTTAGTAGAGATGGAGTTGCACCATGTTGCCCAGGCTGGTCTTGAACTCCTGACCTCAGGTGATCTGCCTGCCTCGGCCTCCCAAAGTGCTGGGATTATAGGCATGAGCCACTGCGCCTGGCCACAACTGGGATTTTTAAGAAATTGCCTAGGAGAGAGTTAGTTGAACTTAAGGTGGTGTCTAATTAGAGCAAAGTGCCTTCCATTTTAACTTCAATGAACTTGCCACGTTGGTCTGATGATAACCCAAGAGTAAGGAGTCTTGGATTCTGATCCCAGCTCAGCTTCTAGAGACTTGGTGGTTTTCAAATTGTTCTTGAGGGACTCCTTCAACTGAAGGGCTCCCTAGTTGCCAAGAGTGGTTGGTTCTGAGTCGAGGTGGCTTTGATTTGTCAGCTTTGGTCAGAGAATTCAGGCAGGGGGCAGGAAGTCCGTGTTCTGTAGTTGTTTTGTTATTTTACCCTTTTTATACCTTCCATTCAGGAGAAGTTTATTAGATGAATCCGTGTCCAGAAATAGAGAATTAGTTGCCTTCATCCTTTATATTAATTTCCCTTGAAGTATAAACAGCCAAAGAAGAAAAGTACTTGTGGGAGAAAGGGGGTTCAGATCCTCAAATTTGAAAATAGTTTTCAACTTCAGGAACGTGAAAGGTGACTGTTAACCAAAGTCTGAGTCTCAGGAGCTACTTCATGTGGTATGCTTTTACCTGATGTTATGTTTTAGATATGGCTCATTCATTCGGCACATGTGCTGGGTGCCTACTGTTTGCTGGACACTGCGGAGCCTGGTGGATGCTGGGGGAAGCAGATGGGTCTGGTCCTGGCCTCCAGGAGCTTACTAGTTAAATGTGGGAGTCATTGCTAATCATTTACGTAAGTCATTGTTTAATTTTAGTTGTGGTAAGTTTACAAAGAAAAGAAATGGGCTGCTAGGAGAGCTCACTCTCTACCCTTTTCTCTTCCTTTGTAGACTGTGTGAGGAGCTCTCATTGCGGGTGGGAGACTGATTGCCTGCAGTAATGGGGAGAGGATATGCCTGGTTCCCTCCTCTCACTCCTTGCTTGGACTTTTGTCTTTACAACTTGAACTAAGTATTCTCCATTTGACCTTTTTCCTGCCTCATTATTCTTCCCAGACATTCTCTAGCTTCTACTTTCTGCCTCTTCAGGTGTGCATCAGGGATCTGGTATCAAGGAATTTAGAACTTGAAAAGAAGTGTTATGGTCCAGTTCCCTCACTTTCAGATATGGAAGAAGGGAACACATCCACGGTCACACAGCAGGTTAGAGGCAGAACCAGGACCAAGCCTAGGTCTCTGCATCTCAGCCCAGGGCTTCTTGTTACATTCCTGCAGGAAGGGCTTTCTAAGTCAGCAGGGGCCCAGCGTCAGGGACCTACTTACCCTTGCAGAGACACTGAGAGGACAAAAACTAAGCCCCAAGGGGGCCAACAGCCCCAGACTTCACATGGCCTAGGGTTGTTTTCTATATATCTTGGCAGATTTATCAAGAGTACCTTTTTCCGGGAGCTGAGGAAAGAAAAAAAATATGCCCCATTCCTATCATTAGGGGATTCATATTCTAGAGGAACATAGAAGTCTCACATGTATGGAGAGAGCATAGAGCAGCTTGCTAGGGGCTCAGGTACACACCCTGTGTGAGGGAGAGCTCTGGAGCAGGAGGAGATGCGGAGTCGTCTCCTGGATGCAGAGCAAGGATTTTCCTAGAGAGGTGGAGTCCAGATAGTCCAAGGAGCAGAGGAGTGGAGGCCAGGCTTTGCTAGGGCTAGGAGAAGAGAGAGACCCCCTCCAGGCTTGCGGGGAATCCTGAAAAAATGGTCCACACAGACAAAGAGGGTTAGGAGGTTGTGAGGCAGGGGCTGATTTTGTAAGACCTTGAACTCTGCTCTGAAGGACCAGATCATGGAGCTAGTGGGGTGCCGTGCCTCACTTTCTCAAGGGAGTGGTTTCATGAAAGCTGGGCTTTTGGGAGAGAAGTCTGGTGGCATTTTAGGAGCCCTAGGGGTCAGGAGGCCTAACCAGGGACTTACTGCAGTGACTCAGTTATGGAATGAGGAGGCCCTGGTCACAGGGAGTAGCAGTGGGGTATTTTGAGCTTCTATAGTGCTTGTTTGCAAAACATGATAAATTTAGGTTAATCTCCAAGCTTTAACATAGGAAGTATAACTTCAGTGTTTTTTTTCTTGCCATATCTAGGTGGAGTCCGCAAAGAAATTGTGAGGCTCAGGTGTCTGTTTTATTTTATAAAGCATTTTGAAACTTTTGAGAACCAACAAAAAGAGAATGCAAATACCAAGTGTTATTTCTTTCTACTTCCAAATCTCAAGCCCTAAATTGAATACCATTTAATTCACTGTTGCCAATATGGCACTCTGCGTTCCTTTTTTGATAGAAAGTTTTGCCTTTTGAGCATTTGAAGCCCTAGCTTTGTGATATAGCTGAACAGGGTGGGCAGGCTGGTGGGGACAAGGAAGAACACGAGGACGAGAGTAGCTGCCCGGCTCCAGCAGCACCCATGCCCTCGGCACGCACAGACTTAACGGTATTGTCTTCTCTTTATCTCCTTAGGAATACAAACAGAAGCTTGCACGAGTAACCCAGGTCCGCAAGGAACTGAAATCCCATATTCAGAGCTTGCCAGACCTCTCACTGCTGCCCAACGTCACAGGGGGCTTAGCCCCCCTGCCCTCTGCTGGGGACCTGTTTTCAACTGACTAGGATGGGTGTCATGTCCCAGATTTCTGTTTGTACCAGCAGAAAGAAGAGGGCAAGTCATGGTTGGAAATAACCTTCTAGCCCCTGGTTCTATCCCTTCTTCCGCCCAGCCCCCCAGCCTCAAGAAAGAACCTCAGACTCTGATTCTCCTCTTCAGCCTCTCATCTTGAGCACAGTTCAGAACAGTGGCGACTGGAATCTGGTTTATATTCATATTTGCAAAGACTACAGACTTTTTCTCCCACTTCATATTTTCATGCCCCCCTGTTGGTTTTCCATTCTTAACTGTCTCCTTATACCTAAGAAGTTATGAAAATCATGTGTACTTCTGGAAGCTTTCGAAAGAATCTTGTCCCTCATGACAGCATTTTATCATGAAAGCAGCTTCTCCTTTCTGGGCTGGGCTTGTTCAAGTTCGGTGTGGGCTTCCACTAAGGCACTTGTCCTGGAGACGTTGGCTTTCCCAGCTGCATCTGCCCCAAAAGGTTGTAGGCACAGCTGTCGTAGCGTTGCCATAAAGAGTTTGCCAAATCTCTGATCCTCCCTTTCCATTGCTTCTCCTAGTGATGCACGAAGATTAGGTGCATTTATTTTGTAAACAGATTGGAGAATCTAGCAATAAGATTCAAAGCTAATCTGGAGCATAAAGGCACAGTTCAGAGACAGAATAACAGGGATCACAAGCATGAATTAAAAGGAATTTATTTGCTTCAAGTTCCTAGATACAACCTTCCCATGCTGCACTTCTCCACTGTCGGAGCACGTTCCGAAAAACAGAATGCCTTGATCCCTGGTGGGTGCGAAGGCAGTTGTTAGGGATGGCAGGCATTGGTGGGCTCCAAAAGATGAAGGCCCCACACACAGGTGTGCTGCATTTGGGATCTGTGTGGGTGTTTCTTGGACCCTTTCTTCTGGGAGTAGGGTACACACTAACGTTTAATCCGCTGTCTGGGTGCATGTCCACAGTACGGTGGCTAAACTCGAACATCACTGCAAATAGGACGCTGAGCAGGTCCGTCTGTCATGTCACGCCACTGCACAGGTCCTTGTCCCCACACGACGGGGAGTACTTGCGTCAGATGTTATTGAATAGCTCGTCTCGGGCAGGGGAAGCGGGGAGTTGGGGATATTAATTGGGGGTTTTAATTCTATTATCATGTCAGCTGACATTATGACTATATAATGTAGTTAGAGACAATTTTTATCTTGCTTATAGTAAAGGTTCAGCCTGCCAATTGTAAATCATTCTAATTTGGCAGGCTTATTTTTGACATTGGAAAGGGCAGAAAGCGATTTGCCCCAGTAGTGTAATAGGAGTTATAGACCAGAGGCTGAAACCCAAACTATATAAAAAGGAATTCAGTGGAGGGGGCTTTGTAATCTCCATTAATTTGTGTTGCTACTTCCAGGATCACCAAAAATTACATGTAATTTTACATGTTAAACACATTGAAACATAACCTATGTTTATAAAGCATAACGGGCTTCCCTTCCAGAAGCTCTCCTGCTTGTCATGAAGTGAGAACAATGAAAAGTCATAGCAGATACTCAGTTTAACTCTGTGTAGAACCTAGTAGTGTTTGAGCTGTTATTCAGATTTGAATTCAGACTGTGTGTTGTTTGCTTATGGACACTGCCTGTCGTTCTGTCACTGTTAAATTAATGAGTCTATAAGGTTTTTCTTCCAGAGGCCATAGGTGACATCACTAAAATTGCAAGATAAATTGTAATCTTTGCTGCTGCTGCACTCCCCAACCTCTCCCCCACCCCCCGTGGTGTGCTGCTTTCTAGATGAGCGTGTTTTGGAGCAGGCCCATCTGGGACACTCTATGCTTTCACCAAGGAAGTGCGATCTGAGCAGCCACAATCCAGCCAAAAGAGGATCGTAGATATTTGCTCTGATCAACTAGATGAAAATATAGCAGAATGGATTTAGCCCACTGCTCTGTTTTATCCAACTGAGTCTCTGACCAGCAATTGGTGCATAATTATTACAGCAAAAGTTAAGAAATGAAACTGTAGCAATTATGTAAATGAATGTGTTGGCCTCTTAATACCTGTTACTAGTGGACTTCCTGTGAGGAAGTTAGTTTTTTGTTTTGATGAAATGCTTTCGTTTTTTAAATCTTAATTCTGCTGTCCACATCCTCCCAAAGTGTGCTTACTTCATTTGTTTAATTTAAATGAACTTTCCTCCTTGTATGTATGAGGTGACTTGGTGGGTGGGGTGGGTGGTTTTTGTTTTTGTGTTTTTTCTTTCTTAGGGCATCTGTAGGCCTCAAAGGACCTTTCCTTTAGGTCATATTCCTCAGAAAGTCTTCAATCTTCCCTTGTTTTTGTTTGTTTGTTTTTCTTAAAGAATATTTTCAAAGCTTAAATTTGTATATTAATTTAGGACTATTTAGAAGTATAGGCTGTCGTTGGCGGCAGCAGTATATTCTGAAATGTCTCATAGATATATATTTTTGAATAAAGATGGTGTTGTTGAACAACATTGTGTGATTTTTTTTTTAAACTACCCTGTTACTGAAAACAGTGCCTTTCTTTGTAAGCAGTGGGTGATTAGTAATCACCAATAGAGAATGTGCTGTCGGCACAGAATCTTGTCCCTTGGGAGTTTTTGTGTCTGTTAGCGGCACATAAATACTCAGCATTTACGTAGTATTTTCTGGTTCTTTCCAGGGGCTTAATTAGCTTTAATTAGGCAGTCCACACAGTACCCATGAGAGGTGCCGCCATAGTTTTACCCTCATTGTACAGAAGTGGGAACTGATGGAGAGAGATTAAATGACTCTTCCCCCATACTTCACAGCCAATCTCTGACAGATTAAAACTTGGAAGTTCTTTGATTTTAGCGCCTTTGTTCACACCAGTAGGCCTCCTGAGAGCGATTTGATTTTGGCAGTACACGGAAAGCCACGCTGAACAGTAAAAAGACGAAAAATGTGAGATAATTGCGAACCCAAGTGGTATGTCTCTTAAAAACAGTCATGGCTTTGCTTTGTCCTTTTCACTTGTACATGGAGTGAAAGCATATTGACTGTGTATTGCTGGTTAAAGCTCTCAAAATAACAAAAATGATTTTGAATTAGGTCCTTTTGAAGCAAGTGATATGTTTGGAAGGATCATAAACCTGTCCACTGGGTAATGGCAGCATCTGCCAGAAGAAGTGGGGTTATCTTATGGTGCAAAAACCTCTGTAGTAGGTGTGGTTCATCAAGACTGCAACCCAGATAAGTCCAGTATTAGGAAAATTGAGACTGCATTACCCAAGTTCTGTTAAAATATGAAAGTTGGATGTTACATGTGAATCTCAAGAGACAAGATCTCCTTCTGTGTCCCCAGATTTCATGGTCTAATTTCTTCACTCCTCCCTATAAATAGTAAGTCCATGATTCTTCTGGTTTAATTAGCACTTCAGGCTACAAAATGACTTTGAGGTCTTCAGAGCTGAAGATGGAGCTACCCAAGAGTCCATGAATCTGTCAAAATGCTTATCCTTTGTGACTAGAGCCATTAACTCTCTGTGTCACCTTCCTGGGCAAGGTATTTTCCTCTCTGGGCCTCAGTTTTTTCTTTCTTTTTTTTTTTTTTTTTTTTTTTTTTCTTTTTGAGACAGGATCTAACTCTTGCCCAGGCTGGTGCAACCTTAGCTCACTGCAGCCTCAATCTCCTCGTCTCAAGCTATCCTCCTATCTCAGCCTCTCAAGGAGCTAGGACTACAGGCATCTACCCACGCCTGGCCAATTTTTTTCTTTTCTTGACTTTTTTTAGAGATAGGGACTCACTATGTTGTCTAGGCTTGTCTCGAATTCTTGGGCTCAAGCAATCCTCCCGCCTTGACCTCCCAAAGTGCTAGGATTGTAGGCATGAGCCACCACAGCCAGCCTCAGCTTTCTTACCTGCAAAATGTAGTATTGGACTAAATTATCTCTAGGTTTTCTGCGAGCCCTAAAAGCTACGATTGTTGTGCTGCATAAGAAGCATATGGGACTGAAGTCTGAGAACTCTGGATGGTATATCCTGGGCACGCAGTACTATTTGTTAGAGAAATGAATAGTATCACCATTGTGCTGTGTATACATAGGAAACCCTGGAGACCATAGTCTAAAGATCGGGGCACAGGAGACAGTGCCACGACCGGGAAGATGGGAGTAAACACAGTAGTTCACTGCACAAAATTCATATTTGGTTTATTTGGGATCTTTAAGAAAAAGCCATTTGCTAGCATGGTTTCCTCTTTTACTTTCTCCTGGAATAATTCATCTGGCTAAAGCTCATCGCTCACTGCTACCTCTGTAGGATTTTCCATTTAAAAATCATGCTTCCACTCTGAGGCACAGATTCAATTAAGAATCCATTCTCCTGTACAGTAGGTTGGGATTCATACAGCTTTATGTAGTGTTGAAAGCCCAGTGTGTTCACTTTTTTTAGACTCAAATAGTTATTTTGCATTAAAAATTCATTTCTACCATTGGTTTGATAAATATTAAAATTAGCAGGCCATTTATCTAGTATTTTTTGTGAATAAGAGGCAGCTGTGATGAGTGAAAACTCATATCTTCTCATCTCCTCTCACTATGATGACCTTGGGCAAGTCACTCAGCCCTTGGGGACCTCAGCTGCTTCTTACAGGAAATGAGTAGGGTTGATTACGTAACCTCTGAAGTCCTGTGACTAGGTTTTCAGAATATTTCTTCCTACTGAGAATCTTAATAAACTCAGTACCTGAATAATGTACTCCATAGATTTTAAAATACTCACTATACAAATTCTTAGGAAAGAAAGTAGTTACCAACATACTTGTTAATAACTGAGATGTTTGTAAAAAGGGCCTAGTGCTTTGGTACAAATTAGGGACTCAGTGGTGGCTGTTACTATGTTAAATAATGAATGCAGGTATTTATAAACACATGTAACAAGATTAAAATAGATGTCTGCTGGAAGGAGTAATAGAGACCACATGGCTAGACCATCTGCAGCATTTACAACAGAGTGGTCAAAAACCTGTCATCCTCAACCCCCCTCACCCACTTTAAGGGTATGAAAAGAGTCAGGAGTTAAGAGGTAAAGGAAGAGGATTTGGGATGAGAATTATTTGAAAAGGGCCATTGGTGTGTTTGGCATCTCCCTAGTGGGAGCAGTGGGTGCCACCTACACTTTATCTCAAGATTAGGGGAAAGGGCCTCCATGGAGCTTAGTATGTGTCCCTGATCTGGTGGATTAAACAGACCCCTGCCTGGAAAAGTCTGAAGGATGAGATGCCAGTGCTGGCTAAGTGTTTGATGACGAAGCAAGGGAGAGGCTGGGTGCAGACTCCACTCCTAGAGTTTGTCAGGGCAGAGCATGCATGTAGAAGAACTGGCCTGCATCCTGGGGTGATAGAGCCTGGGCAAGAGGCCCGGGGTTTCAAGGAGGCGAACTTCAGACTCACAGTGCTGAGGAAGGAGTAGAGCAAAGAGCCAGGGAGAAACCCTCACCCCAAGAGACCCCAGGTGATGGGAGATGAGGATGGGAGACTGGGGGAAGGGAGGGGAGGAACCACTCCAAGGAGCATCTGAGGAGCCCATGGGGGAAGGAAGCTGTTAAACTTTGTTAAACTTTTGCCCAGCAGCGCCCAGTCACCACCACCAGACCTTAAGGACTGTCTCTTGCTGCTGCTTCACTCCCACTGCTGTGTCCCTGGAAGGGTCAGAAACGGTAAACAAGGGAGGCCTCCCTTCCCGGATGCTGGCCTCCCTTCCCAGATGCTGGCCTCTCGCCCCCAGCAGACCCAGAGAGGTCACCTTCACATGATAGGCTATTTTGATTGTAACATGGGCTTGCACATTTACATCTCTGAAATGAGACTGTTTTTACACTTTAAGTGTGACTACAGGAATTTTTTTAAATAAAAATGACTAGAGAAGTTATGGAGGCCTGGGTTTTTCTTTGAGAGTTACAGGATACATTAGCCCCACAAATTGGATTTCAAGGGACATAGGAGACAAAGTTGCTTTGCGATTGCAGTTCCCCAATCCTGCCTGTGTACTATGGTGGTTACACACACATGATTCATTTTAGGACCTTTAATTCTTGGTTCCCCTTTCCATTTTTGTTACTTAAAAAGTTCATTTTCACAACCTCAGTTTGTTCATTAAATTGTGAATTCATAATCCTATGTATATGTGAACATATTTTTCAAAATTGTGGTAAAATACATATAACATAAATTTACTATTTTAGCCGGGCACGATGGCTCACACCTGTAATCCCAGCACTTTGGGAGGCCGAGGAGGGTGGATCACCTGAGGTCAGGAGTTCAAGACCAGCCTGGCCAACATGGTGAAACCCCATCTCTAATAAAAAAAAAACAAAAATATTAGCCAGGCGTGGTGGTGTGTGCCTGTAGTCCCAGCTACTCAGGAGTCTGAGGCAGGAGAATCACTTGAACCTGGGAGACAGAGGTTGCAGTGACCCGAGATCGCGCCACTGCACTCCAGCCTGGGTGACAAGAGTGAAACTCTGTCTCAAAAAAAAAAAAAAAAAAAAAAAAAAAAATATATATATATATATATATATAAAACTATTTTAAAGTGTACAATTCAGTGGCATTTAGCACATCTGTGATGTTGTGCAGCCGTCACCATGATCTAGTTCCAGAACATTCTCATCCCCACAACAGGAAACCCTGTACACATTAAGCAGTTACTCCCATTATCCCCTACTCCCAGGCCCTGGCAACTACTAACCTGCTTTCTCTCCCTGTGAAATTGCCTATTTGTATATTTAATATAAATGGAATCATACAATATATGACCTTTTATGCCTCGCTTTCATTTAGCATAATGTTTTTAGGCTTGGTTCATCTATGTTGTAGCATATATCAGAATTTCATCCCTTGTTATGGTTGAGTAATATTCTATTGTATGGATATGCCACATTTTATTTATCCATTAGTTGGTGCACAGTTGGGTTGTTTCTACCTCTTCGCGACAGCCAGTTGGGCTGCTGAAAGCATTCACATACCAGTTTTGGGTTGAACACCTGTTTTCAGTTCTGTTGGGTATATACCTAAGAGTGCCATTGCTGGGTCACATGGTAATTCTACGTTTAGCTTACCGAGGAACCACCAAATGGTTTTCCAGAGTGGGTGCACCATTTTCCATTTCCACCTACAATGTATGAGCCTTCCAGTTTCTCCACATCCTCACTGTATTAGTCAGGGTTCTCCAGAAAAACATACATAGAGAAAGGGAAAAAATTATTTTAAGGGAATTGGCTCACACAATTGTGGAGGTTTGGCAAATCCCAAATCTGCTGGGGTAGTCTGGCAGCTGGAGACCTAGGGAAGAGTTGCAGTTCAAAGGCAATCTGCTGGCAAAATTCCTTCTTGCTTAGGGGGAGGTCAATCTTTGTTCTATTAAAGCCTTCAGCTAATTGGCCGAGGCCCACTCAGGTTAGGGAGGGTAATTTGCTTTACTCTAGATCCAACAAGTTAAATGTTAATTTCATCCCAAAAACATCTTCACAGAAACATCCAGAATAACATTTGACCAAATATCTGGGCTCCATGGCCCAGCCAAGTTGACATGTAAAATTAAAAAAATAAAATAAAATAACCACTACTCTTGCCAAAACTTGTTATTTTTCATTTAAAAAATTATAGCTGTATTACTGCCCGAGGGCTCCATAAAAAAATATCACCGACTGGGTAGTTTAAAACAACAAGTATATTGTCTCACAGTTCTGGAAACTAGAAATCCAGAATCAAGGTGTTTTCAGGGTCACGCTTCCCCTGAAGCCTCCAGAAGAGGATTTTTTTTTTGCCTTTTTCAGTTCCTGGTAGCTCCAAGCGTTTCTTGGCTTGTGGCAACGTAACTATAACCTCTGCCTCTATCTTCCTAAATGGCCATCTTCCCTGTGTTTCTGTGTCCAAATTTCCTTCTTTTAAGGACACCAGTCATATTGGATTAAGGCCTACCTTAATAACCTCATCTTGATTAAATCTGCAATGACCCTATTTCCAAATAATGTCACATTTACAGATGCTGGGGGTTAGGACTCCAATATATATTTTTTGCAGGGGGGCTGGCGGCGGGAAACACAATTGAAGCTGTAACAATAGCCATCCTAATAGGCATGAAGTGGTGTGAGGTGGTTTTGATTTGCATTTTTCTAATGACATTGAGCATCTTGTCATGTTGGCCATAACAACATGGCCAAATGGCTTGTTGGCCATTTGTATATCTTCTTTGGAGAAATGTCTATTCAAGTCCTCTGCCCATTTTTGAATTGAGTTATCTTTTCTGTTGTTGAGTTGTAAACATTCATTAAATATTCTGGATACTAGACCCTTAATCAGATACATGATTTTCAAATATTTTCTCCCACCCTGTGTGTTGTCTTTTTACTCTCTTGATAGTGTCCTTTGATACACATAAGGTTTTAATTTTGATGAATTCCAATTTATTTTTTCTTTTGCCTGTTCTGGGGTCATATCTAAGTAAACACTGCCAAATCCAAGACCATGAAGATTTAGTCCTAGGATTTTATACTTTTAGCTCTTACATTTAGATCTTTGATCCATTATGAGTTAATTTGTATAATCCCACTACTCATCAGCATGGGAGTTTTGACCTGCTCCATTTCTGACCTGGGCTGGTTTACCCCTCCTTAGGCAACCTGATGGTCCCCCACTCCCAAGAGTTTGCCGTATTGATGCCAAACTTATTGCAGGCACCCAAACAGCATAGTGCACTACAGCCCAGAACTCCTGGGCTCAAGTGATCCTCCCACCTCAGCCTCCAGAGTAGCTGGGACTACAAGTGTGCACCACCATGTCCAGCCAAACACAATTTTCTTAAAAGTCTCTACCAATCTTTAATAAAATCATCATCTACTAGTTAAATGATATTTTGAGGTACAAATCAATAATGAAAACAACTAAGTTAGAGACTTTCATTCCTACCGATGAAGGATTAAATGCTATGGGAATTGCCCTCTACCATAAACAACTATAAAAGCAGACAAAATATATAAAACAAGTGTTTCAGGCATTGGACAATAGGAAACACAGAATTGTAAGTCCCTGAGAGAAGGAAAACAAACAGAGAGAAGGCTATGATTGCCTACCTTACTTATTCAGGGCACTTCCAGTGTGCAGCACAAAGATAGGGAACCAGAGATCCACCGTATCCCTGAATTGAGGAGATAGAAATCAGAGTTCAGGAAGGCTGAGGTGGCTAGAACTTGCAGGGAAAAATAACAGGAAGTATCTGAACAGAAACAGAGCTCAGGAGCTCTGCAGACAGTCCCCTGACCCTTAAGTGAGTCAGGAAGACTGAGGTGGCTGGAACTTGCAGGAAAAAATAATAGGAAGTATCTGAACAGAGACAGAGCTCAGGAGCTCTGCAGAGGGGCCTCTGGCCCTTAAGTGAGTTCCAATCAGTACATGTGTGGGATGAAATACCATGAGATCAAACAGAAAGAACAAACAGAAAGCAATAGACCCCAGAGCTCAAAAAAGTCTGGGAATAGTTGAGGTTTACACTAACTAGAGTGGGGAGAGACCTTGTAATACAGACAGCATTGGTAGAATCCTCAAAAAGATTATGCTTTTGTAGTAGGGCTAAATTATCCCTAGAGTAAAAGCTCCTCACAGCTTGCCATAAAAAAATAGCTTAATAGTAGACCTTAAATAGATCCACAGGTAACTTAACTACATGGCAGAACAAAGCCTAACCCTGTTTAAAGAAATACAACAAACCTAGCGCTCAACAATGTAAAATTCACTGTGTTTATCATCCAACAAAAAGTCACCAGGCATGCAGAAAAGTAGAAAATTATGGCCCAGAGCTAGGAGAAAAATAAATTAATAGATCCAGAATGACACAGATTATTGAATTAGCTGACAAAAGCCTTAAGATAGCTATTATCAATATTGCAAATACTCAAGGAGATAAAGGAAAACATGAACATAATGAGGAAAGACATGGGATATATATTACCTAAATCCAAAGCAAATTCTTAGAGATAAATAATATTTGAAATTAATCTGAATGGGATTAACTGCAGATTGGACATTGCAAAAGAAAAGATTACTATAACCTTAAAGACACATAAATAGAAATTATTCAAAATAAAGCACAGAGAGAAAAGTCTGGACAAAGAGTAACTGGAGGAACCTGTGGGACAGTACCAAGAATCAAAAATACATACTAGAAAGAGAGGAAAGAGGGAAAGAGACAGAAAACACTTTTGAAGAAATGTCAAAGAAATTTGGTGAAAATTATAAAGCCATAGATCCAAGAAGCTCAGTAAACCTCAAAAAGAATAAACATGAGAAAACTACACACATTAAAACACATCATAGTTAAATTGCTGAACCAGTGGTAAGTGGGTAAAAAGAAGCATTATATACAGAACAACGAAGGTAAGCATGACATCAGACCTCTTAGAAACTATGTAAGCCAGAAAAAATAGCATGACGTCTTTAAAGTGCTGAAAGAAGCAAAGCAAAACAAAACACCATCAGTCTAGAATTCTATATTTAGCAAAAATTTCTTTCAAAAATGGAAGGGAAATAAAGACTATCACAGCAACAAAAACTGAAAGAATTCATCACCACTACACTTGAACAATAAGAAATGTCTTTTCAGACAGAAGAAAAGTCATACCAGATGAAATCTGGATCTACACAAAGGAATAAAGAGCACTGAAAATGATAACTACACAGGAATATTTTTAAAAGACAATTGACTAAGCAAAAATAATAATACATTTGGGAAAAAAAGTGAAATGTATGACAACAACAACATACAGGTCAGAAGGCGATAAATGGAATTATACTCTTGTGAAGTTCTTATAGTATTTGTGAAGTGTTATGTCACTTGAAAGTAGAATGTGTTAAGGTAACAAGTACACTAAAAGTCTAAAACAACCACTAAAATAACAAAGCTAAGAGTTGTAACTAAGAAGTCAACAAAGGAGATACAATGAAATTGTAAAAATTATTCTGTTATTCCAAAAGATGACAGAAAAAGGAAAATGAGCAGAGAACAGATTAGACAAATAGAAAATAAATAGCAAGATGATAGACTAAAATCTAATCATACCAGTAATCACATTAAATATAAATGGTCTAAACATCTCAATAAAAAGGCAGAGCTAGGTTGGATTTTTTTTTTTTTTTTTTTTTTTTGATACGGAGTCTTGCCTCGTCGCCCAGGCTGGATTGCAGTGGCATGATCTTGACTCACTGCAACCTCCGCCTCCCAGGTTCAAGCAATTCTCCTGCCTCAGCCTCCCGAGTAGCTGGGACCACAGGCACGTGCCACCACACCCAGCTAATTTTTTGTATTTTTAGTAGAGATGGGGTTTCACCTTGATGGCCAGGATAGTCTTGATCTCCTGACCTCGTGATCCGCCCACCTCAGCCCCCCAAAGTGCTGGGATTACAGGCATGAGCCACTGTGCCCAGCCAATAGATAGGATTTTTTAAAAAGGCAAGACCAAGTATATGCTACCTACAAGAAACAAACTAAATATAAAGACACAAATAGTTTAAAAGTAAATGGATGAAGAGATATATCTACATTAGACAAAAGAAATCTAAATAATATCAGGCCAACTAGATTTCAGAGAAAAGAATACTATCAGGGATAGATGAGGTCATTTCACAATAATAAAGGGGTCAATTAAGAGGACATGATAATGTTAAACATGCATTTAATAACAGAGTTTTAAAATATATAATGGAAAAACTGATGGAACTGCAAAGAAAATAGACAAATACAAAATTGTAGTGGATATGTCAATACCCTTCCCAATAATTGATAGAATAATGCTGTGGACTAAATGTTTGTGTCCTCCCTCCTCTCCAAAAATTATATGTTGAAACTCTAATCCTCAATATGGTGGTATATGGAGATGGGGTCTTTGGGAGAAAATTAGGTAATGAGGTTGTGAAGCCCTCATCATGGGATTACTGCCCTTATAAGAAGAAACAGAAGAGAATTTGCTCCCTCTCTCTCTGTCCTCATCCTGTGAGGACAGAAAGGTGGCTTGTCTACAAGCCATGAAGTGGGTTCTCACCATAACCCAGCCATGCTAACACTCTGTTCTCAGAATTCCAGCCTCCATAACTGTGAAAAATAAATGCTTACTATTTATGCCATCCTGTCTATGGTATTTGTTACAGCAGCCTGAGCAGACTAAGACCAATAAGTAGGCAGAAAGTCAGGATTATAGTAGACTCGTACAACACCATTAACCTTGACCTGATTGACATTTCTAGAATACTCTACCCAACAACAGCAAAATACAAATTCTTCTCAAGTGTCCAAGTAAGATTTACCAATATAGGCCACATTCTTGGCCATAAAACAATAAATTCAAAAGTTCTCTAGCAAGCTGACTAAATTTTTATTTTAAAAAAATTTTAAAGGATTCAAGTTGTAGAAAGAAAGTACATTCTCTGACCACAGTGAAATTAAAATTAAAATCAAGGCCGGGCACAGTGACTCACGCCTGTAATCTCAGCACTTTGGGAGGCCAAGGCAGACGAATCACCTGAGGTCAGGAGTTGGAGACCAGCCTGGCCAACATGGTGAAACCCTATCTCTAATAAAAATACAAAACAGCCAGGCATGATTTTGGGCGCCTGTAATCCCAGCTACTCAGGAGGCTGAGGCAGGAGAATTGCTTGAACCTGAAAAGTGGAGGTTGCAGTGAGCCGAGATCATGCCACTGCACTCCAGCCTGGGTGACAGAGCAAGACTCCATCTCAAAAAAAAATTTTTTTAAATCAATACTGAAAAGATCCTCAGAAAATCCCCAAATATTTGGAAACTATGTAACATGCTTCCAAACAAAATATGGATAAAAAATAAATCAAAAGGGAAATCAGAATGTATTTTGAACTGAATGAAAATTAAAACACAACATACCAGAATTTGTGGAGACAACAAACTAGGAATAGAAGAGAATTGCTCCAACCTGATAAATAGCATCTATGGACTACTCATAGCTAGCAACATACTTAATGACAAAAAACTACAAAATTTCCCCCTAAGATCAGGCACAGGCCAGGCACAGTGGCTGATACCTATAATCCCAGTGCTTTGGGGGCTGAGGAGGGAGGATTGCTTGAGGTCTAGAGTTTGAGACCAGCCTGGGCAGCATAAGTGAGACCCTGTCTCCTAAAAACTAAAATAAGAAAAAAAACAATCAGGAAAAGTCCAGGCACGGTGGCTCATACCTGTAATCCCAGCACTTTAGGAGGCAGAGGCAGGCAGATCACGAGGTCAGGAGATCGAGACCATCCTGGCTAACATGGTGAAACCCCACCTCTAGTAAAAATACAAAAAAAAAAAAAAAAATTAGCCAGGCGTGATGGCGGGCACCTGTCGTCCCAGCTACTTGGGAGGCTGAGGCGCGAGAATGGCATGAACCCGGGAGGCGGAGCTTGCAGTGAGCCGAGATTGCGCCACTGCACTCCAGCCTGGGCGACAGAGGGAGACTCCGTCTCAAAAAAAAAAAAAAAAAAAAAAAAAAAAAATCAGGAACAAGACAAAGATGCTTTTCTCCATTTCTGTTCAACATTGTGCTGAATGTTCTGGTGAGGGCAATCAGGCAAGAAAATGAAATAAAAGACATTCAGACTGGAAAGGAAGATGTAAAACTATTGATATTTTATTGATATTTACAGGTGACATGATCTTGTATACAGCAAATCCTAAATAATCCACTAAAAAATTTCTAGAACTAATAAGCAAGTTCAGCAAGGTGGCAGGATAAAAGACCAATATACAAAAAAAATTAATTATGTTTCTAAACACTAGCAATGAACAATCCAAAAACAAAGAGGAAAAAATAGAAAAAATAGAATTAAGAAAATGATTTCATTTTCAACAGCATCATAAACAATAAATAATTATGAACAAATTCAACAATAGATGTGCAAAAGTCATACTTGAAAATAACAAATATTGTTGAAAGAAAAGAAGGCCTAAATAAAGAGAAAGATATCCCATGTTTGTGGATTGGAAAACAGTATTATTAAGATGCCAATACAGCCAGGCGCAGTGGTTCATGCCTGTAATCCCAGCACTTTGGGAGGCTGAGGTGGGCAGATCACCTGAGGTCAGGGGTTCGAAACCAGCCTGGCCAACATGGCGAAACCTCATCTCTACTAAAAATACAAAAATTAGCTGGGCATGGTGGTGGGCACCTGTAATCCTAGCTACTTGGGAGCCTGAGGCAGGAGAATCGCTTGAACCTGAGAGGTGGAGGTTGCGGTGAGATGAGATCGTGTCATTGCACTCCAGCCTGGGTGACAGAGTGAGACTCCATCTCAAAAAAAAAAAAAAAAAAATACCAATACTTCCCAAAATGATCTACCTATTCAATGCAATTCCTATCCAGATTCCAGCAGGCCTTTTTTTTTTGTAAACATTGACAAGCTGATGTTAAAATTCATATGGAAATTGTCAATCTTGAGAAAGAAGAGCAAAGTTGGAGGACTCACACTGTGAGTCCCAATTTCAGAACTTACTACAGAGCTACAACAATCAAGATTGTGTAGTACTGTCATAAGGACAGACATAAATCAACTGAATGGAATTTAGTGTCTAGACACTAATCCTCACATTATGGCCAATTGATTTTCAACAGTGCCAGGACTCTTCAATGGGGAAAGAATAGCCTCTTCAACAAACAGTGCTGGAACGACTGAATATTCACATGTAAAAGAATGAAGTTTGACCTCTTCTTCACACCACATGTAAAAATCAATTCAGAATGGATCATAGACCTAGAAGTAAGAAGTACAACTATAAACCTCTTTGAAGAAAATATGAGTAAATCTTCATGACCTTGGTTTCGGCAAAGCCTTCTTAAATATAACACCAAAAGCACAAGCAACAAAAAAGTACATAAATTGGGCTTTCTCAGAATTAAAAACTAGAAATTCTTCATTTGGACCCTATAAAAAAGGAAAGACAGCCCCCGCCCCACCCAGAATATTTGCAAATCATGCTGCAAGTTTCCGAAGTGTAATGAACATTTGACTACCTGTGAAGTGATGAGCCAGTTATTGGGCTATAACTGTAAACTCCTCCCCCCTCCCCACCATTTATTAACCACAATAATCCTGTGACTTCACAATATCCCCTCTTTACAGATGAGGAAACAGAGGCTCAGAGATGTGACTCGCCCAATAGAGTGTGATGCTGGTATAGATGGAACGGGGATTCAGCCCCAAGTCCCTCTTGTCTCCAGCTCTCTTTCCATCACCCTGTATTGCTTGTTGGAGAATGCCAGACATAGAAGATCTGCAGCCTTGTTTTACGCCAGGGGAAACTGAGGTCCAAGAAAGGAAATACTTCTCCAAGTTCCCGCTGCCGCCTCCTGCCTCCTGATTTGTTGCTGTTTGTTACAGCAAACTACAGGGAACCTATACGATAAAATCTCACTCATCTGGGCTTATCTAATGCAAAGTTACATGAACAATCATCTATTTTAAAAGAAATAATTTGATTACTCTTTAATTTGTGAGGGAAGGAATGTTGGGCAGTAGAAAGGACATTCAAGTTTATAACCTGAAAGATGTGAATTTGAGAACTGACTTGTACTTTATTAATTCTGGAATCTAGGATATATGACTACGCTGTGCCCCAGTGTCCTCATCTCTCACATGAGAGGGTTGTGCTTTACCCACCTCTCCCAGTGTGGTGGGGGCTCAGGCAAGATGAGCAATGCCACTGGGCTTCAAAGACGATGGAGTCGGCACAAGTGTAGTAATTGTTTCATGTCAAAAGGACGAGGGCTAAAGTTGCTGAGAAGTAGAGCTCTTTTTGCTTCTCTCTCTCTCTCTTTCTCTCTATAGAAATATTACTGTTTTAATTTAATGAGACGGCTGGACGTGGTGGTTCACGCCTGTAATCCCAGCACTTTGTGGGGCTGAGGCGGATGGATCACCTGAGATCAGGAGTTTGAGACCAGCCTGGCGAACAGGATGAAACCCCATCTCTACTAAAAATACAAAAGTTAGCCAGGCATGGTGGCAGGCACCTGTAATCTCAGCTACTCTGGAGGCTGAGGCAGGAGAATCGCTTGAATCCGGGAGGCAGAGGTTGCGGTGAGCCAAGATCGCACCACTGCACTTCAGCCCGGGCAACAAGAGTGAAACTCCGTCTCAAGACATCATAAATTAATTAATTAATTTAATGAGTCACTAAAGATTGCTGATCCATTGTGGGCAAACAGGTACTGCTTAAGTGTTTGAAAAGTTCTTTTATTTTTTACTTCTTTGAGACAGGATCTCACTCTGCCAGCCAGGCTGGAGTGCAGTGGCACAATCATAGCTCACAGCAGTCTTGAACTCATAGGCTCAAGCCACCACACCTGGCTAATTTTTAAAATTTTTTGTAGAGATGGGATTTCACTATGTTGCCCAGGCTGGTCTTGAACTCCTGGCCTCAAGCAACCCTCCCACCTCTGCCCCCCAAAGTGCTGGGATTACAAGTGTGAGCCAACGCACCTGGCCTGATAAGTTCTTATAAGTGGATTTGGCAGTCTGTGAGAGCCTGGCTTGTTTATGGTGATGTGCCTTTCCCATAGCTAGTGCCCAAGTCAGCAAACTTCCCTTGGCCTGTTCTTGTAAATAAAGTTTGACTAGAACACAACCCCACCTATTTGCTTATGTGTTGTTTGTGGCGGCTTTTGCCATACAATGGCAGAGTTGAGTGGTTGAGATGAAGGCTGTATGGTGGCCCACAACGTCTAAAATATTTTGAGCACATGACACCTGTTACCACCTCCAGGGGAAGCAGTCCCACTGCACAGAGGATAGCAAAGCGTACTAATGCCTGCCACTAGGAGCGGCAGTCCGAGAATCTCAACCTACTGCATGGTTTGCTGGTGCTGGGGTTGCCAAGAAAGCCACTTGCACAGGCCTTGGATGGCACAATGCTTTATTCACCTAGAGAAGAGACAGAGCAAGATCAGCCTCAACAGTCAGCATCCAAAAGCCAAAATTGACAAATGGGATCTAATTAAACTAAAGAGCTTCTGCACAGCAAAAGAAACTACCATCAGAGTAAACAGGCAACCTACAGAATGGGAGAAAATTTTTGCCATCTACTCATCTGACAAAGGGCTAATATCCAGAATCTACAATGAACTCAAACAAATTTACAAGAAAAAAACAACCCCATCAAAAAGTGGGCGAAGGATATGAACAGACACTTCTCAAAAGAAGACATTTGTGCAGCCAAAAGACACATGAAAAAATGCTCATCATCACTGGCCATCAGAGAAATGCAAATCAAAACCACAATGAGATACCATCTCACACCAGTTAGAATGGCAATCTTTAAAAAGTCAGGAAACAACAGGTGCTGGAGAGGATGTGGAGAAATAGGAACACTTTTACTCTGTTGGTGGGACTGTAAACTAGTTCAACCATTGTGGAAGTCAGTGTGGTGATTCCTCAGGGATCTAGAACTAGAAATACCATTTGACCCTGCCATCCCATTACTGGGTATATACCCAAAGGATTATAAATCATGCTGCTATAAAGACACATGCACACATATGTTTACTGTGGCACTATTCACAATAGCAAAGACTTGGAACCAACCCAAATGTCCAACAATGATAGACTGGATTAAGAAAATGTGGCACATATACACCATGGAATACTATGCAGCCATAAAAAATGATGAGTTCATGTCCTTTGTGGGGACATGGATGAAGCTGGAAACCATCATTCTCAGCAAACTATCACAAGGACAATAAACCAAACACCACATGTTCTCACTCATAGGTGGGAACTGAACAATGAGAACACATGGACACAGGAAGGGGAACATCACACACCAGGGCCTGTTGTGGGGTTGGGGGAGGGGGGAGGGATAGCATTCGGAGATATACCTAATGTTAAATGATGAGTTAATGGGTGCAGCACACCAACATGGCATGTGTATACATATGTAACAAACCTGCACATTGTGCACATGGACCCTAAAACTTAAAATATAAAAAAAAAATAGCATCAGTCCCCCATGGCCAGCGGGTCTCACTTGGGAACCAGTGCTCACTATTGCACTCTTGCAGCCCCTCTTTTGTGCTGCAGGTGAGGGACTCTGTTCCTGTTCCCTCTCTGCCAGGAACACATACAGCAGTGGGCTGGCCAGGTGTCATATGACACCCGTGTCTAAGCAGACTAAAGAAGTACACATCAGCCAGGCGTGGTGGCTCATGCCTGTAATCCCAGCACTGTGGGAGGCCAAGGTGGGGGTGGATCACCTGAGGTCAGGAGTTCGAGATCAGCCTGGCTGACATGGTGAAACCCCATCTCTACTAAAAAAATTAAAAATACAAAAATTAGCCGGGCGTGGTGGCAGGTGCCTGTAATCCCAGCAACTTGGGAGGCTGAGGCAGGAGAATCGCTGGAACCCGGGAGGCGGAGGTTGCAGTGAGCCGATATTGCGCCATTGCACTCCAGCCTGGGTGACAGATCAAGACTCTGTCTCAAAAAAAAAAAAAAAAGTATACATCAAGGCCAGAACAGGAAAAGACATTTCCAAGAGAGGTGATATACCCAGCACAGGCTTTGAGGGTTCTTTACTTTCCTGTATGGAAATATTCCAGGCCAGAGGCAGGCTCTTATGCAACCACACAAGGGCCGGCAGCCTGTGTCTGCCTTTCCCAACATCTTTACTATCTGTCCCCTTACAAGAAAGAGTTTGCCGATCTCCAGATTAATGTGATATGCACTTCAGCCCGCAGAGATCATGATGGCTTCTGAGTTATTGGGTTCTGAATTAATGAGGTTTCTGTGTATTTCCTAACATGTGCTATTTCAAACTCTCAGATACTTAGATTGGGCAGTTCTCCTCTCCTTGGCCCAGGGGCCCACTGTGTCATTGTGGCCTGTCAGATCTGCATCCGGGCTCAAAGCCAGGTTACATGCATTCTGCTTCCCTGGATAGGATCTCTGTGACATTGCTACCCTGGAGGATTTGTTTCTACTTCAATTAAATCAGATTAGTCCACTCACATGCTCTTGTCTTGGGCAAAGAGCCCTGAATTTGGAACCCAGTTGAAGTCCCAACTCCATCACTGCAGAACTGGGTGACTTGGGACAAATCACTGCTTGGCATGGGGCTGACGTATCAAGAAGGCCTAAGTATTTCCGCATCTCCCTGGAAGCCTTCTCCCCATGTTTAACATGAACAGCTGCAATGAGAGACAGCACTGGGATGCTTACAGGCAGCAGCTCCAGACCCCCATGATCTGAGTTTAAGTCTGGATCTCATTACCTAACCTGCTCTTTGGCCAAGTGACTTCACTTCCCTGTGTCTTGGTTTCATCATCTGTACACTGGGAAGGATAATAATAGGCTCTATCTCATAAGGTTATGGGGACTTCATGAATTGCTATTGCTCAAGTAACAAGCTATATATCTGCCAAATCAATACAAGTTGTTTGCTGATACAGAACAATCTGTGTAAACTCAGAGAGTGACAGCCTGAGATGGGGCACAGCTGGACCCAATCAGGAGGTCCTGGAGTATGAACTGTGTCCGCTTAAGGTCACAGCTGTTGTAAGAAGATCCTGGAGAAGGACCCTGGCCAATTGCAGGAGGGTGGCCAGGCCTCAAAATCAAGTTCTCCCAGGAAGGAATGGATGATGGGGAACAGTTTAACCTGTAAGTGAAGAAAAAGCAAGGACAGTGGGACTCAATGGCTCTGGATGAAGATGGAGCATAAAAATGGTTCTTGCCTTGAGGTTAAAACTGGGGCAAGAGACGGATGTTCCAGTGGGGAGGGCTTCTGCCCCATGACCAGGAAGACATGTTGGCCCCACCGAGGCTGGCTGACCCTTCTCGGCTGGGGTGCTGTAAGGAGCTTCTTGGTTAAGGTGCAGAATGGGATGAGATGAAGCATGTAAGGCCCCTCCCAGATCCAATGGTCCAGACTAATATTTCTGTTGGCTTTGAGATTGGACTGCTGATAAGTGTGGTAGGAACAAAGCCATTGCTATTTTAACATTCCAAACTTTGAAGCTTGCCAAGAACTTTATAAAGAGTGTCTGCTCAAATTTCCCAGGCCGCCTCCTGATGAAGTGCTCAGTGGCCTGACATTGCTATGAGACCCTCCCCGCTTCCTCCCATGGATTATGACACAGGGATGGTGATGACAGCTCCTGGCAAGGTCAGGAGTCAGCTCAGCCTGGCCTGAGTCATGGGAAAGTAATTTATATGAGAGCTGTCATTGCTTAAGAACCCAAAGTAGGTAGGACCTCCAAACTCTCTTGATATTTGCCATAGTTGCCTTTGAAACCTCAAAAAGGCCATCCAGACCTGGCCCCTAGTTTACCCGGAATGCAGTGGTGTCTGGACTTTATTTGAATGGCCTGCAAGTCTGTAAAGTCATTCCTAGTGGTAGATTTCTTATCTCCTCAGCCAAAACAAGCACAGAGAGTTCTGGTTATGAGGCAATAAAGTTTATTAGGCTCTGGGATTACATTATAGCATGACCTGTTATACACGGTTTCAGAGATGCTGTGGTTCCAGTCAAGCTCCCCCCACCATCATCTACCCGGCCAACAATGGAACAGACTGGTAGTGAACTCCTGGTCCCTGGAGGCAGCAAAAGAAGCCACTTACCTGAGAAGTATGTTATAGAGGGTATTCTGCAAACTTAAGTAGAAGAGGGGCTGCAACCTTCAATGCCTACAAAGGCTGAGAAGGCAGTGAGGAGGAGGGAATTTGGCCCACTTGGACAGGAGAGACAGATGGTGTGCCTGCCTCTGCAGACGGCCACTGCTCAGGTCAACCAGGTGTTGGCATGCCGGATTGCATCGCCAGATTGTCCGATTTTTCTAAAAGGAAGCTGAAAACCTAGATTTGTATGTAAGAATCTCTCGATTTTAAATGTTGGAAACTAATTTGGATCTTGTTGGAACACCAGTTTGCCACTTTTGCAAGTAGAGTTACTCTCTGCTGAGTATCTAGGGCAGGAGTCTGCGCAGCTGACCGCGGTCTCAGTAAGAACCCCTTGTTATAAGAAGAATCTGTTAGCCTTGGGTCACAGTCTGTAGCTTTCTTCAAGTTCATCCTGGCCTGCCACCTGCAGCCTTGTGTGGAGCCATTGGCCTGAGGGTGAAGGGGCCTTGGTTCTGGTCCCAGCCCTGACACTGATGACCTGTGTGACCTCAGGAAAGTCTCTGTCCCTCTCTGGCCTGTTACCCCTTCTGGAATTAGCCTAGTGTGTCTCTGGCCCCTGCCAGCTCAACCAGTTTAGGCCTCCACCTGGGAGAAACCCACAGTGGAGAATTTTCCAAAGCAGAGCTGGTTCTTGATTTGGGGTAAATGATTGTTTTCTTTCTTTCCTTCTTTCTTTTCTTTTTTTTTTTTTTAATTTAAGAGACAGGGTCTCACTCTGTTACCTAGGCTAGAGTGTAGTGTGTAGTGGTATGATCATAGGCCACTGTAACCACAAACTCCTGGGCTCAAGCAATCCTCTGGCCTTGGTCTCCTGAGTAGCTGGGAGTACAGGCAAGCACCACCATGCCCAGCTAATTTTCACATTTTTTGTAGAGATAGGGTCTTTGTATGTTGCCCAGACTGGTCTCAAACTCTTGCCCTCAAGCAATTCTCCTGCCTCGGCCTCTCAAAGTGTTGAGATTATAGGCTTGAGCCACGGCATCCGGCCTATTTTCTAGACTGATTGTGCATCTTTAGGTATTTCCAAAACTGAGAAAATAATTTACCAGAAAGGAGGCCTCCCAGTGACTTCCAGCATTTGTGCCGATGGCTGATGGAGTGACCTGTTAGCATTTGTCAAATGCCAGTGGTGAAGGTTAGGTGGTGACAGAAGGTAGATGGGGCTTGTGACTGACGGAAAACAGCAGGTGAGGGGTCACCCCAGAGGCCTCTCATCTCTGTCCTTACTTACTGCAGCCTGGGTAGTCCTTCCTGTCTGTGGGCCTCAGTTTCCTCCTCTGAAAATGAGAAAATCAGTTTGGCTGGATGGTTTCTGAGTCCCCTTTGAGCCCCGGAGTTCTGTGATTCCAACGAATTTATGTTTCAAAGTTGTAGTTTTATCAGCTGCACAAGGACTTAAATCTTTTTTTCAATTCAACAGATGTTTCCCCTTCCTTCCTCCCTCCCTCCCTCCTTCCTTCCTTCTTTCCTTCTTTCCTTCCTTCCCTCCCTTCTTTCCTTCCTTCCTTCCTTCCATCCTTCCTTCCTTCCTCTGCCTTTCTTTCTCTCTTCTCTTCTTTCTTCTTACTCTGTCATCCAGGCTGCAGTGGCACGGTCATAGCTCACTGTAACCTTGAACTCATACAGATGATCTTGGAGATAGCTCTTCTGAGGCCTGCCAACAGGTAGTAAATGAGTTTGGAATTGGACCCTCCACCAGCCGAGCCTTAAGATGACCACAACCAAGGCCAACACCTCGTGAAAACCCTTGAGTCCGAACCACCCAGCGAAGCCACAGAAACAGAGAAACCACTATTAGTTCCAGCTGCTAAGTTTTTGGGTCATTAGTTCAGCAGCAATGGGTAATCAGTGCAGCCCTTCTGCCACGAGCTGAGCTCTTGGGGCTGGGGCTGGGAAGGGAAGGGTTAACCCCAGAGCCCAGACTTTCAGGTGGGCAGCAAGGTTAGTGCCTCCAGCTTGGGGGACCGTTCATTACAGAGTTACCCAGTGGTTCAACCAACGTTTGGGTCTGCTGCCAGCTGGGCCTCAGCCCTCCTGTGGCACCTGTCAGGGCAGGAGCATTCTGTTGTGGGGGGCGGGGGGTGGGGGAGGAGGGACATTCTGGAAACTGACTGATTCATTAGCAGCTTTGCCTCCCTGCATCTGCCCGCGATGCACCAGCTGCAAGTAGAGCCGGCACAGCTGATCGGCCTGTGTTCCTGGCAGGGGTCAGGGCTGCCTTGACTCCTCAGCTCCCGACCCTGGGCCTATGGTTTTGAGTCCAGAGGGAGGTGTTGAGGAGCTCCCCTAAACCCCAGAGACTGCTGATAAACCAGGCCCACAGGCAAGGCGCACCTCCTGGGTGCCATCCCCATCTTGTTTAATCCTCATGGTAACCCTCCCAAAGTAGGCATGCCCATCAGCGCCATGCTGCAGGAGGAAACCGAGGCCCAGGTTTGTGCAGCTGGAACGCACAGAGCTCTCTGACTCCAGAGTCCACCTGATCATCCGCTCTGCTTCCTTGGCCCCACCATGGGGAGCATGATGGATGTGGTGCCTCAGTGGTTTGGGGGAGCTGCTTCGAGGAAGAAGGTGGGAGAGTTGAGGAGGCAGGGCTCCTGACCCCCCTACTCCCCGCTCCACCGAAAGCAGCTCTACTACTCTGTGCTATGCCATTAGGGGATCGGGTACAATGTTTCACAGTGTTTCACAAATGTGTGGTCTGAACAGAGAATGTTCCAGTCCCAAGTCCCCATACCGTGTGACCTGAGGAGCCAATAATAACCCCTGTCTCCTGAGGAATTATGGAGAATTCAGTGAGGTCAAACAGGCAAAGCTCAGAACACAGTGCCAGGCACACAGTGAGAGCTCAGTGTGGTGGTGGTGGTGGTTGTGGTGGTTCAAGGAAGGATTCGCTTTAATCAAAGGGCCTGTGGTATGGAGAAAACATTCCTCTAGGCAATGGGGCGCCTTTGGAGGCTTCTAACAGAGTGACCTCCCTCAAGTTTGTGTGTGGAGAGGCCTCCAGCCCAATGCCCACCACATGGGGGAGCCGTGTTCTCTGCCAGAAAACTTGAAATAGGAAGATAAGCCTGGTGGGGCGGGGTTAGGGGAAAGGGAGGAGAAATAACCGTTGTGGGTTTTCTGCGAAAGCAGAGCCTAGGGGAGGTTGAATGGACAGTGACAATATTAGGGATTGAAGTGGAGCCATAAATCCTGGCTCATTATCCCCAGAAACCAGAGGGATCAGGTTGACTTGAAGAGGAGCCAAAGGTAAGAAGAGAGGCTGGCTCCCAAGGTGAGAAGAGCTGAGGTCCAGCATGGGGAAGGACCAGCCTCTCCCTCTGAGTCCAGGTTCTTTCTCTGGCACTCCTGGAGGCAGCCCATCCTGTCCCTGCATGAACCCTGCCAGTAATAGGGAACTCAATGACATGTGCAGTAGCCTGTTCTCACGAGGTTCATCCCTGGATGTTCAAAAGAGCTTCCTGCCTGCCGAGTGCAAACCTTCCCCCAGAAGCTTCATTCAATAATTCAGTAAGTCTCTGGGCACCTACCATACGCCCTGCCCTCATGAGGAAGGAGCAACATAGCACTGAGCAAGACAAAGTCCCAACTCTCAAGGAGCTTAGGTTCAGCTGTAGGAAGGCAAATATTATACAATGATATCACATAATGCCAGATGATAATACGGGCTATGACAAAAATTAAAATAGAGTGACATGACATAGTGACTACCCTTGATAGGGTGGACAGGGAAAGTCATGAAACATTTAAGGGCAGGCATAAATGACAAGAAGAGACTAGCTATGGCAAACTGCATTTTCCAAAGATGGCTTGAGCAGTATCTCCCATCACATTCACTCTTATGCAGTGTGACTCACCACTCCTTCAGCAAGAGATGGAGTCTATTTCTCCAGCCTTGATTCTGGGTGGGACCTGTGATTGCTTTGACCAATGGAATAAGGCAGGAGTGATGCTGTGTTATTTCTGGATGTAACCTTTAATTACTCCAGTAGCTTTTGCTTCTGGGTTCTTCGGACTCTGTTTCTTAGGCCACTTCCTCTTGGAATCCAGCTGCCATGCTGGGAGAATTCTAAGCCACATGGAGTGGCCAACCATGTAACTGGGCTCTCAGCCAACAGCAAGCGTCAACTGCCCACCATATGAATGCGCTGTCTTCCATCCAGCCCTCGAGCCTTCAGATGACTGCAGCCCTAGCCCCCATCTGACTGCAGCTGCAGAAAGAAACACTCAACTGGGCACAGTCAACCCCGGAAACATAATAAATTACTGTTTTGTTTTTGTTTTTGAGATGGGGTCTCACTCTATCACCCAGGCGGGAGTGCAGTGGTGTGATATCGGCTCACTGCAACCTCCACCTCCCAGGTTCAAGCAATTCTCCTGCCTCAGCCTCCCGAGTAGCTGGGACTACAGGCGCCCGCCACCATGCCTGGCTAATTTTTGAATTTTTATTAGAGACGGGGTTTTTCCATGTTAGTCAGGTTGGTCTCGAACTCCCAACCTCAAGTGATCTGCCTGCCTCGGCCTCCCAAAGTGCTGGGATTACAGGCGTGAGCCACCATCCCCAGCAATAAATTACTATGTTATGTCTCTAACTTTTAGAGTATAAGAAATAAGTAGAACACCACAGAATAGCTTTGTGCAAAAGCCCTGAAGAGGGAAAGAGTTTGGGATATTTTGAGAAATCAAAAAAGTCCAGTTTGGTTACAGCAGAATGGGTGACTGGGGAACTGACAGAGAGAGGCAGGAGTGCGCCAGACCATGCAGCTCATAGTAAGGACAACAGGGAGACATTGAATGGCTAGGCAAGGGCATGCATGATTGGATTTATGTTTGAGAAACTCCCTCTGGCTGCAGGGAGAAGAATGAATTCTAGGGGGTTGTGGTATTTTTTAATAATGTTGAATTTTGGGAGGCTAATATTCATTTTTTATTTATTCATTTTTTAAGAGACAGGATCTCATTCTCTGTCACTCAAGCTGGAGTGCAGTGGCTTGATCATAGCTCACTGCAGCCTTGAACTCTTGGGCTCAAGGGATACCGCCACCTCAGCCTCCGAGGTAGTTCAGCCTCATACAATGAATTGGAGTTTATTCACTCTTTTTCTATTCTCTGGAAGAGATTATCAAAGATGAATGTTAGATAGCACTTACCAATGAAGCCATCTGAGGTTGAAGTTTTCTTACTGGAAGGGTTTTAACAACTGATTCAATTTATTTAATTGTTAAAGGACTATCTAGGGTTTTTTATTTTGTCTTAAATCAAAATTGGAATGTTATACCTTCTAGTATGTTGCTTATTTCACTTAAAATTTCAAATTTATTGGATCAAAATTTTTCAAAATAGCCTCTTTTTTCTTTAATGTTGGCAGCATCTGTAGTGATGTTCATTTTTTATTTCTAATATTTTTGTGCCATTTCTCTTTAATTAATCTTCATGAATATTCATCTTTTAACTGGAGCATTTGGTCTTTTGATATTTAATATAATTTATCAATGTATATGGGTGCAAACCCACTAGCTTATTTTGTGATTTCTCCCCTCCCCTCCCTCTGTCCCTCCCTCCCTCCCTTCCTCCTTCCTTCCTTTCTTCTTACCGCCTCCTCCCTTTCTCCCTTCCTTCCTTCCTTCCCATTTTGAACTGATTACTTTTGCGTTCTATTTCCCCTCTCCACTAGTTTGGGGATTATGCACTGTTTTTATTCTTTTAATGTTATCATTGAAATTACAACATGAATATTTAACTTACTGAAGTCTAAATATAATCAGTACCATTGCTCTTCTTCCAGGCCTTAGAACACTGCTACTCTAATTTGACATATACTCCATGGTTTTGGTGTATTCTAATTATTTTTTTAAAAAAGATAAACTCTACAAGACATTAATGTTATTGTTTTATGTAGTCAGTGCTCAGCTAGACTGGCAGATGGATTGATCATTTCTTTGTTCTTCACTTCTCCTTTCATCTCAAGCCTTCCATCAGTGTTCGTATTTCTTCTACATAAAGTGTACACTGTAACAAGTTTCAACAAGCAGAATGTGCTCTATTCTTTTTTGTCTGAGCATGCTTTTATTTAACCCATATTCTTGAAGTACATATTGATGAGCATGGAATTTTAGTTGGGTAGTTAATTTCTTTCAGCACATTGAATGTATCATGTTACTATCACCTGGCTCTGTTGTTGCTGTTGAGAAGTCTTCATCACTCTGTCATTTCTTTGAAGGTTATTTTTCTTATTTTCTGGTTGCTCCTTAGATTTTTCTCTTTGTCTGTGATGTTTTTCTCCTTCACTGTGATGTCTAGACGTGGATTTATTCTTATCACTTTCCTTGAGATTTGTTGGGATTTTTGAATTTGTGGATTAGTACCTCTCATCAGTTTTGGAAAGTTCTCTGTCATTATTTCTTCAGTTAGTGTGTCTGCCCCATTTTCTCTCTTGTATTTTTCTGAAACTGCTATTAAATAGATGTCAGATATTTTCAGCCTCTCTTCCATGTCTCCCAACTTCTCTTTTATGTTTAACACCTATCTACTTCTCTGTACTATATTCTGGATCATTTATCTTCTGCCTCACTCGTGTTTTTCTTTAGCTCTGTTTAATCTTCTATCAAACCCAACCATCGACTTCTATGTTTCAGTTATTGTATTTTTCATTTCTAGAAGTTCTATTTGGGTTTCTCTATTTTTTCAGTTATTAAAATTGTTGCAAAAATATGTAACATAAAGTTTACCATCTTAACCATTTTTAAGTTTACAGTTCAGTGGTACTAAATACATTCATAATGTTGTGCAACCATCAGTATTTGGTTCTCTTTTAATTCTGCTGGTACTTTTCATGGTTTCTGTTCCCAGTAGATATTTGTAAGGTAACATGCCTTCCTTCCTGCGGTGCCCCATCTAGATTGCTAATCCTCACTTATCTGTACCCATCCTCCCAAATCTGGAGGTAAGTCTCATCTCCTTTTAAAACCTTTGACTGGACAGTCATGGTAGAAACTAAAGCCATCATCATTTAATCATTTTGTGTTTACTCAAAAAACAAAGAAACAAACAAACTTCTATTAAGTTCTAGGCTGTTCTCTAGGGCATGCAATAATGAATCAGGCCTGGAACCTTCCATGGAGGACCTGTTTCCCGGGGGGAGGCTGATATGAGAAAAAGGATATTTAGAATGAATTCCACATACCTTCTTTGAATGCCAGCTGTGTGCTGGTCACATTGCTGGGTTCTGAGTAAGCAGGAGGTAAGATACAATCTTCTTCTCAAAGTTTGTAGTAGAGTAGCAGAGATGAATGGGCCCTTAAGTAATCATGTAAAATGTCAAAAATGCCAGGCACATGATTGGTGCCTTTTAAATAATCTCTGAGTGAATGAACGGTGAATTGGCGTGGGAGTTCAGAGGAGAGAAAAATTTTTTCTGATTGGAACATATTAAGGAAATCTGTAATGGCATTTGAGTCAGGCCTTAGAAATCTGTTACTTTTGGACATCCAAAGACATAGGAGAAGGTAGGGGCAATTCAAGTAGGAAAACAGCATGAATAAAGGCATGGACTGTCTTTTTATTTTAAACTGCTCTATTGAGATATAATTCATATATCGTGAAGTCCGCCTGTTTGAAGTGTACAATTCAATGGTTTTAAGTATACTTAAGAGTCGTGTGACCATCACCATAATTTAATTTTAGAACATTTTCATCATCCTAAAAGAAAACTACTCATTAAGTCATTCCTTATCCTCCTGCCTCTCCCACCACCACAGCCACAAGCAACCACTAATCTATCTTCTATCTGTTTATTTATTCTGAACATTTCATATAAATGAAATCGTACAATATGCAGTCTTTTGTGACTGGCATTTTTCATTTACAATAAAGTTTTCATGTTTCATCCATGTTGTAGCATATATCAGTACTTTATTCCTTTTTATTGCAGAATAATATTCCATTGCATGAATATACTGTATTTTGTTTACTCCTTTATTCACTGCATTCAAAGAATGGATGTTTACTATCATCCATTGATAGACACTTGGGTTGTTTCTACTTTTTGGCTCCTGTGAATATTTGTGTACAACTTTTATGTGGGCATATGTTTTTTATTCTGTAATTCCACCAGGAATGGGATTGATAGGTAAAATGGTAGCTCTATGTTTAACCTTTTGAAGAACTGCCGAACTGTTGCCAAAACAGCTGCACCATTCGATGTTTCCAGAAGCAGTGTATGAAGGTTTTAATTTTTCCACCTCCTTGCTCACACTTGTTATTATCTGTCTTATGGATCATAGCGTTCTGCTGGGGGTGAAGTGGCATCTCTTTGTGGTTTTGATTTTCATCTCTTAGTGGCTAATGATGTTGAATGTGAGCACCTTTTCATGTGCTTATTAGCCATTTGTATAGCTTTTATGGAGAAATGCCTATTCAAATCCCTTGCCCATCTTTTTGGGGGGAGGGGGACAAGGTCTCACTCTGTCACCCAGGCTGGAGTGCAGTGGTGCCATCATAGCTCACTGCAGCCTCAAACTCCTGGGCTCAAGGGATCCTCCTGCCTCAGTCTCCAAAGTAGCTGGGACTATTATGTGCCACAGGTCCAGTTAATTGTTTTTTTGTTGTTGTTTTTTAGAAATGGGGTCTTGCTATGTTGCTCAGGCTGGTCTTGAACTCCTGGCCTCAAGACATCCTCCTGCCTCAGCCTCCTAAAGCACTAGGATTACAGGCATGAGCCACTGCACCCAGACTATTTACCTTCCTATTGTTGAATTGTAAGGGTTCTTTATATATTCTGGATGCTAGACTCAGATATATAATTTGCAAATGTTTCCCCCATCCCACGGCTTGTGTTTTCACTTTATGGCATTCTATGAGATGGAAAAGTGTTAAATTTTTATGAAGTCCAGTTTATCAGTCTTCTCCTGTATTACCAATGCTTTTGCTATTATATCTTATGTTCTGTTTTGTAATGTGGGGTGAGTCCCACGGGCGGGTTCAGTTTGTGGAAACTCATCAGGCTGTTATAATTTGTACTTTTCTGTGCCTGTAAGACTTCAAAACCCAGTTGTAAAAAACAGGACTGATAATAATTGCAGCTTCCTTTACTGGCTCATCGTGAGGACTGGATGGGCAAACATACTCATAGTGCTTAGCACAGAGCCAGCCACTGCTTAGTGCTGACACGTGGGGGTGAAGTTGTTACTGTAGTTATTGTTTTTTTGTTTTTGTGCTTGTTTTTGTTTTTGAGATGGAGTCTCGCTCTGTCGCCCGCTGGAGTTTAGTGGTGCGATCTTGGCTCACTGCAACCTCCGTATGCCGGGTTCAAGCAATTCTCCTGCCTCAGCCTCCCGAGTAGCTGGGACTACAGCTGTGTGCCACCATGCCCAGCTAATTTTTTGTATTTTTAGTAGAGACAGGGTTTCACCATGCTGGCCAGGCTGGTCTCCGGCTCCTGACCTTGTGATTCACCTGCCTCGGCCTCCCTAAGTGTTAGGATTACAGGCGTGAGCCACTGCGCCCGGCCTGTAGTTATTGTTAAAATCCAGCTCTGTCCCTTGTCGGGTGGTGATCTTGGCCCTAAGTCACTTTACCTTGTTGGCCCTCACTCTTCTCATCTGTAAAATAGGTTAGCACCATCCACTTCACCAGGGCCACCAGGGCCCCCAATGAAACAAGATGCGACATCATCAGGCTTGAAGTCTGCCTCCAAGAGGGCCTCACAAAAGCTTGGGTTCATGAAACAGGGAAGAGGAAAGAGAAAAATCAGACTCATGATTGAAGAGGGAAAATTGTCAGTGCGGTGATGAGTGTTTGGGTGCCTGCCACGAACTGGGTGTGGGGCGGCCCCTCAGAGTTTCCACAAGCAGGGTTGGCCAGGCCTGGGAAGGAATGAAGCGGGAGTTGGCCAAAAGAGAGTTGTCTTCCAGGGGAGTGGGGTCTGGTGGTGCCAGGGCGCTCAGCTTGGGCAGGGCTGGTGTACAAATCTTGGCTTTAGGCCTGGCTGGGCAAAAGTTGATTGACTCTCAGTGCAGAACAATCAGAAACCAAACCTCCCTCTAGCCCCTGGCCCCCCACCCCCATTGGTTGCCCCTATGTGATTCCAGTCTTCCTGTCTTCACCCAAACAATCCCACCCACACCTCCCCTATTCCTTTCTTGTTCTTGAGGTCTCGCTCCCTGCCCCCATCACCAGGTCAGGTTTTAAGAGGCCTAAAACTTATACCATCGGAGGAGAGAGTTTCATTAAAGTAGAACATGTATAGAGAGAAGGCACAAATCATGTCTACAGCTTGATGAATTTTCCCAAACTCAACACGCTCATGTAAACTGACATTCAAGTCAAGAATCAGGCCAGGCATGGTGGCTCACGCCCCAGCACTTTGGGAGGCCAAGGCAGGTGGATCACCTGAGGTCAGGAGTTTGAGACTAGCCAGGCCAACATGGTGAAACCCTGTCTCTAATGAAAATACAAAAGTTAGCCAAGCATGGTGGTACACACCTGTAGTCCCAGCTACTCATAAGGCCGAGGCAGGAGGATCACTTGAACCCGGGAAGCGGAGGTTGCAGTGAGCCAAGATTGCCCCACTGCACTCCAGCATGGGCAACAAAGGGAGATTCTGTCTCAAAAAAAAAAAAAAAAAAAAAAAAAAAGAATCGGACCATTATTCCCAGCATCCCAGAAGCCTCTCGGTACCCCTTTCTTGTTATCCACCCCTTAAACATAACCACTCTCCTGACTTCTGACGTCATAGATGAGTTTTGCCTGGTTTTGAACTTTATATGTTTGAAATCATCCAGTGCGTGCCCGGGTGTCTAGCATCTTTTTTTTTGGTTTGAGATGGAGTCTCACTCTGTCACCCAGGCTGGAGTGCAGTCGCGCGATCTTGGCTCACTGTAAGCTCCGCCTCCCGGGTTCAAGCGATTCTCCTTACTCAGCCTCCTGAGTAGCTGGGATTACAGTTGTGCACCACCACACCCAGCTAATTTTTGTTTTTTAGTAGAGATGGGGTTTCACCATGTTGGCTAGGCTGGTCTCAAACTCCTGACCTCAACTGATCCGCCTGCCTTGGCCTCCCCAAAGTGCTGGGATTACAGGCGTGAGCGCCGCGCCTGGCAAGAGTCTGGCATCTTTTACTTAACATGTTAGCAAGATTCAACCATGTTTGCTGCATGCAGCTGTACTTTGTTTCCTCTCATTCCTATAGCGGCCCTTGGAATGACAATACCACAGCTTCTATGTCCACTCAGCAAGCGTTGCATTTTGGGGTTGTTTTCAGCTTTGGGATGTCTGGGGGAAAAGCTGCTATGAATATTCTTGCATGTGTCTTTTGGGGGACATACGGGCTCATTTCTGTTGAGTCATCCATGAGGGGAGTTGCTGGCTCACAGGGAGAGATGAATGTTCCGCTGTAGAAGATTCAAGGACTGCAAATTGTGTTCCAGAGTGGCCACACCAGCTTCCTCTCTCCTCCCAGCTGTGGAGGAAAGTCCTGCCATTCCACATCTTCACTGACACCTTGTGTGTGTGTGTGTGGGTATACACAGTATGTGTGTGTGGTAGGACCTAGTTCATCCATGCAATGCACACAGTGTATGTGTGCATATATACTGTGTGTGTAGATATGTAAACACACATATGGTGTGTGTGTGTATATATATATATGTATCCCCATTATTCTGAGCCCTAGTCCTTCCCTCCTGGCACCTCTCACTTCACACTGGTGGTCTGTCTGAATGTTCTGTGGGACAAGCCTGTCCTCAGGACCTAAATCAGCACCTGGCCCTGGCCTGTATTAGGAGCTATATAGATGTGTGTAAGTATATATATATATATATATATATATATATATATATATATATATACACACACACACACACACACAAATAGGTAGATACACACACACATATATGTGTGTATCTATTTATCTATTTTTTGCTTTTTCATTTTTAGTCATTCTCATAAGGAGGCTGTGATACCACATCATGGTTTTAAGTTTGAGGGAACGTCTTTAAGAAAAAGAAGCCAGGCATGGTGGCTCACGCCTGTAATCCCAGCACTTTGGGAGGCCAAGGCAGGTGGATTACCTGAGGTCAAGAGTTCAAGACCAGCCTGGCCAATGTGGTGAAACCTTGTCTCCACTGAAAGTACAAAAGGTAGCCAGGTGTGGTGGCATGTGCCTGTAATCCCAGCTACTTAGAAGTCTGAGGCAGGAGAATCGCTTGAACCCGGGAGGCGGAGGTTGCAGTGAGCCAAGATTGTGCCATTGCACTCCAGCCTGGGTGACAGAGCAAGACTCTATCTCAAAAAAAAAAAGAAGAAGAAGAAGATAAAAGAAAATGATAAATTGAGTACACGAAAAAGATAAAAGTAAAAGAAAATGATAAATTGAGTACAAAAGTAAATATTTATAAAGAATGTGAAAAGAAATCACAACAAACTGCTGGAGACTTTCAAGTTTCGATTCCTTTCTTCTGAGTGTTTCTGAGCATTTCTGAGCCTGTTTCCCAGAAATGTGTGCATTCAGATGCTTCCTGATAGTGACCTGGGTCCCTGCCCTGTGTGAACACTGCCGGGCTTCCTGGGATTCCTGGTACGGGGCCCCTGCAGATGAGTCTCCCTGAGGCTTAAATGTCATCAGCTTCCCAGGAAGTCGCCTCTGCCTGGTGCTCACCTCTGGCCCCTGCCTAACACCCCAGCCCCAGCTCACAAACTTCCCCACCTACCCCTCCTCCTCTTCTGGGCTCAAAAGCTCCCCTGCTCACAAACACTCCAGCTCAAAAACTCCCCAGCTCACAAACTGCCCCACCTACCCCTCACCCTTTCTTGGACTGACTCTTCCTCCCCAGGCTCTCAGCTTCCATAGTAGCTTCCAAGAAAGGCCTTCTCTGACTTCCTTGTCTAGGATATTCTCCATTTTTAAGTCCACAGCCTGTGACCAATGGCAACAGAGCAGAAGGTTAGAGCAATTACTGTGGATGGAGCTTGCCCAGTAGGCCTCCTAGCTCCATTTTCTAGCTTTGTGATCTCAGGCCTGTCCTGTAACCTCTCTGGGCCTCAGAAACCTCTCTCTCTCTCTATATATATATATATATAATAATATATAATAATAATATATAATATGTATAATAATAATATATAATATTTATAATAATAATATATATAATATGTATATATAATATACATATACCTATTATATATAATATACCTATTATATATAATATACATAAACCTATTATATATAATATACCTATTATATATAAGATACCTATTATATATAATATACCTATTATATATAAGATACCTATTATATATAATATACATATACCTATTATATATATAATATACCTATTATATATATATAATATACCTATTATATATATAATATACCTATTATATATATAATATACCTATTATATATATAATATACCTATTATATATAATACACATTATATATAATATATAACACACATTATATATAATATATAACACACATTATATATTATATATAATACACATTATATATTATATATAATACACATATATTATATATAATACACATTATATATTATATATAATACACATATATTATATATAATACACATTATATATTATATATAATACACATTATATATAATATATAATACACATTATATATAATACTTATTATATATTATACATAATATACATATTATATATAATACATAATATACGTATATTATATAATATACATATTATATATAATACATAATATACGTATATTATATAATATACATATTATATATATTATACTATATATAATACTCATATATATACATATTATATATACATATTATATATAATACTCATATTATATGTACATATTATACATACATATTATATATAATACACATATATACATATTATATATAATACACACACACATTATATATGTCTTATATATAATATACATATTATATATGTATTATATTATTATAGATATAATATACATATTATATCTATATATAAAATATATATGTAGAGAGAGAGAGACAGGGTCTCATTTTGTCTCCCAGGCTGGAGTGCAGTGGTGCAATCTTGGCTCACTACAACCTCCACCTCCCAGGCTCAAGGGATCCTCCAGCTTCAGCCCCCCGAGTACCTGGGACTACAGGAACGCGTCACCATGCCTGGCTAATTTTTTTTTATTTTTTGTAGAGATGGGGTTTCGCCATGTTGCCGAGGCTGGTGTCAAACTCCTGGACTCAAGTGATCCTCCCACCTCAGCCTCCCAAAGTGCTGAGATTACAGGTGTGAACCACTGCACCTGGACTTACAGTCTTATTTTCACATATAAAGCATCTTGTTTAAGGCTCACAATATCCCTAGGAGGTGTACCCTACTGGAACCCCTATCTCCCAGAAAAGGGTATGGAGGGGACTCAGGACCTGAGTTGCCCGAGGCACCTGACCTCAAGCCTGCCCTGAAAAACGCCCTGTGCTCCCCGAGAAGGCCCCGCATAGTGCCTGGCGCAGAGTGTGACTCAAAAACATTGATTCCTTTTTCTCCATCCCTTTGAACTTTCAGAACCCTTGAGTATTGTATTTTTTTTAAAATTCACATTGAAGTATATCATGCATACAAACAGAGTGCGATCATGCATATGCGGTTGACACATCTTCCCATGTTGAACGTGCTTGTTTACCCAGCACCCGGATGAAGAAAATCACAACCATCCCAGGCCCCTGCAGCCCCTCAGGCTGCCTTCGGCCTCTCTACCACCAGGGGAAGCATGATCACGGCTGTTGGTGAACTTCACATGGGTAGAACCGTGTAGTCCTTTGTGTCTGCCTATGACCCTCATGGTGGGGTTGTCATCGTAGAGCCTGCGTTCTCAAGGCTGTATGCACCATCATTTTTCCATCACTTTTGCTTTTGATGGGTCTCTTTGGCCTTTCCCCTTTGAAATGGAACACAGGGCTTCTCGGACTCCCAGACGTGTCTCTGTGCCTCTGCCCAGGCCTGTTGGGGAGGGAGGTGGGGAGGCTGGGGGAGTGTATGTTCTGACCCAGTGCCAGCCCCAAGTAAACGTGCTTCTAGGAGGCCCTGGCTTGGCCTTCCACCCTCTGCCCCTCCTTCTCCGACTCCATCAACATTCTGTTGTTCTGAGCTTGGCTTGAGGCCAATGGGTGAGCTGGCGGGCATCCTAGGTAAACAAAGGCAGCTGGACAGAAGAAAGTCTTTAGGGGTGGGAGGGTGGACCCAATCAGAAGCCCTCTCCACGAGGGCTGTGAGAGCTTATATGGGGTTCCTGCCCTGAGAGCCCTGGAACATGGTAGGACGGGAGGGTGCCGGTAGAGGTTGGGCCTTCTCCAGGCTAGGCCCTGCCCCGGGGAGGGAAGCTGCCTGGGTTCAAGTCCCAGCTCTGAAACTTACCAGCTGTGTGACTTTGGGCAAATTTCTTAACCTCTCTATGCCTCAGTTTTTTGATCTATAAAATGAAGGCAGTAAATAACTCATTGCATGTAAAGGATTTCTGACCTGCAGTCAATGTTGGCTGTTAGGAGGATGATGTGCCGAGAGACAGCTAGGTACTTGATGTGCACTATTTTATTGAACCTGCGCATTAGTCATGGAAGTAGACACCATGTCATCCCCATTTGGCAGATAAGGAAGTGGAGGCACAGAGAGGGTGACAACCTGCCTGAAGCCACACTGTGAGTCTGTGGCAGAGCCAGCTCTGATCCGGAGTCCAGGCCCCTGGCACCAAGCTATGAGCAGAGCTTGGGTGGGGATTGGCAGCCCTGACCTGCCAAAGAGCAGTGCCCAGCACTGTCCTTGTGGGGCCCAGACTCAGCCCTCACATGGGGTTTGAGGGGCAAGGCCTCAGGCTCATTTTCTCTGTCTGTAAAATGGACATATGTGCCCCAAAGAGTCAGTATCCTTCCCCTTCCTGGGTTCCTGGCTAGTGGGCTCCCCGGAGTGGGGCAGGCTTGGGGGCTGATCAGGGAGGCCTGTGCACCTGCCCAGTGTCAGCAGCCCTGGCTGGAGCAGCCCTGCCCCTGCTGTATAGCCGGGAGGCTGTTCAGGCCTGGAAGCCAGAGTTGGCAGCCCTTGTTGGGGCTGTGCCCTGACCCTGCCCTCAGGGTGCTCCGGAAGAAGGGACAGGCACAGAAACTGCTATTCCTAACTAAGGCTGCCGAGTATCCAGTATCGTAAAGGTCTGGGGAGGTCAAGGCAGTTGGCTGCAGTCCAGGAAGGCTTCACAAAGGAGGCCTCCTTGGGGCAGGGTTTTGCAGGTTGAGTAAGAGTTCATTAGGTAGAGAGGATAGTAAAAGTGTTTTTAGCACAGGGAATGGCAATAGGTCCCAACTACTCCATCCTTGCCCTTGCTTACCCTCTCTGTATTTCAGGGGGCTGGAAGTTGGAAAATGACATTTTCCAGAGCTGCTTCCCAGCCGGTTTCAGGTTGGGATCTGCCAGTGGGAAAGAGGCCTGAGGAGGGGAGATGCCAGCCTGCCTCTGGCTGCAGCCTCAGGTGGCTTCCGCAGGCTCTGTATTTCCCAGCAGCTATGTTGGTTCTAGGGCTGTGGGCGCCAGCTCGTGGGCTTTGCAGCTGCTTCCCAATTTCTAGGTCACACTCCTTCTCCCATCTGCTCCTCTGCCCCTTTGGATACTTCTGGAATGAACTTCCTCTATGAACTCCCTCTCTGCCTGAAATAGTAGTGCGGTTTCTGTTTTCCAGCTGGTGACTCACTGATACAATTATCAAGCCACCCAGCCAGCACCAGGTTGTAGCGTCCAAGGAACAGAAGGATTCGGCACCCAGAACACGTGATGTCATGTTTTTATTTTGATTTATTTTTTATGTGCATGTCATGTCTTTCTACATGACTTCCCAAGGGTGGGGACTGTCCCCATCATCTATTCATTCAACAGATACTCATGAGTGCTTCGATGGTGGGGAATGAGATGAATGACCAAGTCTGCACATCCACGGAATCGCAGTCTAGACCTGCTTCATCCAGTACTAGCCAGACTGGCTACCGAGCACTTGAAATGCAGCTAGTTCAAATTGAGACCTGCTGTCAGTATAAAACACACACCACATTTCAAAGATTGAGTACAAAAATAAGAAGGTCAAATACCTTACTAATTCTTATATTGATTACATGTTGAAATAATGTTTTGGATATATTGGATTAAATAAAATACATTATTAAAGCTAATTCCACCTATGGCTTTTTTACTGTTTTCAATGTGGTCACTAGAAAATTCTAAATTACATATGTGGCTTGCATTTGTGGCTCATGTATTATTTCTATGGGACAGCACAGGTCTTGTGGGAGTTGAGTTAGGAAACATTCATTTACCAATTCAGCATTTATTAGTGTATTTAAGAGATACGTGGTCCCTGCCTCGAGGGCTTCAGATAGGATGGAGAAGGGGACAGATAGGCCAACGTGGAAGTAAAATTTACTGTGATAAATGTTTGAATTGGTCCATATTCCAGGACTCTGGGGACCCGAAAAGATATCAAGGAAGGTTTCACAGAAGAGGTGACTTTGGTGTTAAGCATTATAGGATGAGTAGGAGTTTGCCAAGCAGGGAAAGAAAAGGAGGGGCACTCCAGGCTCAGGGAACTACATACACAAAAGCCAAGAGGTAGACAACTACGCAGGGTGTTCTGGGGATACAGGAAGTTAATTGTGGCCCAAAAACAGACTGTTGGTGGAAGGGGCCGGAGATGGAGCCAGCCTGTGTAGGACCTTGAATGCCAGTAAAGTTTAAACGCAGGGACAGGGCTGAGGCTCAGGAAAGACTCCTAGGCAGGAAGTGGGGGTCCAGGTGTGAGCGAGCTCACCTACCCATCTCCCTCCAAACTCATAAAGGAACAGACCAGACCTAGTTTGAGTGTGAAAAATAAACTATTTTATTTCAGTGTTTGCTCCTTGCGGTTCAGAAGCACATCTACTGCCTGGTTGGAACCCAAGGCTTTTATAAAACCGTAGAGAAATAGAGCTCTATGTATAGAGAAAATATACATGTTGATTAATTGTGTGACTCTTTCCTGTGCAAAGCAGAAAGTTCTAAATGCAACAGCATGATTCTCTCCAAGTCCTTCCCTGGGATTTGGGGGGCCCTGGAGGCTGTGATCTCACCTCCAATAGAGAATCCCCAATTCTTCCAGCCCAAGGGAGGCCCAGTCATGTAGAAAGAGCAGGAGATAAAGTCAAAGCTGACAACTCATGGGTTCCCCAAGCTTCCTCCGGGGCAGGGGCTATGTTTGGGGGCCTTAGCCCTGCAAAGAAGGGGTAGCTGGGGTGCCAACCTTGTTGGTTAGTGACCAGCACTGGCAGCTAAGGCTGTTGGGAAGTCTAGGCATTGCAGCGGGCAGGCTCATGGGTAGAGCAGGGGTGTCCAGGGCTCTTCTCCCCTAGAACTGGGGTCTGAAGGGTGGTACCTGGGCATAGGAAGGAACCAGGACAGGGCTGGGGACAGAAGGTGGTCACAGTCATGGTTTCACTCTCAGAAATATCCTGGGCCTATGGCTTAAGGCTTCGTGGAGCAGGGAGTGGACCTTGTGGTTATTTACAAGGCTGGGCCATATAAAAGCATTGCAAACATGGAGTGGAGAGGATCCTTGGAGATGAGCTGGTTCAATCACTCCTCTGACCAACAAGGAAACAAAGGCCCAGAGAGGAGAAGGCAGTGCCTGGCCAGACGTGGGACCTGAACCCAGCCAGGGCTCTGACTCCCAGTCCCCCAGTCCCCTCTCTACCTCCTTGTCTTGGCTGAGTCTTTTTTTGATAAAGGCCCCAGACAGCCTCTCCGACAGTCTCAGGTCAGGCTGGGGTTATAAATGGAGCAGTGGACTCAGAGTCAGAGGCCCAGACTCTGCTCTTGGGCCTTCACATTACCCAGCCTTGCTAATAACCACGAGGCCACTGGTGTGGAGGGGGCTGCCTCCTCTCTCTAAGCCTCAGTCTCCTTATCCTGGAAGCAGCGCCCACAACAGTTTCCCATGGTGATTAAATGGGTTGGAGGCCCCGTGAGCCCCAGCAAGTGTGGGAGGCACCCAGCACATAGTAGGTGCTTCACAATGGTGAGGTTGAGGGGGAGGGCTATTAAGCTTGGGCTGCTGGGATGTGGAGGGGACCTTGGGCCTATCACTGTCCCCACCCAGCTCTGGCTGTCCCAAGGGCCCCTGGAGCTGGGTGCAGTCATGGGAAGAGGTACGGGATGCAGTCTAGGGAGCTGGATTCCCTGATCCAGCCAAGGGGCATGCTGTCCCTTTTTTGCCTGCTCCAAGGAGCTATGAAGTAGATCAAACAATATGGTGGGTGGTCAATGGCTTTCCAAAGGGCATCTGGGCAGGAGAGGGAATGTAGGTCTTTCCTCTCTCACCCCAGCCCCAGTCAGCCAAGGTCAGGGCTCCCACTGTTTCTGGCACAGAGCATTCCTCACAGCAAAGGGGGTGAGTGGGGACCCACAGGCTCAGGAGGCTGAGATGGGCCAGGGGCACATTCCATTTCCGAGAGCCCCCATAGGCTGCCCACCCTGCCCTGGGGTCTGGGGCCCAAGAAGGGGCATATTTTGCTCACTAGCTTGGGATAAGGATTGGGATCAAGGTGGGGGCTCTCAGCAGGCTGGGAGCAGGGGTCCCTTAGGCGGGGCCAATGATGACATTCCGGAAGCCCTTCACAGCCTTCAGCTTGTCGCTCTCGAAGTTCACCACCAGCTTGTGGAGGCCCATGTGGAGCGGCAGCAGGTCCATTCTCACCTTAACTTCCTCCCCTGCCTCCACGGGGTCTGGGCTGCAGGGAGAGAGGGGGTGGTGAGGAAAGGGGCCCAAGGCCTGGCTCCCGCATGCTGGGGTCCAGCCAGGAAGTCACGTGACCTCCGAGGATCAGCACAGCGTGTCCATGAATGGGCCTCATTCTCGGCCCTCTGCGGGGCCTGGACAATCTGCCCTCCTAGAGTGAACAGTGCCTGTGCACGCATGTGTGTCCGTGTGCATAAAAGCAGATGGTGCATTTAGGGGCACAAGGGGATAGGCTCAGGTAGCCGTGTGTGTGAAAATGTATTGAGCTGTACATAGGTGATCTGTGCTTTTTACTGTATATAAGTTACATTACAGTAAAAAAGTAAAAAAGAAGTGTGTGCTCGTATGTATGTGTGCAGCTACGTATCTATGTGGAAACACCCACGCATGCATATGTGTGTGCATGCTCATGTGTGGACATTCGGAGGGCAGATACCTGTCTATGTGAGGATGCACGTGTCTGCAGGTGAGCGCCTATTGACGGATGATGTCACTGTGGAGGTCTGTGGCAGATCTGTGCATGGGTGGTGTCAGCATTGACAGAGAATGTGACGGTGGGAACTCTAGCCCCAGGGTGTCTGGGAGTGGGCACAGCTGTGTGGGAGATGAGAGGAGGGGATTTTCAGCCAGGGCTTGGTACCTAAGGACAGTCTCTACCCCCACCGGCATCTGCCCGCTTCCCCCAGGCCCCAAAGCTAGAGCAGCCAGCACTTACATCTCCACCGTCTTCTGCTCCTCAGTCAGGCCGGCCCCCTCCACAGTGAAGGTGCAGCCTTCCAGGGCCACAGGGAGCGGGTTCTGCAGGGACACCTCAGCCACCAGCTTGCGTTTCTGCTTGGGCTCCCCAAGGATCTGGAAGAGGGCATGGGGCAGATGTCAAGGGCAGGTGGGATCCAGGCTGGGCTGTCTGCATTCACTGCAATTTGGCCCAATATTTGCTGAACAAAGCTGTACCCAGGTCTGCCACGATCACCCCCCCTCCCCCCACCTCTGTGCCTCAGTTTCTTCATCGGGAAAACACCGATTGTGCTACCGGCCCAGGTCTCCTGCATGGAGCTGCAATGAGGCTCCACGTGACCCAGGGGATGTCCAAAGTGCCTCCCTTGTCCCAGGGTCTGGAGGGGAAAGATCACAGGCTTTTGAGCCAGGCTGATCTCTGCCTCTTCTTCACTGTGTGACCTGGGGAAGTTACTCCCCACTCTGTACACCTTGGATTCTTCATGGGAGAGAAATGCCTGACTGAGGGTTCTTGTGAGGATTAACTGAGCTAATATGTGCAAGCTTCCAGCAGAATGTCTGACACACTGCTCACTGCCGCTCCCTCTGCTGTTTACCATTTAAGTGTAATTGTTGCCCTTAGGGGTTGTGGGCTGCGGCTCCTCTAAGTGAAGGGCTATAATGATGATGATGGCGATGATAAGGATAGTTAGCTTTCAGTGAGCCCTTATCATGTGCTGAGGATGGCTCTATGTGTTTCCTGTGGATATGCTTTTAATTCTTACAACACCCCTCAGTGCTATTATTAACCCCATGTTACAGATGAATAAACTGAGGCACAGAGGGGCAAACTCACATGCCCAGGGCTGCCCTGGTACAAATTCAGGCAGTGAGACTCTAGTCTGTGCCCTTCACTCCCCCACCCCACCCTGCCCCACCAGTGCCCAGTGCCTGGGGGTTCCAGCCTTAGTAGTATAGCATTTGAAGGATTCATGACTCTAAGATCCCCAAATTCCATGACCCTAACACTCTGGGATTTTCAGATTCATTCCTAGAGGCTACGAGTCCCCAATTCTCTAGGCTTCATGATGCTTTTCTTCGATGAGGCTAGGATTTGAGGATCGCTAAGGCACCAAAGGTCTGGAGCTTGCAGGGATGCAGGTGTGTGGGGTGGGGGTAGGGATCTGCCCTCTCCCCAGCGCTGAGCTGCCCTGGGACCCTGCCCCTTGCCCAGCCTGCCCTTACCCGGATCTTGATTTCTGGATTCTCCAGGTAGAGGTCCCTCTCAGCCAGCAGGTAGCTGTTGATAACTGGCTCCACGAGGAGGGCCCGCACCTTGATGAGGTTGGACTCCGTAAGGCAGTCACGGTATTTCTCATAGAGGATGCAAAGAGGAACGCTCTTCTCTGCAGAAGGGGAGAAAGGAGGGTGCTCATGATGCAGAATCACCCCTCCCAACTCTCTTGCAACTCCAAGAGGCACAGAGAGGGGAAGGAATGTGCTTGGGGTCACACAGCGGGGGAATGGCTGGGCGGATCCCTGAACTCCCCACTGTGGCTCCAGGGTTCCCAGCGAGGAGCTGGAGAGTGGACACTGAGCAGCGGGTAGAGGACGCACTTGGACTCCCACGGGCCTTGGTTCTAATCCTGCCTTTGCCTCTTCTAATGGGTGACCCCGCGTGAGCCACTCCACCTCCCAGGTCCTCGATGTTTGGATCTGCGTGGCACAGGCACTCCTAAGGCTGTGGGAGGATGAGCTGAGCGAGTGTCCCGGAAGAGCCTGGTGCGCTCGGGACTCAGGGTGTGT